>NC_000015.10:26610207-26913237 GCF_000001405.40 Homo sapiens
TTGCCATTAAAAGTAACAGCAAAAACTGCATATAAACCCCTAATTTTTGTTGGTTGAAGGGATGGATTTGAGACTGATCTCCCATGTCCTCAGCTGAAGCACCCGGAGAAAGCCTTCTTCCTTGCCAACACTCATCTCAGTGACTGGCTTTCTGTGTGGCTTGTAGCCAGACCTAGACCAAACCCCTGGTATTTCAGTAACAGATTTTGGTTCCGTGATCATAAATGTGTTGGTTGTTGCAGCAGGTGGATTGTGCTTTGGTGGTTGATTGTGTATGTATCAACATAGTAATGGGAAATCAGAATTTGATAAGCTGATATTCTTTTATAATACTGTTTGACCCCAGTATTCTTTAGAATCTGGAGAAGTTTGGGCTCTCTATGGACCTCATTTTGCTGTTAAATGGGAAAGTGGGATGGAGTTATGTGATGATCTTCTGTAGTGCTGTTTGGCCCCAGTGATCTCTGGAGCCTAACTGGAAACTGCTTTACCTAAAACTGTGGTTCACAGCGTTCACTGGATTACCTATCAGAACAAATTTTAAGCATGTAAACCTGTTCGTAAATTCGTGGGTTTGTATTGCTATCTCATTGCTAGAGTTCCAAAGTAAAAGATGAAAATAGCAATGTCTTCAGAATTGTCAGCATACATTTTTGTCTGGGTTTTATATTTGTCTCTGCTAGATATTTTGAGGTGTCAGGATTTAGCACAGGTTATAAAATCATAACTCAGCCAAAACAAAATGATCTTTGTTTATGTGACATTGTTTGAGAAATGACTAATTTAGGCTTGTTGATTTAATGAAAACAGCCGAATCTTCTGAGTTATTGGCAAAAATACCCATGTATTTAACCTTAAGGTTCTTACATAGGTGAACACCTGATATTCACAGACTATTTTAAAAAATGGCGAACAAGGAAGTAACTGGAAATGATAACTAGTTTTGTATAATATCTCAGTTCTCAGAATTAATCTAGATAAACTCTTTAAAAAATGAAAGGCTTGAGTAAATGTAAATAGAATAAATCCTTGTAGGTGAACTTTTTGTGTAATTTAAAACCTTAAAATTCTTTTCATGTTCATTGGATGTCTGGGTCATTTCTAGTCAAATAAAAATTATGAGGAAACATTTCTATAAATTATAGAATGGTTCTCATATATAAAATGCTAACATTTGATAGGCAGTTCAGGATTTCTTGCTTCTTAGGTTTTCACAAAATTTAATATTATTAAGAATAAGAACTGCAGTGAATAATTTTGTATATAAAATACGCCAAAGAAGATGTGTACTTATTGAATAAAAGAATAACTTTTGTCTAATTCAGATTTGATCTCAAAGTTGTTTCAAATTATGGCCTATGCTAAATTTTTGTCCTAAAGTAAAATGACTGGTTACTTAAAAAACAGAAAATGTATGAAAAAACAGAAAGTCCAAGCATGTCTGTGTAAGGCATATGTAATTTTTTTTGTTTGTTTCTCTGTACGTCTATCTTCATGCACATGCAGAGGAACTAGAAAGTTGAAAAAGTTTAGATAATAATTGTTTTAAAATGAGATAGAAAATTGGAGAAGTTGGTTAAATTAACATTGGTCATAGTTAAAGCTCTTAGCGTTGATGAAAGTAAATAAGAAATATTGTAATGAAACACATTGGCAGTTTGACAATTCCTTTTTAATAGAGTTAAGCCTAAAGACAGATTTAGCATGAATACACATTTCACATAAATGTTCGCATTCCTTTATTTCACACTGTACTTGCTCCTCTGCATAGATAGTATTAGCACTAACATGCTTACTAGTCACATGCCTGAAGTAATTTCTAAATTGCACAAAATGCATAGTGGTGTTGGTGGACTTAAAGATACTAATTTATATATCAGGAACAAAAAACAATGGAAGTAAAAGAATAAGAAATAGTTACATTAAACTAAAAGTGCAGCTCATCCTTCATGGTGGGCCACAAGAAGCACCCATTGCAATGAAAAATGTGCTGATATTAACACTGTTATCACTGGTTATCATTGTTCTGGAAGGTGGAAATACAATAAAACAGAAATAAGAATAAAAACAATTGAAAATGAAGATTAAAAATCATCATTATAAGCAATATGATTGTAAGACTAAAATAATCAGGATTAACTAAACTGTTGAAAATAATGAAACATCAGACTGACTAGATATAATTTTTGATAGATGCATACTTAAAGGTAGTTATATACAAATTGACCATGAGCCTTCCCACATACCGGGGAAAGCCAGCTAGAAAAATAATGGAGCAATGATTCCACTTCTAAGAGCATCACACTTTCAAAAAGTGGAGTAAGTTTAGCAAGAAATGTTAAGTTAAAAATGGAAAGTTTAGCAGTCAGTGGAGTAAATGACAAAACTTTACTAAAAGCCATAAACAAAGACATGAATGAGGACATGCCATGTTCACGCAAGAAACATTGAATATAGTATATCTTTTGCTCTTGCCAAAGTAGTGCTACATGTGCATAATTTCAACAAACAACACAAGCTATACTTTTAGGAATTTGATAAAATAAATGATTCTAAAGTTAATGTGGAAGAATAAACTGGTAACTATTAGGACAAATAGCTAAGCATGTAAGAACAAAAAATTGGACATGGCATGGTGGCTCATGCCTATAATCCCAGCATTTTGGGAGTCCAAGGCTGGAGGACTGCTTGAAGCTAGAAGTTTGAGACCAGTCTGGGCAACATAATAAAACCCCATCTTCACACACACACACAAAAAAAATAGCTGGTTGTGGGGGCCTGCACCTTCAGTCACAGCTACTCAGGAGGCTGAGGCAGGAGGATCATTAGAGCCTGGGAGTTGGAAGTAACAATGAACCATGATTGTGCCACTGTACTCCAGTCTGAGCAACAGAGCAAGACCCTGTCTCAAAAGAAACAAACAGGCTGGGTGCAGTGGCTCATGCCTGTAATCCCAGCACTTTGGGAGGCTGAGGCGGGCAGATCACGGGGTCAGGAGTTCGAGAGCAGCCTGGTCAACATAGTGAAACCCCATCTCTACTAAAAATACAAAAATTAGTCAGACATGGTAGTGCACACCTGTAGTCCCAGCTACTCGGGAGGCTGAGGCAGGAGAATTGCTTGAACCTGGGAGGTGGAGGTTGTGGTGAGCTGAGATCACGCCACTGTACTCCAGCCTGGGCAACAGAGCGAGACTCCATCTCAAAAGAAAGAAAGAAGGAAAGAAAGAAAAAGAAAGAAGGAAGGAAGGAAGGAAACAAAAATGTGGATAGCTACATCACATCCTACACCAAGATAAATTCCAAGGGATTGAACACCTAAATGGAAAATATGAAAATATAAGTACTATGGAAAGGCTAAATGGAATTCAAAGTTAACTCTCATGCCATACTTTTTTTTTTCCATGAAGCACTACTCTAGAATTTGGGGATGGAATAATGAACAAGACAGAAACCATTCTTTTCTCAAAGAGTTTATATTCTCATAGTGGCTTCCCCGTCATCATGGATGGGAATAGTGAGTCAATAAGTAAGAAATGCAATAAACTGACAAGATAATGTCAGCTCTGGATAAGTGCTATGATAACAACCCAGAAAGGTAATGTAATAGAAAGTGAATGAATGATCAGAGAAGGGCTCTCCCTATCAGTGTGACAGCTGAGCAATCCTTAGTTACCTAATTACCTTCTAATGATGCTCAACACATAACCATCTAGACACAGTGCAGCCATATACAGCAAGGGCATGTGCAAAGGCCCTAGGACAGGGGCATGCCTGATGTTTCTGAAGAGCAGAAGGAAAGTGTGTGTACTGGAAGCATGATGAGGGAGGAGGAAAGTAGCAGAAAGGGCAAGGTCAGGACTGCAGGAGCCAAGTCCTCCAGTAGTGACAGGGTGCCAAGGTGAAGCTCATTTTGGAAATGGTCAGGATGCCAAGCTGCTCCCCATTTTGATAGGGGAGGCAAAGAATGAGCCAACAGATAGCTCAGGTGGGCTCTTTGTAACGCAAAGATGAAGTTTCTGTGTTTCCAACTAAAGTTTGAAGTAACCTCATTAAATCCAAGTGAGGGGAGAGTTTGCAGAGAAGGTGAGAAGAGTCCTTATAAGGAGGGGAAGGATAAAACATGCTGGGGGTGGGGAGCAGAGAAGTGTATAAGCCAGAATTTAAAGTGAGTCAGGCAATCTTCACCAGCTTTGAGAGATGAAGAAAATGGATAGATTACTTGCAGTAGCCTGAGTGATAATAAATTCCAAAGCAGGCATCACAATCCTAAAGCTAATATATACTTTATTGCTGGTGGGAGTGTAAATTGGCATAATCCCATCTGGTAAGAAATTTATCAATATGCTTTTTAGTTGCATAATTTGGGAGATGGTGACAAAACAAGGGTTTGGGAGTTAGGGACGGCTGCATAAAAATCACACGAGACCTAATACCTCTGTGAGTTGATATCTTTTCTGAGGAGAAAAGTATTTTAACAGAACCACCATATAAAACAGTTTCAGAATAAGATGCTAGTCAAACGAATTCGATGATTTAATTTGAATCTTCTGATATAAGTTCTGGCTTCATTTTAATATTGCTTTCAATCTTTAAGTATAGAAATGGCAATTTTGCCAACTTAAAGCAATTTTTAGCCACAAGTGGGAACTTTATAATGTACTGTCCAACAGGTTTTGCAATACACTTCTCAGGCAAAATATGGATGTTGCTTTGATGACTCAGCCTCAGATTCCCAGGTGCTTTTTGGAGCAAAGTGAATACTATTTTGTGAACCCCCCCCTCGCCAACTCATAGCATCAGAGAAATGATAAGAAGATACAACATGTATGGCATGAAGAAAAGACCACATTACAAAGTATGCTTAATGATGCAAGGTGAGACATTCAATGACATCCGAGGGCCAAGAGACTGAAAAAGAAAGTTAGGAAAAGGGATGATAACTCTGCCTTTTTACAAATAGAAGAAAACTTCAGTGCAGCATCAAAGAAAACAGAAAAGCTGTGACTGGGACAGGACAAAGGACCATTAGTCTCTTAGTCAGCCAAGATCTTCCTAGTTCCTTAAATGGTTTGACTGTCCAAAGGAAATTGTCAAGGATTTATGTTTTATTTTAGGATGGCATGCATACCCTGTCCAGAGCATTCTCTCCCATCACATGCTGACAAGCTGGTGCAGGGATCTCAGTTCACCGTCATATTCAGCTGAGCTCAAGCTGGTAAGAAGAGCAAGCTAGTGTTACCCCAAGTTTCAAGCTCAAGGGGCTACAAGAGTCATGGGAAAAATGGCTCATGATTTAAAACAACCTTTTATCACTACAAGAATGTGATCACTCTCAAGCATCTGCGTGAGTGGTCAGTGACTACTTTTGCACAGTCATCAGAGTTAAGGATTAATGATTTCCCAGAATAAGGCTGAGTTGACGTACAAACCTACGTCACGGACAGCTCATCTACAGCCAAAGGTCTTCATCTAGCCTAGATAAAGCAAAAGCCCACTGATGCTGTTCCCATAATGGCTGGGCATGAATAACAAAAGAAGCGTAGAGGAGCTAAGTGGCGACTGACCTACCAGTGTAGGCTACTGCTGGATAGACAAGGTGAGAGCCAATCTCAGTGTCCAGGGGTGAGAGAAATTCAGTCTGAAGGTCTCAGTGATACAGCCAGTCCAACCAGTATTTCAAGCACATAATCAGTAGGAAAGCAATCTCTGCTGGGCAGGACCTTCCTCAGCAGTACTTTACAAGCAGGAACAGCAGGAACAACCCCAGCTCTCTGCAAACCTTCCACCATGGGGAATTTAACTTCAGTGTTCTCAGCTGTGCCAGACCTCCTCCAGGCCAGGGCCATAGTACCTATTTACCAAAAAGATGCAATGCATTGTTGGGTTACACACACTGGCCCACTCCGGGCCTGCCATGTCACCATCCAGCCAGTGCAACAGTAAAAAGACACGGGAGGGAAGGTGGGCCTTGGGGCCAAGGAGAGGATGGAGGGTGGCTGAGCCATGTGAGCACTCACACCTTGTTTTTATCAAAAGTCACGTGTAAAATATACAAATGGTACTGAAGTTTATATAGGATAGCAAAGAATATGCGTATATGAGTTTAATGATCAGGGTTGAGACTTATTAATTTGCTCTTTTGTCCAGTAGTTCAAATCAATCTCTAGAGCTACATGTTTTTTAAATATCAAGGCAGAAATTTCTAGAATAGCCAATTTCTAATGAGCAGATGATGTAAGTTTAGCTGCTAAACACATGAAGAATGTGGTGGTCAGTCTGCACTTTGGAGGTTTTCTTTATGACAGCTTATCCAGGTCCATATAACTCTGAAGAAGTGTTTCAAAAATCTGATGCTCTAAATAAAGAGCTAAGGAGTATACCTATACTACACTTGAAAAAAAAAAAAACCAGCTACTTACTTAAAAATCCATTTATTGATTTAAGAGGCTGTTTGAGAGGCATGATGGATATAAATTTGACTAATGCTTTTTTAGGTTATTATATAAAGTTTACTACTAAAGGCTTATTATTACATTATTATTTAACATTTACATATGAAGTTACAGACCAAGCAATTTTTATTTTCTTGGTTGATCTTACTCTTACCTAAAATCCAACATTTTCAAACAGTTGTGGAATTTATTACAGAGCTTTTTTATGTATTACATAATTCTATTTTAACAGAGTTAAAGCTCTTTGCTTTTAACAAAGACATACAGAGACAGACTGACATACTCTACTTCTGTTAAAAAAAAAAACAAAAAGTGTATGTGTCGAGGAATTTATCCATCGACACATACACTCTCCCAAGACTAAACCAGGAAGAAGTTGAATCTCTGAATAGACCAATAACAGGAGCTGAAATTGTGGCAATAATCAATAGCTTACCAACCAAAAAGAGTCCAGCACCAGATGGATTCACAGCCGAATTCTACCAGAGGTACAAGGAGGAACTGGTACCATTCCTTCTGAAACTATTCCAATCAATAGAAAAAGAGGGAATCCTCCCTAACTCATTTTATGAGACCAGCATCATCCTGATACCAGGATCCGAATCCAGCAGCCCATCATCCGAATCCAGCAGCCCATCAAAAAGCTTATCCAACATGATAAAGTGGGGTTCATCCCTGGGATGCAAGGCTGGTTCAATATATGCAAATCAATAAATGTAATCCAGCATATAAACAGAACCAAAGAAAAAAACCACATGATTATCTCAATAGATGCAGAAAAGCCCTTTGACAAAATTCAACAATGCTTCATGCTAAAAACTCTCAATAAATTAGGTATTGATGGGACGTATCTCAAAATAATAAGAGCTATCTATCACAAGCCCACAGCCAATATCATACTGAATGGGCAAAAACTGGAAGCATTCCCTTTGAAAACTGGCACAAGACAGGGATGCCCTCTCTCACCACTCCTATTCAACATAGTGTTGGAAGTTCTGGCCAGGGCAATTAGGCAGGAGAAGGAAATAAAGGGTATTCAATTAGGAAAAGAGGAAGTCAAATTGTCCCTGTTTGCAGACGACATGATTATATATCTAGAAAACCCCACTGTCTCAGCCCAAAATCTCCTTAAGCTGATAAGCAACTTCAGCAAAGTCTCAGGATACAAAATCAATGTACAAAAATCACAAGCATTCTTATACACCAATAACAGACAAACAGAGAGCCAAATCATGAGTGAACTCCCATTCACAATTGCTTCAAAGAGAATAAAACACCTAGGAATCCAACTTACAAGGGATGTGAAGGACCTCTTCAAGGAGAACTACAAACCACTGCTCAATGAAATAAAAGAGGATACAAAGAAATGGAAGAACATTCCATGCTCATGGGCAGGAAGAATCAGTATCATGAAAATGGCCATACTGCCCAAGGTAATTTATAGATTCAATGCCATCCCCATCAAGCTACCAATGACTTTCTTCACAGAATTGGAAAAAACTACTTTAAAGTTCATACGGAACCAAAAAAGAGCCCACATCGCCAAGTCAATCCTAAGCCAAAAGAACAAAGCTGGAGGCATCACGCTACCTGACTTCAAACTATACTACAAGGCTACAGTAACCAAAACAGCATGGTACTGGTACCAAAACAGAGATATAGATCAATGGAACAGAACAGAGCCCTCAGAAATAACGCCACATATCTACAACTATCTGATCTTTGACAAACCTGAGAAAAACAAGCAATGGGGAAAGGATTCCCTATTTCATAAATGGTGCTGGGAAAACTGGCTAGCCATATGTAGAAAGCTGAAACTGGATCCCTTCCTTACACCTTATACAAAAATCAATTCAAGATGGATTAAAGACTTAAACGTTAGACCTAAAAACCATAAAAACCCTAGAAGAAAACCTAGGCAATACCATTTAGGACATAGGCATGGGCAAGGACTTCATGTCTAAAACACCAAAAACAATGGCAACAACAGCCAAAATTGACAAATGGGATCTAATTAAACTAAAGAGCTTCTGCATAGCAAAAGAAACTACCATCAGAGTGAACAGGCAACCTACAAAATGGGAGAAAATTTTTGCAACCTACTCATCTGACAAAGGGCTAATATCCAGAATCCACAATGAACTCAAACAAATTTACAAGAAAAAAACAAACAATCCCATCAAAAAGTGGGCGAAGGACATGAACAGACACTTCTCAAAAGAAGACATTTATGCAGCCAAAAAACACATGAAAAAATGCTCACCATCACTGGCCATCAGAGAAATGCAAATCAAAACCACAATGAGATACCATCTCACACCAGTTAGAATGGCAATCATTCAAAAGTCAGGAAACAACAGGTGCTGGAGAGGATGTGGAGAAATAGGAACACTTTTACACTGTTGGTGGGACTGTAAACTAGTTCAACCATTGTGGAAGTCACTGTGGAGATTCCTCAGGGATCTAGAACTAGAAATACCATTTGACCCAGCCATCCCATTACTGGATATATACCCAAAGGACTATAAATCATGCTGCTATAAAGACACATGCACACGTATGTTTATTGTGGCACTATTCACAATAGCAAAGACTTGGAACCAACCCAAATGTCCAACCATGATAGACTGGATTAAGAAAATGTGGCACATATACACCATGGAATACTATGCAGCCATAAAAAATGATGAGTTCATGTCCTTTGTAGGGACATGGATGAAATTGGAAATCATCATTCTCAGTAAACTACTGCAAGAACAAAAAACCAAACACCGCATATTCTTACTCACAGGTGGAAATTGAACAATGAGAACACATGGACACAGGAAGGGGAACTTCACACTCTGGGGACTGTTGTGGGGTGGGGGGAGGGGGGAGGGATAGCATTGGGATATATACCTAATGCTAGATGACGAGTTAGTGGGTGCAGCGCACTAGCATGGCACATGTATACATATGTAACTAACCTGCACATTATGCACATGTACCCTAAAACTTAAAGTATAATAATAATAAAAATAAATAAATAAAAAATAAAGAATGCAAAAATAAAAGTGGAGAAAACTGAAATAGCATGTTTTGTTTAAAAAGCCAAAAATTCCTAGATTAATTTTTGTTGATATTTGCTTTTTTGCTCTTCCCCATCACACACACATGTGCACACACCTACAACACACACATTACCACACAAAACACACACCACACACACATCCACAATGCACACCAACACAACACATACCACACACACAAACCCAACACACACCACACACATCACATACCGCACACACCCAAAACTCAACACACACCCACAGACACAAACTCACATATCAGCTTCTTTCACTTTAGTTTTTTTGGGTGTGGGGGCAGGTAAATGGCTCCTCATTCTACATTCCCAGGACTTCTGAATAGTCTTTTGTATAGCTGATGCACTTATCAGAACCTGAACCTCCGGAGCTTTACAACCACAGGTCTCATTTTCAGGCAAAAACATAAAATGCTGAAAACTTCCCAAAGAAACTCCAGGATAGACTCTTTTTGAAGGAACACGATGGCTTGGTTGACATGTGCCACTTAACACTAAAAACATCTGATTTTGCTAAAATCCCAAATTCTGCTCTCTATACTGCGGTTCTGAGAAAGTCACTCACATGTTCTATTTGAGGCTATGTTAAATCATTCACTCTACCCGTCTTGAGGCATGAAAGTCCCAGGGATGTGGATTTAAATATATACTGTTATGATTTCGCTTATAGCTGTTAAAGTCTTAGTTCAAAGCCTCTGGGCTCACAACACTTTCAGATACATCTTTTCTCTAAGCTATCCACATGTGTCCCACTCAACACTGAGAGCCACTGCTAGAGGGTCTCAAGGGCACTTTTAGGCCAGGAGAGCAAGAAACAGACACACATACACACAAAATACTGTTCTAAATAAAACAACCCAAAAATCAGGCAAAAATCTATGCAAGAGACAGAAGGTTTTTAAGAGCACCATTTAGCAAGGTGATATTCAAAATAATTGACCACCAGCTGGGATGGAGCTCTATGGAAAGGCCTGGCGGTTTCCAGGGCAACCAGGGAAGCCCAGGGCCTCCTCACTGGGACTCAGGAAGGCAGCCTGGTTTCCTGATTTGAGTGATTATATTATGAGAGCTGGAGAGAGATGTTTCTCATCAGGAAATCTCTCACTTAGTCATTCCCATAAATATTCGTGGCACTACCTCAATAAAGCTCCGTAGAGAGTAAACCCTACAATCTGCGCAACAGACATTTTTTTTTCAACTGTGCAGACAGCTTTGAAAAAAACTTCACTGAAGCCACTGCAGTGTCAGGGCGATATTAATTACAGGCCTCTGTGGCTATGATATGGAAAATCCATCCTGAGGGAATCTGTGTTCTTAGACATGGCAATCCAATTATATACAATTGATCCAAAGGTGGCTGTTTTTCAACTGCTTGTGACTATTTACAGTAACAGTAATGCCCCAAATTTTATGGTTATGAGATTTTTTTTTCTGCAAAGCTTTAGTGCTTCATAGATGCTTCCTAATTTATCTGAGGTCATTGCCTCACTTACAATAATCATCTCAAGTGAGATATTCAACACCCATGCACCATGCAACAGCAAAATTGGTCCTGAAGAGGCACACAGACCTGAGCCCATACAGCACTGTCCCATCAGGGTGAAGACGGATCATGCGGTTTTTCACTGTCACTCCATGCACAAATGACTTTTTGTCATTTAAGAAATATGTGTCGGGCACCCATAGCTGGTCAGCCACTCGATTGTCAAGCGTGAGGTTGAGAGGGATCCCAGAATAGGCGAGCCTTTTATCTCTCCAATATTGTTGAAAATACATGGTTAAGGTATAATCCTGGGGGGAAAAGAAAAGAAAGAAAGTTAGTTTGTACCCAGCCACAGGTGTATTTCCTCCACGACCAGCCAAATTCAGGTTGCAATCTAGGCTCTACAGTGAATAACCAGGAGAAACGGATGCCATTTTTATGCAGAATGGGAAGCAATGGCTGCTTTCTTGTGAATGCAAATACCAGTTTTAATAGGTACATGAGTCTGTGTGTGTCACGTATAGATGTCCTCTGTTTTACTTAGGTTAAGAAGCAGACTAGACAAACTGGCATTTAACAGATAACAGCATAGAAATAAACGGGAAAAAGTCATCGTAAAATCAGGTTGCTGGCGGGGAACTAGATTGTTCCCATGGATGTTCTCTTTCCCACCAGGCAGACAGGTGCTTTAACAACCTACAACAGATGAGCTCTATCTACAAACTCTCTCTGCAATTTGAGCCACTTTCCTCTGGTTCTGCCCTCCATGAGGGCTATAAATACAAACCTTCCATAAACATCCTCTGGAGACACAAGGGACTGTGGGAGGTCTCCATGCCCTACCTATTGTATTTCCTTTTTCCTCCAGCTTGCCGTGGCCATTTCTACATTAACTGGACCATAAAATCACCCGGAGATGATGACATATTCACCTGAGGAAAATGGGAACCTAAGGTCCAAGCAGGATATGGGAGGTGGGAGACAGACAGGGCCATGGTGTTGTCCACAGGCTTGCCCACAAAATTACCAAATATCCACGTGATGGTTCTGCTTTCGTTTTGCCAAAGCAGTTAGTTTATCGAGAACAAAGTGGGAAAAAAGACAAATCAGAGGCTAGACATGGCAGAACAAAAGAAATTCTCTTTTTGTTGGGGACAATCATCACTACTCAGTTCTAGAATGACCAAGTCTAAAAATCTAGTGATATTCACAGGACATTTTGCACCCTTCTGTGGAAAGATACAAGCTGAAAACATCAAAGGTTAGGAGGTAAATTATCCAACCACGGAGGGGAAAAAATCGCTGCCATTCTGCAAAAGCAGCTTTCTGAGTTCACACACTTTAAGATCATGTCTGCAAACATCCTCACTTGTGGACAGCGAGAGATGGAGAGCAAATCGGTTGAAGAATCCAGTCTCGACACAGGCCTCCTGACAACCCCTCCAGTATTCTTTTTGCTTCTTGCAGGGCAATTCACGGTGTTGCTAAACTGATGGCTGTTTATTGCTGCTCTCAATAGTGTTGGAATATAGAGGCTTAGGGACTGATAGAGGACATCGATTTGTCTTCAGATGCTTGCCACAAGAAGGGGAAACAAAACCAGCTTGTACTATATCACTGTAAACAAAATACGTTTTTAAGCTTTGAGTCCCATAAAAATTAAGAGTGGAAGGAAAGGCAAGAAAGTCCAAATGGGCTGGACAGTCTTTGGAGAGGCCTTGTCTTCAAGTTAAAGGAGAGGCAGCATTTAAGCAGATGAAAAGAAGCAGGCATTTTTTTTCCCAGACACTTTTGTGGGCACAGCTCTGTGCCTAGTAATAACCTGTGGGGGCCCTCACCACCACCACCAATTAAAGATTCTCGCAGAGCAGGTGACACTAAAGATAACCCTCGGCTAGGTAGACAGCAGGTACAGCACATCGAAAAACACATGGAGTGTTGCTCTTAAGGGTCTGATGGAAAAGCCTGTGGAGTGCAGTTTTGCTGGAATGCTGGGTTTATGGGTAAAAGAGAGCAGAGCGATGAGTCAGGCTAGACCCCAGGGCAGTGACCACAAGGTGGAAACTAGAATGCCACCTTCGCAGCCAATGAAAGCCACTGATAGTTTCCATGGAGCAGAGAGCCATGACCAGGAGTATTAACCGTGCCTTTTATTTCTGTGTTCTGATGCTTTGATCTGCGACCCTGTGGACCTTGGAGGGAGGGCCCCTTCCAGGGCTGGCTAATTCCGAGAGACGGCTAGCAACTCTCCTAGGAGTGTACTTTTCACATGCAAACCAACCAGTCCAGAACCCACACCCCAACCATCTCTTTTGTTTGTTTGTTTGTTTTTACAGTCCAGAGGTCTTTTATTTTTTATACCTATTATGCCATAAATTCATAGAGCATAGATTTCAGCGGCTTAGACTCCAATCACCTCTTTTACTGAGCTTGCACATTCTGGGGTCCCTATCACCCGCTTAAACTGCCCCAGGTCCAGGTAATGGACAACTAAAGACAGCCCCTGTGCCCCAAGGGCCTGAAATTATTTAAACCAGCCAATTCTGAGCCTGCACACCCCGTGTCACCCATTCCTTCCCAGCAACCACAATAAAGGCATTTCCCCTCCCTCTGCTGCCTGACCCACCCTGGCACTCCCTGAGCAGCCCCCATGGCATGGTGTGGCTCCCTGCTGCTCCAGAACTGGAAGGAACACACTCTCCTCTCAATGGCAGTTGTGTCCTGATCTGTCGGCCTTGCCTGACCTAAATAATAATAAAACCTCCAGTTTAAAACACAAAGCCGCCTGTGAGGAAAACTAGCGTAGCAATGGTGAGTTCAAGGGGTAGAAGGGATGGTGTGCAGAGGCCTCCGAGGAGTGGACAGTGCTGAGTGGTGGGTAAAGCAAAGGCCTGAAAGGTTCTCGGACACTGGGCTGATGCAGAACATCAGGATGAGAATGCACCTTCACAGGGCATATTCCGCCCCTTCATCACCATTACCTTTCGCTGGTGTGGGCGGTGCGCTGGAACTGAGGCGTGCAAAGTTGTGGTTTCACAACAAAAGGAGGATGTGTTAGTGGTGGCGACCACAGAGTTTCTCTACTATCACCCTCCATGTTACACTCGTATTGAAATAGAAGTTTCACTTGTTTCTTTCTTTACTCCTAACCCCGCATGCTTACGCCTGAGTCGCGATGTCTAGCGCCCTTCTCAGAGTCCCTCCGGATGGGCTCGCACATGGCTTGCCACAAGAAGGGAGAGAACTTGTCAGTCAGCCCTAGGAGCCCGGCTGTCACTCACAGCCTGACAGCTCGGGCTCCGCGTCTTATTTTGGACTGTGTCGCTCTCCGCACCACCAGCAGCGCCTCTCAGTTTGGGTCTTGGGTGTCTGCTGAGGTGACTTGAGTAGACTAGTGGGTAAGAGCTTAGGTAACAGCAAGAGGGAAAAAACAGTATGAAAATCCAAACCCGCTGCATGTGATCAGCCATGTATGGCAAGGACTATCACATCAGTGGGGGCACAAATCAGTGTCCTCCTTTTTTTCTGGGATACTTACTAGCTGGCAACAAAGGGAAGGGGGTGGTGGAAAGGTCCAAGCCTCCCTCCACTCTCGTGCAGCCGGGAGTAGCAAATGCAGGGTTTTCCTGTTACGGGAGCCATGGTGCCGCTCCTTGTGACGTGCAGTGGTGAGCACTGAGCCAGGAACAGCGGGCAGCCGCTTGTGTGAGTGATCCTTCAGCAAACTCCACGCCCTGTGCTACCTAGAACCTCATTTAACTAGGAGGCAGGTATTATAATTATTATCCTATATCGATGAAGTAACAAAAATTGAAGAGCTGAAGTAACTCGCTCCTCATCCACTCCCTCCACTCCCTCAAACACTAGTAACCCGGGATAGTGGAACTTGAAGTTCGGGCCACCTCCTTTCAGGGCCTGGCTCTCAATGTGGAAGCTCCAAGGGATGGGAGCTAAACAGTTCCTCACAATAAAGTGGAGTGAGCTTGGCAGGGTGGGGCTTTGAAAGGATGTCTCTGAGCATGGAGAGTCAGGTCATGCAGGGGGGTTCTTCAGGGCAGTAATCAGAACCCCGGCACCACCAACTCCTCCTTCCACACCCAACCCATCGCCAAACATTTAGCACAGCTGCTATAGAAAGAAGCTTTGTAAAAGTATCCTTTTCTTCAATGCATCCCATACATCCCAGGGAAGTCACCAATTTTTACCTTTGCAATGATGTGGCATGAACCAAAGAGAAGAGCACAGTCACAAAGAGATGGAATTTGCATGGGATGGAGAGTCTGTCAGAGTTTTGAATTCCAAGCCTGTCTGCAGAAACAGAAGATACTTTGAGACTTTAAAAGCTCCAAGGATTAAAGGAATAGCAGAGGGGACACTGGATTCCTCACAGAACATGAAATGGAAATTAAGCCTTTGTTCTTTAACCTTAATGCTCGAGGTGGACTCAGGTGACGTCTGGGTACAAAAATAAGAAATGACTGGGAAGGGTGGAGCTTCTCAAAGAACAGCCAAGCTGGCCACTCTGCGGCAGGGTGGATCCCTGTTGCTATGGTTCCTGCTGGCTGACAAGGGGCTGGGGAGGTAGCAGTAGACACCAAATGAGACAGACTGTTGATATCGTTTACAGAAGCAGCCCGCGTCCTCCACCAATTGAGTTGCTAACGTTCCCTCTTTTGCCAGACCCCCAGGCTGCACAAGAAACTATCTGTATCATTAGATACACGCCTGCCTTACTTTACTGTGCTTCACAGATACTGCATTTTTAACAATTTGAAGGTTTGTGGCAACCCAGCGTTGAGCATGTAAGTTGAACAACACTGTTTTTCCAACAGCATATGCTCACTTCATGTCTCTGGGTCATATTTTGGTAATTTTCACAAGATTTCAATCTTAGTATTTCATTACTTTTATATTGGTTATGGTGACCTATAATCAGTGATATTTGATATTACTATTATTATCACTCTGGGGCACCAGGAATAGCACCCATATAAGATGGCAAACTTATCGTACAAATGTTGTGTGTCCTCTGACTGATCTACCAACTGACCCTTAACCCTGTATCTCTCCCTCTCCTTGGGCCTCCCTATTCCCTGAGACACAACAATATCAACATTAGGCCAGTTAGTAGCCCTCCAATGGCCTCTAAGGGTTTAAGTGAAAGGAAGAGTCGCCCATCTCTCATGGTAAATGAAAAACCAGAAATGATTAAGCTTAGTGAGGGAGGCAGGTCAAATGATTGATGTGCAAAAGATTTTTATAGGCCCAAAGTTAGGCCTTTTCTACCAGTTAGCCCAATTGTGAATGCAAAGAAAAAGTTTTAGTAGGAAATTAAAAGTGCTACTCTGGGGAATGATAAGAAAGTCCAACAGCCTTACTGCTGATATTGATAGAATATCAAACCAGCCATAACGTTCCCTTAAGTCAAAGTTTAATCTGGAGTAAAATCCTGACTCTCTTCAATTCTGTGAAGGCTGAAAGAGTTAGGGCAGCTGCAGAAGAAAAGTTAGAAGATAGGAGAGATTGGTTCATGAGGTTTAAGCAACGAAGCCATTTCCATAACATAAAAGTGCAAGGTGAAGCAGCAAGTGCTGATGGAGAAGCTGCAGCAAGTTATCCAGAAGATCCCGCTAAAATCACTGATGAAGGTGGTTACACTAAACAACAGGTTTTCAGAGTAGACTTTGGAAGAAGTCTTTTCTAATGGAAGAAGAGGCCATGTCGGACTTTCATAGCAAAAGAGAAGAAGTCATTGTCTGGCTTCGGAGCTTCAAATGACAGGCTGACTCTCTTGCTAGGGGCTAATTGCAGCTGCTGACTTTAAGTTGAAGCCAATGCTCACCCACCATTTTGAAAATCCCAGGGCCCTTAAGAATTCTGCTAATCTACTCCGCCTATGCTCAAAAAATCCAACAATAAAACCTGGGTGTCAACACGTTTACAAAACTGAATATTTTTAACCCACAGTTGAGACCTTCTGCTCAGAAAAAACATTCCTTTCAAAATGTTACTGCTCATTTTCAATGTACCTGGTCACTCAAGAGCTCTAATGGATATGTACAAAGAGATGAATGTTGTTTTCATGTCTGCTAACACAACATCCATTCTACAGCCCATAGATCAAGGAGAAACTGACTTTCAAGTTTTATTATTTAAGAAATACATTTCACAAGGCTGTAGCTGCCATAGACAGTGATTATTTTTACGGATCTGGGCAAAGTAAACTGAAAACATTCTGGAAAGGACTAGATGTCATTCTAGATGTCAGTAAGAACATTCATGATTTATAGGAGGAGGTCAAAATATCAACACCAAGAGGAGTTTGGAAGATGTGGATTCCAGCCCTCATGGATGACTTTGAGGGGTTCAAGTCATTGCAGATGTGGTGGGAATAGCAACAGAACTAGAAGTGAAACTTGAAGATTTCCCTGAATTTCTGGAATCTCATGATTAAACTTGAATGAATGAGGAGTTGCTTCCTATGGATGAGCAAAGAGTGGTTTCTTGAGATGGAATCTACTCCTGGTGAGGATGTTGTGAACATTGTTGCAATGACAACAAAGGATTTAGAAGATTACATAAACTTAGTTGATAAAGCAGTGGCAGGGTTTGAGAGGACTGACTTCAATTTTGGAAGAAGTTCTACTCTGGGTAAAATGCTATCAAACAGCATCCAATGCTACAGAGAAATCTTTCATGAAAGGAATAGCCAAAGTAATAAATTTCATTGTTGTCTTAAACTGCCACAGCTTTCAGCAACCACCACCCTGATCAGCCAGCAGCCATCAACACTGAGGCAAGACCCTCCACCAGCAAAAAGATCATGACTCACTGAAGGCTCAGATGATTGTTAGCACTTTCAGCAATACAGTATTTTCAATTAAGGTATGTATATTTTATAGACATAATGTTATTGGACAATTAATAGACTACAATGTAGTATAAACATAACTTTTATATATCTTGGGAAACCAAAAAATTTGTGACTCACTTCATGATATTTGCTTTACAGCAATGGTCTGGAACAGAACCTGCAGTATCTCTGAGGGTGTGCCTGTATTTACTCAGTTATTCAGCAAATGTTTATTGAGTGCTTACCGCCTGCTAGGCAACTTGGGGGAGGCGAAGATGAACCTGAGGCACTGTGAGCCCTCAGGGGCTGCCCATGTGGCAGAGACAATAATTGCAGGTTCCAAGAATTCAAAAGCAATCTAGGTTAAGTGCTATACTAAACACGAAGGGATATGGCAATCAGAAAAAGAAGCCACTTCTGGGAAGGATGACTACAGGTGAATTCTTGGAAAAACAACCATCTGATCTAAACCTAGAAGTAAAAGATTCAGCTATGTGAAGGGAAGGGCGGCTGCCCCTGGAGGGCCAGTCTTGGGTATGGACATCTGGTCGAAGCAGCTCCTGTTATCAACTGACCCTACACAGCTATTTTCGCAAAAAAAACAAAAAAACAAAAAAACAAAACAAAACAAAACAAAAAACCAACCAGCGCCACAGGGCTAGGCAGAGGAGATGGCTCCACAGGGTGGACCTCACATTCTACCTAGGTTGGTGACCCCCCCAGGGTAGCTGAGGGAGCCCTAGAGAGACGAAAGGGGGCCAGCAGAGGCCTGAAACGGCAGTCCTCAAACGGAGGCTCTCAGGCCTTGGAAATCCGAGCTGGGAGGTGTGGGGGAGTCAGGTGCAAGAGCGCCTCCACTCCTTGTGACTGCCGAGAGCCCGCGTCCCCGACTTTTACCTCTTCTGTCTGGTAGGTGGCCCACATGGGGACACGAGGGAGTCTCCCGGTATCCCGGTGCTGAGGTCCCAAAGACTCCGAGAGCCTCCGCCACGCTAACCGGAAGTTGTGACTGTCGCTTCCTCTCCATCTCTGCTCTTTACAGGAGAGGCTGAAGCTCGGGGAGGCGCAGGGGCGGAGTGTGGGGAGAAGCAGCTCCCGGGAGACGGAGGGCTTTGCGAAGCGGCGGCAATCAGGGGCGGGGCCTGGAAAGGAGGGCAGCGCGGAAGCTTGGCCCCGAGAGGGAGGAGGCGTGGTCTGTGGCTCGAGGGGCGTGGCCCGTAGCGGAAAAGGCGTGGCCCAGCTCAGGAGCCTGGCGGGCAAGCTCCTCCCTGTGCGCGGCGCTGTGCGGCGTGGAGAACCTCGCCCTGGGAGGGTGGGCCTGATTAGATTAGCACACACCGGGAAGAGACAGGCTGTCTCCTGGCACTGGCTCTTGGCTGTGGCACAACCAGCCTTATCAGCACATCTAGACCGAATGTGTTGGCAGGAGGAGGAGGGGGTATTGGTGGAGAGGTCAGAGCTTGCAAAAATAGCAGCTTCCAGTGGGGCTGCGGAGACACAGCCCCGTGTCCAGGGGATGCAGAAGTGTCCTCGTCCTTGGCTGTGGGTGAGCCCCACAAACCGAAGGTGGTAACACTCCACTTCTCACATCACCAAACTCTTCAGCCCTGGTGCAGCTTCTGAGTTCACCGAGCCCCTTCTGGTTGTAATTAGATGTAACCTGACTTTAGAAAACTACAGTCTTAGTGGGAGTTGAGATTTATAGCCATTCAAGCATTTATAAAATATCCCTCCTGTAAATTAATTAACTGACACACTGAATGTGTGTTCACCAATACTGACTCGAACGTATTTTGTTAGCACGTGTCTCCATAGCCCTGGGCACCCTGAGAACGTTTGGCTTCTGGTTAAGGTGCAGCGCCAATCCTGAGATGGGGCTGGCCCTGGATGGATACAGTACTTAGAAGGCTGTAGGTAAAGGCAATGAGAGGTCCTGGCACCCCGCAACCCTCCACGACCTCTGCCACCCCATTTACTCAGCGGTTCAACCCCAAACCCTCACCAGGGAAGGCCGCTGGGGAAGCCCTTGTGGAGCAATTATCCTTGGACTCCTGCATTCCTCGGCCAGGCTCCCGGAGGTGAGGCTCTTTCCTCTGGGTGGGCAGGAGCCCAGGGCACCTGCAGAGACCTTCTGGGCCCCTGCTCTACCCAGTCCCTCTGTACCTGAAACAGCTGTCCACAGAAGGGAAAGCTGCCAGCACCTCTGGTTATACCGTGACAGGTTCCTGTGGACATTGCAGCCCTGGGATATGGGATTTAATGGAGAGTGCTCAGGCAGTGAGGAGGAAAACACAAGGGAATTCTCCAGTCTACTGGGAACTGGAACTCTCTGGAGTATGCTCTCTGGAGCATGTGAGTTGTTTTGCTGAATTATAGTGGTTTGAACTATTACAGTTTATCAAAATCATTAGATAAGATGTCTTGAATCAATACCTTTCTCTCATAAAAGCCTTCTGAAGAACTTAGAATCAGCATGAAGAAATATTCGAGTAAGAGTTGCATTCAAAACAAAGGGTCTTTCTTAAAAACAGAACCTTTCTTTAAAAAAAGGGTCTTGCTTAAAAACTTTGCAAACAAAATCACTTGAATTAAAAAGCCATTTATTCATCTTGGCTTATTTTGGGGATCATAAAGCCCTTTGATAATCTAATGAAATCGGGGGCCCTCTCCACAGAAAATACAATCTCTCTCAGTATTGGTGTGTGTATCAATCAGTTAGCACAAAACCCTGAAGTTCATGGGATGCGTGTTTTACAAGCTCAAATTGCTTTCAATACTAGTGGGTGGAGTTCCACAAATTTGTACATCATTTGCTTAGGATGTCTGCAGTGTTTTCCTATAGAAAAAACTATGACAAAAAGGGTTGTTAGGTTTCACTCCAGATTATCAAACAATTTCATGTGAAGGTAAGAAGCCACGGTTCCTGGTGAGACACGAGGACTAGCCCAGGCTCCCTGTTTTGGAGCCACAGTGCCGCTGGGAGGCAAGGAAAGTATTGCTGGACCTAGAAGCTGTAGAGGAAGCCCTGAGTGCCGGGAGCAGGCATTCTGGAATATGAGCCACCCACAAGTGAAGCATTTATACATAGTGACTGCCCTTTCAAAATCTCCTGAGTATATACAAGCAGCAGCAACAACAAAACAAAATGAAACCTCAGCTCATCTTTAGGTGTATAATTCAGGCAGCTCAGATGAATTGCAGTAAGACATATAAACAACAAAGTTTCTTCCTGCTTTTGCAAATCTCTTGGCGTTTATGACATTAAAATGACAAGAATACACATTTGAAAGCGGAAATATTGCTCATTATTCTGCAATTAAGTAATTGACTACATTCCTTAGCACAGGAAATGAAGAAAAAATTTACCATCCCTGAGAAAGAAATGCAATTTCTAAACCAAATTTAAATATTTAACTGCAGCTGTGAAAACCACAGGACACCTGCATTTGCATCTGGTTCAGCAAGTTTATGATACAAAACCTTGCAGGTAAGTTGTTCTCAGGTCAGGGAAGATGGAAAATTGTTTTGAGAAGCTTACATAAGCCCTAGGTGGTGGTGACTTCCTTTGTAGTCATTCCTACAAGGAAGGTTAGGCTGAGGGAATCGGCACTTTTATTAACAAAATTTATTTTGGAAATTCCAATCTATTCCGTTTAATGACCAAAAACTAAATATCTAACATCACAACCAACTCTCCTCCCACAACAGACTTCGATGGTATCTAGCTTTCCATTTGTTGACTCTATTTGATGTTTAATAATAAAACAGCTTCCTTCTCTGCCTCCCTCCATCTTGCTTTAAGCATTGATTATCTACCATAGGCCAAGAACCATACTTAGTGTTAGGGATCCAGAGATAAGGAAGACAGAATTGGTACCTTTAAAAAGCTCACAATCTAGTGGGGAGAAAGAAAGATGGATCCAAGTACAATTAGAGTGATTAGGAGAAGCAGCTTTGGAAGCGAACGTGCCGAAGTCTCAAGTTGGCCTCCTACTGGCCCAGCAAGTGACAGGCGACCTCACTGTCTTATGCCTGTCACTGGATCTGTGAAGACTGCCTGCCACGCATTCTGAAGTCCTTAGCATGGGGAGGACATGGTGTGCTGAGTTAAGTGTACAGCAATGCGAAAGAAGTATATATGTAAGGGTCCTCTCACTCAGCCTAGGGCTGGCAGGAGAGGAGTCCAGTTACTGAGGCTTTTCAGCCTTTATACCTGCCGAAAGGCAGAGTGTGCATTTATTCATCCATCTAAATGCTAAATGTAGTCAGAAGATGAAGTAGTCACCTCTGTATGAAATCTGAAAGGGCTGGTGAAAAGAGATATAAGTCTCCCAGGCCCCTAAAGCTATCTGAAAAGCTGGCATAGGATAGGAATTATTTTGAAAATGTTTTTCTTTATAAGTCTAAAAAGATACTTTTCTGGAGTCGAGTAAGTTTGAAAAGCAAAATGATTGCACTGACCTACATTCAGAGGACAAATACATTGTACTGTGAGAAGAAATCTGGAGAATTCAACCTAAGCCAATGAGAACCAGGGAAAT
This sequence comes from Homo sapiens, assembly GCF_000001405.40. Lineage (NCBI taxonomy): Eukaryota > Metazoa > Chordata > Mammalia > Primates > Hominidae > Homo > Homo sapiens. The sequence continues at coordinate 26,632,621 of NC_000015.10, forward strand.
GTAAGAGAGATGCCCTTCACTAAATAAACTGTTCATGCAGGTGCTTGTTTGCCGTCGGTGTTGAGTGTGCTGGAGCAAAATGTGTCAGACTCGCTGGGTGACACCCTTGCCATGTGCCTTACTTGGGAAAGTTATCTAATTATTCTGAGCCTTAGCAACCTCTTGTGTAAAAATGAAACTAAAAATGCTCCTTTTGCAAAAGTGCTGTAGCCATTAATTGATCTAACAATGCTTAACACAGTGCTGGATTCATAACAGGCATTTGGAAAATTGTACTTTCTCTTGTCTCAAGAGCAGGGCCAGTCACCCCTGAAAGAAGACCCTCCAGAACTGAATGAAAAAGGACCCTCTTTATTAGCTGCCCCCAGCCCCCACTATTCTACAGCGAGTATACACCAAACCACAAATGAAAATGTGCTGTGTTTTCCTGAGATGCAGGTGAAGAAATCCCAGCCCAATGGTGTAGAATTCCCAAAATTATCTGGAGCAGGCTTCACCCTTTGCTCTCAAATCCCAAGTTTCATCGTCTACTCAATATCCAAATGCAATACAAGCTTGTTTCCTGAAATGTATCAGGTCACTAGCTTTTTTTCATAAAACATTTTTTCTGCTGTGAATTACTTTGAAATTATAAATTAAAATTAAACACAAATTTATAAAAGAGCTACAGTGCTAATCAAAATGAAACCACCACCAGCCATCCTACTGCAGCTGACCCTGACAGCCACCCTTCCAGTGCTCCAGGGCTCACCTCCCACCCACTCTCTCTTCCCTGTACCTTTAGAAAACCCCATCCTATAGTCAAGTGTAATGCCCAACCTGTTATTACGAACCTTGTTTTTAGACTCTCCTCTTTCCTTTAATCACCTAGCCTTGTTTCCACCTGAATTGACTCTCCCTTAGCTAAGACAGCCAGAGAGACTCCATCTTGGTTCTTTCACCGGCAGCCCCTTCCTCAAGGACTTAACTTGTGCAAGCTGACTCCCAGCACATCCAAGAATGCAATTAACTGATAAGATACTGTGGCGAGCAATATCCGCAGTTCCCAGGAATTCGTCTGATTGATAACACCCAAAGCCCCACGTCTATCACCTTGTAATAGTCTTAAAGCCCGTGCACCTGGAACTGTTTACTTTCCTGTTACCATTTATCCTTCTAACTTTTTTGCCTACTTTATTTCTGTAAAATTGTTTTAACTAGACCCCCTTCCCCTTTCTAAACCAAAGTATAAAAGAAAATCTAGCCCCTTCTTCAGGGCTGAAAGAACTTTGAGCGTTAGCCGTCTCTTGGCCGCCGGCTAAATAAACGGACTCTTAATTCGTTTCAAAGTGTGGCGTTTTCTCTAACTCGCTCAGTCAGGTACAACAAAGTGACTCCTCCATATAAGGAACATTTTCAATAAGCATTCCCTTTGCAGCCTCCTTTAGTTGTAAGTTGGTGACCTACTGTAGCCTTTTTTTGGAGAGGTTGCTTCTTCTCCCAAACTGGGCACCAAAGAGCTAAGGGAGAGGGGCACCCCCCTTTCCCACTCCTGATCAGCCTCTGGGTCTTCGTTCTTCCACTGCTGTCTCTGGCCCATTCTACTTTCCTGGGATTTGGATGCATTGATCCCACTGCCTTCTGAACCTTTCCATCCAGATGCCCCACATGCAACCCAAGATCATCATGTCCCAAATTAACTCACTGTCTTCGTGCCTCAAATGTGTTCACCCACCCGCCCACTCACGCAACCCAACCCAAACCAGAAGCAATATACCAGCCTCTTTCATTCTCACCCTAACCTCCAACAATCATTCAGCCACTATGTTCTGTCGATACTATTTCCTAAAAATCTTTCATCTCTAGAATGGGATCATGAGGTCAGCTGCAGTGCTGAGGGCTGGAGTGTTTCCACTGATGTCGCCATGGCAACGGATTAGAGGATGAGTGCCTAGACTCACAAATTGCATCCCAGAAGCATGCTTACCCATGGTGTCTAGAGTATGGAGGTCAAATACCAAACCTCAGACATGTTATGGGTTAAATAGAATAATATAGGGAATGACCAGATGCCTCACACTCTATAAGGGAGCAGATGTTCCAACTCAACACAATATAATATGAATGAATTTCTGGAATGTGCTGGTAAACTGCAGAGTCATTGCATACTCTCCTTTATTTAAAACAGGTATTTATCTGAACAATACTCACTAAATACGTGTGTATATATGTGTTTGTGTGTGTATGTATACATACACACATATATACACACATATTTATAGAGAGAAAAAACTTTAAAAATTATATATATCTCTCTCCAAATATTAGATAATCTCTAAAGATTAGATAACTTTCTCAAGTAAGTAAGAGATATATGTATCTCTAAATATATATATATATATATATATATAATATATATATATTTAGAGAGGAAGAGAGAGAGACTTTATATGTTGAAACATATGTGTACTAATCAAAGCCATAGTTTTATTTTCCGGCAACTATCTTTAATTAAGAGAATTCCAAAAGGGAATGCAGTGACTCCAGTGATATCATTCTTCCAAAGATGCTCTGAGAACTGGCTGTGAAAAACATCCATATTGCTTGGACAAGGCACCCTCATCTCCATATTTCAAAGGTACTTGAACTGGGTGAACATTACCCCTGGAGACTGGCGAGTGATTCATCCCCATTCTGACTGTGAGACGTGTATCAGGCTGGATGATCCATGCCTCTGTGCTCTTCCCCTGCTTAAACATAGCTCCTGCAGATGACCATAAGGTTAAGAATTCTATGTTCTTAAATAGTGATGGTCCTCTCTTGGGTGGCATGATTTATGGAGTTTGTATTATTAGATTTGCTAAACTGAGTATCACTTAAAATTACTTCTCTGAATCCCTTCAAGAGAGCAGACAAGGCAAAAAAAAAATGCTTAAACAGAAAGAAAGACGTTTATTTATCAGGAGGAATAATTTCTGATATTTGGCACAAGTGAATGCCAGAACCGTACCAGTCAACCTTTCTTAATGGGTTTTTTACTCCCTTTCATTTACAGAATGAGTATTTCTGTCTTAAGACCGCTCCCATACCCTTACACTGTGAAAATTCAATTGCCCTTTGATTTCATATATATGCATCTAGATCAGGATTTGTCAATGGATTTCCTCACCTCAAAGACAAATCATGTGGATTAGTGATGCCACACATTTTAGAGTTCTTTCAATGTCTGAGATGTGCTATTTTTAGAGAGCAAGTCTATTCATTTCTGAGATCATGCCTATTTCTAGTTTCTGTGCAGAACCTATTAGATTACTGCTGTTAGATAAATCACAATATCAACAGTACTGCACTTGATATAGCCGAGAAATATTAGTTTGATAGTTGTCTTTTCTGAATTGCTATTAATTGGATAAATATTTGGATGGACATCTCTGCAAGGCATTGCATAAAGCAGCCCTTTCCTCTGGAATACTGTAATCAAAGCCCAGGTAGCCAGACAGGAACTACCATGCAGGTTTCATACACCCAATCAAGCACAGTGCCGAAGGAGGGAAAACACAAGTGTTAACCTTTAGATTGGAGAATAACAGCACCTTATTTCTACTTTTTGAACAAAGGACCTTGTACTTTCATTTTGCACTAGGCCCCTCAAATTAGGTAGCTGGCCCTGCTTGTGAACTAACCTTGTCCTTTGTCTCTGACCATTCAGATCCATGTCTTCCTCCAGCATCCATGGCACCAACTTGCTAGCTTGTAATTAGGGCAAAACAGACTCTCCACCATTCTGGATACATGCTCTCCTGCCTTTCCTCCGACCTAAATGGCTCATCTTCTTTGCTACTCCCTCCAATTCTGCCTCTTCTTTTTAATGCTAGAGGGCCCCAGGGCTCCTCTTTTTATGCCACCATCCACCCACTCTTTCCACCAGACCCTGGTCTCTTCTCTATCTGCACTCCCTCCCTTAAGTGATTGCCTCTAGCTGCATGGCTGATCCTGATCATTCCATCTATATGCTTAGAATTCCTAAATGTTGTCTCCAACCAAATTTTTAAATCAAACTCCAGAATCAACTCAACACATTCAAATGGAATTACTGATCTTACTCTCAAAACCAATCCACTTGTGGTCTTCCCAGTTCACACAACGGCATTCTCTCCTTGCAGTTACTCAAGCCAACATTTCTGGAGTCATTTTTCACTCATCTCTTCTCTCACATTCTTCATCAATCTGTCTGAAATTCTATTGACCCCATGTTAAACACAGACACAGGTTCCACCATACCTTATCACCACTGTTTCTACCACCCTTGTCAAACACACCATCTCTCCCCATTCCTAGTCTAGGGGTGTCCTAACTGGGTCCTTGCACTCTTCTCTCCCACGGTCTTGTTCCCATTGGAGCAACCAGAATGATTAATGAACAACTGAAGTCAGATCATTTGCTCTCCTGTTCAAAACCCTACAGTGGCTCCCTGCCTAAGTAAAGCCTAAGTCAACATGCTCTGGCCCACTTAGCATCTCTCTGACCTTACCTCTCATTATTGTCACCTTTGCTAGCTTAGTTCTGGCAACAACACCCTCTATGTTGCTCCTCAAACAACCCAGGCATCCTTCCACTTTGCATTCGCTGTTCCTTCTGCCTTGAACTCTCTTTCCCCTAACAACCTTCTCCTGACTTCCTTACCTTAGTCAGGTCTGCTCAGATTCACCCTCCTGACAGTGGCAACCCGCACCCTCTACACGCTCCCATCCTCTTAATCCTAATCATACTCTAGATGATAGGTTTATTTATTGCACTTATTTATTATGTTTCTTTCCTTTTTCCCCCTGCTAGAACATCAGCTGCATGAGTGCAGGAAATTCTTTCTCTTTGGTTCGTAGATGTATCTGCAGCATCTAGGATGGTGCTGAGCACAAATTAGGCATTGCATAAAAATCTACTGAACAAGTGTGTAGAAGTTCTGTATAACCTGGTTGTTGGTGTGTCCCTTCAGAAAAGATCTGTATGTTTTTTCAGAGGTGTTCCAGATTGGTTGATAGCCTTGGATTACTTCCAGTGAAAATTTCTCTGCAGCTTAAAGTTAAATCCCAAATCCAGATTAGCACAGGCATGGGATACAAATTCTTGGGGCAGACATTGTCTTGGCCACCTGAAGCATTAGCGAGACAGACACATTTCCTTGTTTGATAGTTGGCGACCATTGTCCTAGAACACCCTTTTACTGTGTACCCCTTTGATTGCACCAGCTCTATGAGGACTCCATTTCAGCCCTCTGCTTGGAGGACTTGCCTAGTCCCTAGCCTCCTGTTTCTGCCTAGCCACTGACACCAAGCCACTTGGTTACCAAGGGCAAAAGACCTCAGGCTTTCCATCCTCCAAGTGCAGCTTACAATGCTTTCACTCTTAGCCGGGACTTCCTATTATTTTCTTATGAATTAAGTGATATATTTAAATAATGTGCATTATAATTTATCTGCCATTTCTAGTGGCTTTATATGGAGAGTTCTTTAGAATTGGTAGTCAATCATATTTCTGGACACTGAAGTCCCCATCCCTCATCAGCCCACCAGGGTTCTGAACCTGGTCCAAGCCTGGTCAGAGCAAGGTCACACAATGACCCCCAAAGGGCACTCTTTTGTCCTCATCCTACTCAATATCTAGGCAGATGCAGCAGGGCTGAGAGCTTGTTCTCTTTATGCCTGTCTGCCCAGTCTCTGTGATACCCGCTCCTCTTGCCTTTTTACTTTACTGGCTGGCTGCTCTGCTCAGGGCTCCCAGGATAGACGGCACCTCTGTTCTAGGTCTAAAGGTTAGATTACCTCAGTTGAGCCGTGCTCCTTCCTTCCTCTCTTCCAAGGTGATCTCAATCATTCCTAAGATGTTTGACAAAAACCATAGCTGATGACACCCATTTCTGGCTGAAGGCCGGAGACCCCTCTGAGTGCCAATCCCTTATCCAGCTGCTCTTCTGACAGCACTACTTTGTAGTCTCTTTGTCATCTTTATTCCTTCTCTTTCCTTGTTTCCTAATCCAGTTCCAAGACCCACCCCAGTTGCCTTGAGTCAGAATCCCAGGAGGTAAAGCCCAAGCCTGGCATTTTTTTAAAAGCTCCATTTGGAATTCTTATTTTTGCATGTAATCAGTCTTCATGACATTAATACATATTCTGGTCACTATTTTGATTTAAACCTTTCAACTTCACTCAAATCAGAAAATTCTATTTCCTGAAATCAACAGTCTATATTTAGAAACATGCGCATGTGTGCTGAGCCACTGGCAGAGGAACAACCCCCACCACGCTCCGCCGGGAACTAGGAAGAGTCTGTTCCGGTGAGGTGCAAGAACACAGTCTTCCACTCGCTTCTGGGATTCTAGTGGATGTCAATATGGTCTTGCTGCAAACCGTTTCAAGAGGGTCTCCAAAAAGCCATCAATGTCATGTCAACACCTGACATGACAGCAAGAAGACACAGGTCATGGCTCTAGCATCACCGGTTTTCAGATGGTTCTCACGGCAGCACAGGTGTCTGAGGATGGCCTCAGCATGAGGACCTGCCTTCATCCAGGACCTGATGCTATAATAATCATGGCCATCAACCCAATGCCCGTTGTTAATTCCAAAATGACTAGGTGTTTCAGTAAAATTAACGACAGAAATGAATACTTCAGAATACAGTAGACCCCCTGTATCTGTGAATTCTCATCTGTGGAGTCAAACCAAGCTCGGATGGAAAATATTTGAAAAAAAAAAAAAAAAGATGGTTATGTCTGTACCAAACAGGTACATTTTTTTCCTGTAATTATTCCCTAAACAATACAGTATAGCAACTATTTACATGGCATTTACATTTTATTAGGAATTATGAGAATAGAGATGATTTAATGCATACGAGAGGATATGTGTAGGATATATGCAAACACTACATCATTTTATATCAAGGACTTGAGCATCTTTGGGTTTTAGTATGCTCAAGGGGTCCTGGAACCAATCCTTCAAGGATATGGAGGGAAAACTGTACATACCCAGTACGTGTTAACTTTGCTTGCTGGCTCCTATCATTATGTAAAGGATACTTCCATATCCTACAGTGTATTCACATAGTGTATTCATATAGAAATCCCTTGCTCTTGTGAAATTCAGACATGCCAGTACATTCGATTTCTTTAAGCTGTTGGGTAATGATTGTGTTTGTTTTAATTCCTCTAATATCTGCTCCTGGTAAATGTAAACAGATGTTTCTAATTATTCCCTTTCAGTGATGATGCACACATATCAGGCAGGCAGATGGAAGATTTAGGTTTCACAAAGAGAAGGTGAAATGTCTATGATGCCAACAAGAGTTGTGAATGGATGATTTTCATTGTAAAAATCGCCATATTTTGGTTTGAAAGTCAGTAAATAAACAAGAACTATTAAATTACTCAAAACGGAGAGCATTGTTTTAATAAAGCAGGGCACTCCCTCAGCTACAAGCTGTAGTCCTGTTAAACTTTAGCATAACATCTCACACTATTCATATTCAAATGAGCTCGAGGGAGTTATGACAGAGGTATGGACCAGCCAAGCCAACTTGAGGCCACTGAATGCAAACTTTCCAGTAGCATTCAGATGGTGATTTAAAGTATCAAAACGTTGGCCGGGCGCGGTGGCTCATGCCTGTAATACCAGCACTTTGGGAGGCCGAGGCAGGCAGATCACGAGGTCAGGAGATCAAGACCATGGTGGCTAACACAGTGAAACCCCATCTATACTAAAAATACAAAAAATTAGCTGGGTGTGGTGGCGGGCATCTATAGTCCCAGCTTCTAGGGAGGCTGAGGCAGGAGAATGGCATGAACCCGGGAGGTGGAGCTTGCAGTGAGCCGAGATCACGCCACTGCACTCCAGCCTGGGCGACAGAGCGAGACTCCGTCTCAAAAAAAAAAAGTAGCAAAAGGTCTCTATTCACCATGGCACTGGTTAAAGCATCAACTATCAAGTTAATTGTACCTTTTCCTGATTTTGTGAGTAAGGTTGGATATTAAAATATAGGTTTTCCATATGTGAGAGTTGCCTCAAGTTGGATAGCAGCTAGACGATTTTTACTGTGAGAACAATAATTCAAAGTGTCCTTTATGTTTCTCATTCCTTTGCAGGCACTGCACAGCCAGGATTCAGCCACCGCGGAGATGATTACACAGCTTAGAGATACACTGTCCAAACCTCCCATGAGTTTGGAATTGTGCATGCCAGATTCAGTTGTAACATAACCAGAGATGTCAATTCATTAGCTGCTGTGTTAATCAGAATTAGGGTTTATAATTTATAACTGGCAATATAATTAACAGATGGTAATTTAATCAGTCATGATTCTCTTGCTTTACGTTCACCTTTAAAACTGTGAAACTGTTGTCGCTTAAAATGTACAGGATGTGATGTCACAAAAGCTGCAATCCTTTTGGCTGTCTCCTGCTATGCCCTGGCTCAAAATCCAACACCCTCTTCTAACCTTGTCCAGGAGCAAGGTTAAACAGAACGGTATGAGGAGTGGCGAACATCTATGAAGATCCGTAGACTCCCATCTCAGCCTCTATAGCACTACAGCCCATTATCAAATATACCTTTATGAATGACAGCCTGCAATTATCAGATCGCCTTCTGACGCAGGACATGAGGCGGAGAAATAACACCTAGAACTTGCTCGCTGCATGCTACGACTTCCCAGAGCTGGAGCCACATTGGGAGACTCTGCAGAGAAGGCTTGCTTCAGCCAGCTGGCATTTCCCCCTCACCTCTCTGGGATGCCTTCCCTCTGGCACTGGCCAGAGGAAGGCAAGACACTGAAGGGAGAGGAAAGTGAATTGACTGGCATAGCTGAGGTTCAAAACTGACACTAAAGGAGAAGGGTGCTGAAGTGCAGGAGCCAGCATTCCTATGGAATACAAACTCTTGGTTAGAATGAAGGTTTCCAGCATTCTATTTTTGCCCCTCAACTGTCCTTGATTGAAGCCTTTGGACCTGACAGGTAGATCACATCTGCCTCTGGTCATTTCCATCAGCACTGCCTGTGGGCCACACTTACCATGCCGACACTACTCTACCAGTTCATGGCTGGGCCATGGCCAGATGCCCCTTGGCTTCCCTGGCTGTGATGGAGGACAGCTGACAGCAAGACCCATACTGATGTCCTGCACTAATGAAGTGGCATCAGGAATAAAGAACAGGGAAAACAGACAGCTGACCCTTGAACAACACAGGTTTGAACTGTAGGGGCCCACTTATACACAGATTGTTTTACTTTTTCTTCTCTTTCTTTTTTTTTTTTTAGAGACAAGGTCTCACTGTGTCACCCAAGCTAGAGTGCAGTGACTCGATCATAGCTCACTGAAGCCTTAAACTCCTGGGTTCAAGCAATCCTCCCAACTCAGCCTCTCAAGTAGCTGGGACTACAGGCCCTCACCTCTGTGCCCAGTTAATTTGTTAAAGAATTTTTTGCGAGACAGGGTCTCATCATGTTGCCCAGGCCAGTCTTGAACTCCCAGCCGCAAGCAATCCTTCTGCCTCGGTCTCCCAAAGCACTGGCATAACAGGCATAAGCCACCAAGCCTTCCCCCCAGATTTTTTTCAATAAATATAGTTGGACCTCCATATCCACCGGTTCTGAATCTGCAGCCAAATGTGAGTCAAAAATAGAGGATCAACTTTTCGTGTATGGTATACATGGGTTCCACAGGACTGACTATGGGACTTGAATATGTGTGGATTTTGGTGTACTTGGAGGTATGGGGGTGGTCCTGGAACCAATCCCCTGAATATACTGAGGGGCAACTGTGTATATATATGTATACATACATTTTCAATTCCAAACTCCTGGAAAGGAAAAAATGAATCTATAAGCCACGTTAGTTCCACAGTGGCTGAATCCTAGCTGTGCAGTTCCTGCATAGCCTGCAAAGAAATGAGAAACATGAAGGACACTTTGAATTACTGTTCTCATGCTAAAAATAGTCTAAGTGCTATCCTACACATAATCCCCCCTCCTCTCTACCTGCATATATAAGCATATATGTAAGTGTACCCCCCCGCACACACACACCAAAGCAGCAATAGATAGCTGCACTGATACACAATTTTTAAATATTGTGAGTTATTTGCGAGAAAGATTATCACTCAACAGATGAACATTTATTAAATGAATTCATTTATTTATGAACTCAGTTATTGTGTTTATCCATTCATCATTTTCTATTAATTTATTCATTACATTTGCCTCACCAAGTTTATAAAAGAAATATGTCATGGACTCAGTCCACAGCTTGGGGGTTGATTTCGCTACTACACCGGTATTGCCAGTCTGTCTCAGTCCCTCGGGGCTTCCCTGCTACTCTCCTCACACGGCCCTCCTCTGTTTTCACCATCTCACAAGTCTTTCCCATCTGTCCCATCTCACCAAAGAACCCTCAGCTGACACCTCCACCCTGACCTTCTTAGACTGTCTCCTCCATTCTGCACTCTGTCAGTTGCTCATCTAACATAAGAAGGTTATCCTTAATGGCCAGCAAGATCCTGTCCCTGTGAAGATTTTATGTTTCTCCACAACACCACAGGCCCTATATGACAGTTCACCGAGGAGCTGTTCTCCCCTGGTCTCCTGCACTGCCCCGTGCCCCCATCCTGGCGGCCAGGTGCCTGACTGCAGTCATGGTGGAACACAGCCTCAGAATGATGGGATGCCAGAAAGCAGAAGAGCAAGCCATGCAAAGAGACGAGGAGCCCTCAGAGATGGCACAGCCCATTTTGAGCACATCCACCAGGCAACCTTAAACCCTCAAGATCAGAGTCACTCCATACAGCAAACTCCAAAAACAACAGCTAAGGGTACCAGCCAAAGGGTAGTTTTCAACTTCAGGCAGGAGCAATGTTCATGTTGTGGTGTCTTCAGTCTCCCTCCCATGACACAGAGGTCAACGCTCCTATCATCAGCATTCTCTTTGAACAAGGAGAACGTAATGAACCAACATGCACCCCAGCTTTCATGACACTGTGTGTGTGTGTGTGTGTGTGTGTGGGTTCACCCTACTGGTTCTGACACACGGGAAGTCCCCGTGTGACCTCAGTCTGACCTCCAAAGTGCAAACTTTCCTCCTCTTCTGTTACTTTTTCATTTATTCATCCAACAAACACTACTGGTGACCCACCACCTGCCGTCATAGGGGAGACAATAAGACACTGTCAGGATCTTGCTCATAGTCTAGCAAAGACCAAAACTACGGATCCTTCCCTTTTCCAATCACTCAACAAGTACTTGTGTAGCACTTCCTATGTTGCAGACACCGTCTGCCTTAGTGGGGCTTCGTGGAATTCAATGAGAGAGGCAGACACTGACAAACATCCACAGAAATATTACACCATGAGAAGTGACAGGGAGTTGGGCAGCGATGACTGAGGGTACCCAGGGCAGGAGGTGAGGGAAGGAATTCCAGGCTGAGGGGCCTACCAGCGGTTGCAGGGATGGACATTCAGGCCAGAAGCAGAGGGCAGGAATAGTCACTCCAAGATTAGAGGCTCTGGTACAGATTTTTGGTTTTATTTGGAAAGCCTTGAGAAGATACTGCACATTTTTGGGTTTGCACTAAAAATCTCAGTCTTCCTGCTACATGGAAAACAGTCTTCTCTACAAATTCATATGTTGGGGTTCTGAGCCCTGGTATCTCAAGAATGTGACCTTATTTGGAGATGAAGTGTTTACAGAGATGATTAAATTAAAATGAGGTTGCTAGGGTGAGCCCTTGTCCCACATGACTAATGTCCTGATACAAAGAGGAGATTTGGAGACAGACACGCACACAGAGAGAAGGCCTCGTGAAGGAGGAGGCAGAGATCAGGGTGATGTTTGTACAAGCCAAGCAATGCCAAAGATGGCCAGCCACCACCACAAGGAGGGGACAGGACTGGGGCAGATTCTCCTCCAGGTCCTCAGAAGGAGCCAACCCTGCTGGCACCTTGATCTGGGGCTTCCAGCCTCCGGAACTGTGAGGGAATGAACTTCTGTTGTTGAAGACCACGGTCTGTGGTACATTGCCATGGCAGCCCTAGCAGACGGATACACTGCTGCAGCCCATGAGGAGTGGTGACAGTGACAGTCAGACATGGCTGTGTTGGGGAGAAATTTAAGCTGCCGAACAACAGGGCCTTCCTGATGATTTGTCCATAGCCTGAGGAGCAGAAGCAAGTCCAAGGTGGGTCCACATGAGAACAGTTCCACTCAGGGACACATCAGCATGTGATGGAGACTCACAGAAAACTTGATAGGTTTGTAGTAAAATTTTGAAATGAGCTAAAAGGAGAAAATGAAAAACACTTGCAATGTCTCCAACACAAAGCTACACTTAGTGGCTCGTTCCTCTAATTTCAACACTTTTTGTAAGAGGCTAAGAAGGAAGGATTGCTTGAGGCAATTGAGACCAGCCTGGGAAACAGAGTGAGAACCCCTGTCTACAAAAATGTGTAACGTGAGCCAGGCCTGGTGGTGTGCGCCTGTAGTCCCAGCGTTCTAGAGGCTGAGGCGGGAAGGGTGCTTGAGCCCAGGAATTCCAGGTCACACTGAGCTATGATTGCACGACGCACTACAGCCTGGGCGACGGAGTGAGACCATGTCTCCCCCTCCAAGAAAAGAAAAAGCCACTTGTTCCTGCTCTGGTGAACTCTTTTGGTCATTTTCTGTTTGACAGTGACAGTACATATCTGGATGTGTGTATCCAAAGATAGTGACTTGTTAACAGAAATGGAACTATCTTTACATGCCTCATATTAAGAATATAGCCTTTCGAGGTAGGAGTCCACTCCTGTGAGGTATGGTGATGGGTGCAGATGCAATGTGGCTCTCAATAGCACCTTATGGACAGTTGTGTCCCCAAAGGAGGGATGAGAATAGCTACTGAAGTCCTAAAGAGCAACCCTAACTCAAGCCATTGGCACACAGGCATTAGACAGAAAGCTGGAAGTTGAAATGGTGGAGTCCAACTTGTCTGGACCAGCTTAATGGTTCTACTCCTGGTAACATTTTTGTCTGTGGATGGCTTGCTTGGGTGCAGATGTTTGGAGACCTTTTAAAGGACTCCGAATTCATGCTTGAAGAAATGCAGGCAGACCTGTTATCCTAAACTAGGGTTTTTAATGACCACAGCAAGCAAGCATGCAGCTTACCACTTGAAAGGGTCTTGCCTCACCCAAGCTGGAGTGCAGTGGCCTTTGAAGCTTACTACAGCCTCAAACTTCTGGGCTCAAGTGATCCTCAGCCTCCCAATGGTCTTTGTAGACCGCCTGATGGAGTCTCGTGGCACAAGAAGATTAAAACAATGTCTCCAATTTTAATAAATTTTTGCAATCCAAAAAAAAAACAATATATGAAAAATCATTTTCCACATTTCAGTAATATTTTACCAAATAATGGGACCTATTTTTTAACAACTTTAATGAGGTATAATTTACACACCAAAAATTTCAGTTGTTTTTAAGGGTACAATCGAATCATTTATTTTAGTAAATTGACAGTCATGCATCCATGACTGCAGTCTAACTTTAGAACATATCCCTCACCCCAGAAATGAACCCAGTGCCCATTTGCAGTGACTCTCCCTTCACACTCCATCACCCCAAGCAACCCCTAAGCCACTTTCTGGCTCTATGGATTTGCCTATTCTGGACATTTCAGATAAACGGAATCATATACTACGTGGTATTTGGTGCCTGGCTTCTTTCACTTAGCATCATACTTTTGAGGTACATCTATATGGTAGCATGTATCAGTGTTTCATTTCTTTTTATTGCCAAACATGATTAAATAGTATGAATAAACTAACTGGTTCACGCATTTACCAGTTAGTGAGCATGTGGGTTATTTCCACTTTAGGGAAATTGTGAATAGTGCTGCTAATCTCATCCATGTATGAGTCTTTGTGTGGGATAGTGTTCTCATTCTGCTTGGGTATATACCTAGAAGTGGAATTTCTGGGTCATATGGTAAATAACATAAGAAACCGCCAAAATGTTTTTCCAAAGTAGCTGCATTATTTCACCCCAGCAACATATAAAGTTTCCAATTTCTACACATTCTCATCAACACTTATTATTTTCTGTTTTTTAAAATTATGGTCATCCTAGCTGGAATTAAGTGGTATCTCATTGTGGTTCTAATTTGCATTTCCCTAGCGACTAATGATGTTAACTGTCTTTTCCCTATCAGCCATTCATATAACTTCTTTTTTGTTTGTTTGTTTTTGAGATGGAGTCTTGCTCTGTCGCCCAGGCTGGAGTGCAGTGGTGCGATCTCGGCTCACTGCAAGGTCCGCCTCCCGGGTTCACGCCATTCTCCTGCCTCAGCCTCCCGAGTAGCTGGGACTACAGGCACCTGCCACCACGCCTGGATAATTTTTTGTATTTTTAGTATAGACGGGGTTTCACCTTGTTAGCCAGGATGGTCTCGATCTCTTGACCTCGTGATCCACCCACCTCGGCCTCTCAAAGTGCTGGGATTACAGGCATGAGCCACTGCACCCAGCCTCATATAACTTCTTTGGAGAAATATCTATTCAGATTCTTTGCCCACGTATGTTAAAATTTGTTTTTCTTATTGTTAAGTTGTGAGAGTTATTTACATAGTCTGAATACATGTTCCTTGTCAGTTATATGCTTTGCAAATATTTTATTCCTGGCTGTGAATTGTTTTTCAGTCTCTTAACAGTATTTCAAAGAGCTGAAGTTTTAAATTTTGATGAAGTCCAAATTATCAATGTTTCCTTTCATCACTTGGGCTTTTGAAGTCATGTCTAAGAAATCTTTGCTGAGCCCAAGATCAGGAAGATTTAGTACTAAGGTTTTTTTCTGTAAATGTTTCATGGTTTCAGATCTTACATTCAGGTGGAGGATGCATTTTGAGTTTGTTTCTTTGTGCAGATCATTGGTCTGTAAATTTGCTTGTCATAGAAAGGAGACAGTGCACTCAGGCCTGGTAAAGAGAGAGCAGGTGCCAAGGCCAGGCATTCTACAGAACAGGGTACAATTTGAATTTTTTTTCAATTTGAAAAAAGACCGTTTGGAATGCAGTCTGTAGACTCAACAGAAGTGGCAGATGTTCTCAAGAGATGAAACCAAAGCCAGGCCACAGCAGGACCTGTGGGACTGTTAGAAAAGGCAGGATAAGGCAGGATCCCAGAGCGGGGCTGCCTGGCCAGCACTAGGGACAATTTGAAGGATCCAGGGGCACAGCTGCCTCCCCCACTGTTAGTCGAGGAGGAAAAGCGGTGGCCCACAGCCTTCTCAAAACGGAGACAACTAACGGGTTACCCTGGTTAGCAAGTGGACAGAAGAAAAGGGGAAAAACTTACTTTTTTAAACCAATTGTGGTAAAACACATCTAACAAGATTTACCAGCCTAACCATCTGTAAGTGTTCAGTTCAGCAGCATTAAGTACCTTCCCATTGTTGTGTTACCGTCATGACCATCCATCTGCAGAACTCTCCATCACCCCAACTGGAACTCTGTGCCCATTAAACACCAACTCCCCTGCCCCTAGCCCCAGCCCCTGGCCACCTCCATTCTCCTTTCTGTCTCTGAATTTACTGCTCTGGGGACCTCATATGAGTGGAGTCACATAGCGTTTGTCCTTTGTGACTGCTTTTTTCACTTAGCATAATATCCTTAAGGTTCATCCATGTGGAAACATGTCTCAGACTTTTCTTGCTTTTCAAGGCTCAACAATAATTTATTTTAAGAATGTTCTGTTTGCACAGAGTAATTTGGAGGTGCCTGTGGGGCAAACTAGGGAGAAGCAATCACTGTGCATGTGGAAGAGAAGCTCTAAAGCTCTAAATTTAAAATAAGTGGAGGTTTTGGCATGGATGAACTAACCATGGAGAGGGTGTACAGTGAGAACCTTATGATCCCGAAGAAAGGGGCAGAGAAAGGGCCATCAGTTAAAAATACTGAGGAGGAACAGTGAGGGAGCGGCAGGAGAACCAGGCAGTGGGAATCCCAGGTAGCCAAGAATAATGTGGCAAAAAATTTGAGACAAGGCATACAGAAGAGGCCAAGGTCTTGGGGACCCAGGAGGTCACAGGAGAGAAACAGTGTCTGTAAAACCACAGACAGAAGCCCAAGGGTGCGTCAGCAGGGCGAGGCAGGAGACAGAATCACTAGTGTGGAGACCATGGTTCCTCTCTGATGGGGAAGGAAAGAACTGACAGCGGCTGGGATTTTGAGCAGCAGGTGGGTGGACAGAAGGGGGTGCCTTCAGAATGTGGATGACTGGTGGGGTTCCAGGGAGGGGCTGGAGCTTGTGGGGTGCCTGCAGAGTGGGTGGCAGGAGGAGCTGAGTCATGGAGGAGGTAAGCAGAGATGCAGGTGTGGAAACAGCAAAGAGCTAAGAGATGAGAAGATACAAAGGGTCTGGGCGAGCAGGGAGGCAGCAGAACCATCTACTTCTCTCGCGCTGTTTTCTTGGTGGATCCAGAAGCTGGGTCATTTGCTACGGTGAGAAGCATTGCTACGATATGCGTGTATGCATCTCTGCAAAATTAATATGCTGAAGCCTAATCACCTTGGTGATAGTCATGAAGTGGGGACTTTCAAGGTGATTAGGTCATGAGGGCTCTGCCCTCACAAAAGGGATTAGTGCCCTTGTAAAAGGGCTAGAGGGACATGAGATGCCCTTCTGTCTCCTCTTCCATATTAGGACACAGCATTCCTCTCTCTCTTCTCCCTCCACCATGTGATGACCCAGAAACAAGGCAGCACCTTAAAAGCAGACCGTAGTCCTCACCAGACACTAAACCTACTGCCACCTTGCCCTTGGACTTCCTAGTCTCCAGAACTGTGAGAAATACATTTCTATTGTTAATAAATTACCTGGTCTGTGGTATTCTGTTATAGCAGCAGGAATGGACTAAGACAGGCATGACTGGAGGTAGTGTAAAGAGAAAGGTCAGGTTCTTGTAACAGCCGCTACAGGGAAAGTGAGCTGATGAGGAGAAAGGAAAATGTGCTGAGCCCATAGAAGAAAGCAGGACAGAGCCAAGGCTGTGTGTGTGTGTGTGTGTGTGTGTGTGTGTGTGTGTGAAATTAGAGAGGACAGGGAGAGAGAGAGAAGATAAGTCGATAAAAGAATGGACGGATGGATGCATAGATAGATGGTAGCTATGGAAACAATATGAAAATACACTAAAATATGGAAATATGGAATCATAGCTGTCTCTGAGGGGTGGGATCATGAGTTTTTAATTTCAGTCTTTAATAATGTTTTGTAATTTCCGAATCTCCTACAAAGGGGATATTTTATTAGTGAGATAAAACAGTCCAATTCTACGTTTAGAGATAATTGGGCACAAAACCCAAACAAAATTCTGAGCAGTTCTGAGCGTCCAACAGAGACTGAAACTGTGCATTTGTAGTGGAGCCAGCCAGCAAGTTTGTGTAGCCTTGTTCAGCTACCCTCAGCAGCCCAGCAACAATGAGCTTGGAATAATCACCACGCCAAGGCTGTGCATCTCTGAAACACTCAGTTCCTGTCCAGAGCCCTGTTGGGTGCTTCATGTACATCACCCCACCACCTTCCAAGGCTCACATTGTTATCACACCAATTCTCAGGTGAGAAAGATGAGTATTGGGTTAATGAACTCCCTTGGGATTTCACAGCAGTTCAAAAGTGGTGTCAAGTTGGCCTCACCCCAGCCCCATGCATACCCTTAGCCCCATCTGAACAGTGAAGGACTCAGACCTGGGTAACTGGGCTGGAGTGGGTGATGCTGAGAGAGGGACTTAACCTATGAGGAGAGGTCAGGCTGAAGACCCAGTAGGGCCAAAAGAGAAGCAGATTTTCAGAGGATCCCTCTGACCTCAGAAGTAAATGGAAATAGTTTCTTTTGATAGCAACAGGAGGCAGCCAAATGCCTAGACAGATGGGGTGGGTACCCAGTGAAGCCCCACCTCCAAGCTGAAGACAATTTAAAGCCTGGAAGCTAAATTTAAGTTAAATCCTCAGACTGGATTGAGAACTTGCCTTCCTTCTGATTGATCCCCACCCTTCACCTATTTTACATGTGCCTACCCTTTCCTAATTGGTTTTCTACACTGTTGTGCCCACCATTGAGTGGTGTCTTCACTTTAACCTATTTTGCATGCTCACAAACCAATCAGCATGCACTTCCCATCCTGTGCCTATAAAGACCCCAGACTCAGTTGGTAGATGGGGAGATGGTTGGACTTTGAGGAGACGGACTTCAGAGAAGAGGCGATCAGGCTTCAGGAAAGATGGCCTGCCCTCCCTGTCCCCTCTCCAGCTCCACTCTCTACTGAGAGCCATGTTCATCACTTAAGAAAGTTATCCGGCTTCACCATCCTTCAACTGTCTGTGCGACCAACCCAACCTCATTCTTCTTGGATGCCAGACAAGGGCTAGGGACCCACTGAGTATGGGTACCCAAAAAGGCTGTTACACAGGCCCTTTGCCCTCACTGACAGAGGGCAACTGCTCTGGGCACTGCCACAAGGGGCCAACTGAGCTGCTAACACACTGCCATCTGCAGACAGTGGAGCTAGGACAGCACCGGAACACGCCACCTAGGCACCACTGCAGGCCCCACACAGAGCTTGCCCCTGCTGGCGTCCAGAGGAGCTGACTGGATCCCTCACCCGCTTGTTCACACACTCCCTCCCACAAGGGGTTGAGCACATGGACTGAATAAACAGGGCACCCCTGTGGTGTGTCCAGCAAAGGGGCCAAGAAGAATACTGCATCAATTTAACTTCAGCCTTAGTATCATCCTTCTGCATTCAGCTACTTGCTGATAAAAACCAGAGGGTGTACTGACTTGTGGGAACATTCAAGTATGTTCAGAGCTATAAAAATCAGGTGTAAATATCCCTTATATTAGTGGTTTCTGACTGAGGAAAAATCCGTGGTTAGACCCCATTCCTAAATGCTAAGATAATGCTAAGAAGATCAGAAAGGGAAATAATTCTTATACATGGTCACTGCTTTCAAGTGAGAACTAAACTCTGACCTTTTTTTCTCTTGCCAAAATACATATCTAAGGCACTTGGGGAGTCACACCCTACAAACCATAACATCTCATTTTGATGGGCTTTTTTCTTAACCCGATATGATGTGCCTTGCTCTCCAACCTCACTCTGGTACAGCATCACATGGCAGACAGGAGGCCCTGAAGGAAATCAAACCATGTTATCCCAAAATATATTTCTTTGACATATTTTGAAATGGCTGCCACAGGGCTAACAGATTGGAATATCCCCCACAAAGCCACCTTTTGTGGGGAAAATTTTCATCTGTAGTGCATCTCCATTCATGCAGCCAGGTCTTCCCTTTCTAGGCCTTTCCCAGATCTAGGAGAGATTAACTGAGAGCCTGACACCTTTAAGGTCTGAGAAGAGACATTCACCATCTATTCTCTCTGAGGGCTGCCACCTATGAGCCTTCCTCTACATAACAAGAGCCTTAGCCCCACAACCCCCTTATCTTAACTCAGGCATTCCTTTCCATGGACTTCAAGTCTTTAGATAATAGCTTAACTCTCAACAAACTGTCAACTAAGAAATCTCTAAAACCCACCTATGACTTGCAAGCCCCATGGCTTCAAGATGTTCCTCCTTTCGTGGCACAACCAATGTATACCTTCCAGGTACTGACAATTTTATCTGCAATTCACATATTGAACCAAACTGTAAAACCAAACTGTAACTTAACGGCCTCAGGAGCTCTTACTCGGCACCATGGTCACTCCTATTGGCTAAGAATAAACCTGTTTAAATGTATTTTGGCAGAATTTGGTTTTCTTATAATCATGAGGCTAACATCTTACCAGGAACAAAGATGACAAATACAACCAAAGAAAAATCACATGAATTTTAACTGCATGATGCAATAGAAACAGTTGGGGCCATAATTCCATCAAAACATAAATGTGTCCTTAATAAAAATATATTAAAAATATAAATATATATGTAGAAGTATAAATAGAGGCCATAAACATTTCCTGGAAATAGTCAACAGCAAGTTGAGCATTAGCCTAGATGAAACCCTTAATCCTTTCCAATTTATGGCTTCAAAAACCACGGGAAGATTTGCAGTTTCCTAGACCACTGAGTTGTACCCTAAAAGGAGGGTAAATCTATATTTTTGTACTGCAACAATGAAAATGTTTATTCACGCTGATTTATTCTATCTCCAGAATACAGGAAATTGAAAATGAATGATGTGGGGCAGGAAAGGGAGAGTCTGACAGCCTAAAGTTTAAGTCCTGCTTTCCTCCTCTTTAAAATAAGGATAACACGAGTACACACCTTAGTGGATTGTTTTGAGTACCAAGTAAAACTGAAACGGCCTTTGCAAAAATTGCAACAGGGAGAAAACTTATGACAGTGAAAGAGTTCTGACCTCACCGACTCCATCTTGCTTCCAACCTCCAACCTGCCTTCTTCATTCCTGGGAGTAGGCAGAACTAACTTAGGGAGAAACTTAGTTTATAGTTTAACTTTAAAATAAGATGGATAACAGACCTTTCCCAAAACAAACCCCCTTCTTGCCTGGGGACAAGACTGCCTTTGTAAAACTAACAAATTCACCACAAGATTGGAAATTAGGGTTTAGGAGTCATGCAGAAAGAGGCCAAAAGATTCTGAACCTCCCCAATTGCTCTTATGGATAACATCACTATTGTAAAACCTAAGATTGGTGTTCAAGGTATTTTTCAAACCCTGCATTCTAATGCATCAGGTGGCACCATCCATACCAGTAAACTGAGTCAACCAGTTCAGCAATCCCACCCAGGCACAGAAGACAGCAAGAAGAATCCACTTCAATCACCTATGATCTCATCTCCAAGCTGACCAATCAGCACTCCCCACTCTCTGGTCCCCTAACTGCCAAATTAATCCTTTAAACACTCCAGACTCTGAGTTTTCAGGGAGACTGATTTGAGTAATGAAACTCCAGTCTCCCTTTTAGCTGGCTCTGCATGAGTTAAACTCTTTCTCTATTGCAATTCCTCTATCTTGATATATTGGCTGTATCTGGGCAGCAGGCAAAATGGACCCATTGGGTGGTTACAGTTAGGTCAGATCTTTTTCACCGTCATAATTTTCTTACTGTCATAATTTTTGCAAAGGCAGTTTCAGAACTATGCATGTAAAGTTCTCCATACATCAAATAAATGTTGGCCTAAATATTTTTTAAACAGGAAGCATGTAGAAACTGAGAAGGAATAAACTGCAGTGTTTGAATATTTAGATAAGTTCCTTTTTTCAAGGCTCATGGAAAATTTGGGAAGCAGCTTGAAAAAGTACTCAACCAGATCATGACTATAATGTTTATTCAGACTAATAAACTGCTTAAATGTTAAAACAATAAATCCCAAATGCAAAGAACACCAGGAAATAATACCATTATGAGGTCCGCAATAGCTATTTCTTGCAATCTACAGAAGATGCACTATAAATATACAAAGTTTGATGACTTCAAATTTTTAAATTTGTGGTAAACAAAGGTGTTTTTTTGTTTGTTTGTTTTTTGAGATGGAGTCTTGCTCTGTTGCCCAGGCTGGAGCACAGTGGCGTGATCTCAGCTCACTGCAAGCTCCGCCTCCTGAGTTCATGCCATTCTCCTGCCTCAGCCTCCCGAGTAGCTGGGACTACAGGCGCCCGCCACCATGCCTGGCTAATTTTTTGTATTTTTTAGTAGAGACAGGGTTTCACCATGTTAGCCAGGATGGTCTCTATCTCCTGACCTTGTGATCTGCCTGCCTTGGCCTCCCAAAGTGCTGGGATTACAGGCGTGAGCCACCGCACCCAGCCAACAAAGGTGCTCTTAAAAATGGGTTTGGCCAAGTGCAGTAGCTCACACCTGTAATCCCAGCACTTTGGGAGGCCGAGGCAGGAGGACTGCTTGAGGCCAGGAGTTTGTGACCATTCTGAGCAACATAGTGAGACCCCGTCTCTCCAAGAAATAAATTTAAAAAAATTAGCCAGCAGAGGTGGCACACACCTGTAGTCCCCACTCCTGGGTAGGCTGACTTAAGAGAAGCATGTGAGACCAGGAATTCAAGGCTGCAGTGACCTGTGACCGTGCCACTGCACTCCAGCCTGGGTGACACAGTGAGACCTTGTCTCAAAAAAAGGGGAGGGAGGTTCAATTTCATTTATCTTTGTAAATTTTTTTTTGTTTGTTTTTGGTTTTGGTTTTAGTTTTGCCTTTTTTGGAGACAGGGTCTCACTTCCGTTGCCCATGCTGGAGTACAACAGCACGATCACGGCTCACTGCAGCCTTGATTTCCTGGGGTTAGCTTATCCTCCCACCTCACTCTCCCGAGTAGCTAAGACTGTCACCATGCCCTGCTTAGCAATTATTTTTAAATAAGTACATTCCTTTCTCTGATTATAAAATAATTACTGTTTATTGTAGAATGTTTATAAAAAGTAAAGCAAACAAAACCCTCACTATCTTGAGATAAGGATTGTGAATATTTTGGTGAATTGATTTACAAGATTGTGTTGCACATATGGGTTAATTTAATATAGTAGAGATCATGCTTATATTGAATTTTGTGCTGCATGCTTCACATTATGTAAAATTTCATGCTGAACATCTTTCCACATTCAAAATCCTTTAATAATCACTTTATTATGTGAAAATCTGTCTGATATATCATAATTTATTTAACCCACCTCCCTTTTAACTGTTGTAAATAACATAATGATGAACACCTCCATAGCCATAAAGGCAAGTTTCCACATTATTATTTTGTAGGATGCAGACTGGGGGTGAATGCACATTTTATGGCTATGATCACATGGAAAAACCCTCGGTTTAGGCCAGGCATGGTGGTTCACGCCTGTAATCCCAGCACTTTGGGAGGCCAAGGCAGGCGGATCACGAGGTCAGGAGATCGAGACCATCCTGGCTAACACGGTGAAACCCTGTCTCTACTAAAAATACAAAAAATTAGCCAGGCGTGGTGGCGGGCGCCTGTAGTCCAGGCTACTCGGGAGGCTGAGGCAGGAGAATGGCCTGAATCCAGGAGGTGGAGTTTGCAGTCAGCCAAGATCGTGCCACTGCACTCCAGCCTGGGTGACACAGCGAGACTCTGTCTCAAAAAAAAAAAAAAAACCCTCGGTTTCTGCATACCTGTGTACTTGTACCTGTTGGTGCCTGTATACCTGAATGGCCTCACAACTCAGGCACCTGCTAATCAGCTCATTAGACAGACCAAAGAGAAAGCTCATTATTGTTTTCATTTACATTTTTTATTTCCAAGCACAAGTAATCTGCATCATTGTTTTTTTGAGGGTTGGATTTATTCTTATCATAGCATTCTTTTTATATTATGGTTATTAAACCTCTGACTAACGTATTTTGGCAAGTTAGTTTTCCTTTCTGTTATTTGCCTCTCATCTCTTCGTTACTTTGGGATGTGCACGTTTTAACAGCCGTCAGATACAGATGCATATTTTCACAGTGGTCAGATAGAGCTTGCCTCCTCTGTCAGGCCGCGTGGTACAGGTGACAGTCCCGAGCTGAGCTTTGTCACTCTCAGCAGAACTCACCTGCCTGGGCTTCAGCCTCCACACTTGTAAAAAAGGGAGCCAGTTGTCGTCTCTCATTTCCCTCCAGCTCCGGAAAGATAAACTGTCTAGTGACTCAGTGCAAGGCAAACTCAGTTCATCCTTCCTAAACTTCATAAATAGCAAATGTTGCCAATAAGGATTAGGTGACACATAAAATCAGAGTCTCTCAGACAACCTGAGGGGCATGATTTGTTTGCTGCAAACTTACGATTTTTCCTTAAGTACCTTACACATGGCTAACATTTGTTCATTTTACTTTGCCTATCCTAGAACAGGAGTCTTCAATCCCTGGGCTGTGGTCTGGGACCAGTCCGTGGCCTGTTAGGAACTGGGCCACACAGCAGCAGGAGAGCTGCAGGTGAGTGAACCTGACTGCCTGAGCTTGGCCCCCTGTTAGATCAGTGGCAGCATTAGATTCTCATAGGAGCACAAATCCTATTGTGAACTGCACATGTGAGGGATCTAGGTTGCACACTCCTTATGAGAGTCGAATGCCTGATGATCTGAGGTGGAATAGTTTCATCCCCAAACCATACCCCTCCCCCAATCGCCCATCTGTGGAAAAAAGTGTCTTCCACGAAACAGATGCCTGGTGCCAAAAAGGTTGGGGACCCTGTCCTAAAACACAGGATTAAAATAAAAAATTCTTGTCTGAGTTTTGAGATCCTTGTTGATCTAAGTCCCAGGAAATGATGTTTCAAATAGAGACTGAAACAGCAATAATGATGCTTTACCTAGTAGCTCCATCTGTCTCAGAGTGAAAAGTAGCACCCTTCCTTTCTGTATTTAGGAAGAAGAGAAACACAATTCACTATTTGGGGAACTTACGGTCTTTATTATGTTCTTAACCTTTTTCACTGTGGTCTCTGGGAACCAATTCTCTCTCCATTCATCTTAACTCACACCAGAAGTGACCAGTTTCTTATGAGCAGATGACCTTAAGACCCGCAGCATGGACTTCATTTGGGGTTGGCCCTTTGTCGCCTGAGGAGAGGCTTATCTTCTTTAGTGCTTTATTTAATGGAATATTCTTCACCTTTGAGCTGTTAGTAGCAAATGGTGAGTGGCTTCTCGTCACCAGTTTTCAGACTATTTCAGAGAAAACTGGTGATCAATGGTTGATAATTCTCTGACTTGAATCCTAATTGCCAAATGCAATCCAAAGTTATTCCGACAATGAAACATTAACACATGAATACTCACTTGCCCTAGTTTAGTAACAGAGACCTGTACGGTCTAAATCTACGGATGGATGTTAGGTGACAAGTTAGCCACCCAATATGCTCAAGTGTAGGTAAAACTGTATTTATTTTCTAAACACAGTGAGCTGAAGACCAGAAAAGGGAATGCATGGTATGTCTCAGACCCTGTGTTAGGTGCTTTATATATGTGGCCTTGTTGAATTCTCACAGCAAACATGAGAAGCAGAAGTATCATCTCCAGTTCATAGGTAACTGAATTTCAAAGGGTTTTATTCACTTAATGAAACCACTTTTGCAAAAATTATGACAGAAAAGTCTGACCTAGGAAAATTATGACAGTGAAAGAAATCTGACCTAACTGACTCCATTTTGTTTCTAAGCTCTAAGTTGCCCTTGGTTCATTCTTGGGCCCAGCCTAACTAACTTTGGGAGGAATTCAGCTTATAGTTCAACTTTAAAACGAAGAAGATAACAGCCCCTCCCCAAAACAAACCCCGTTCTTACTTGGAGACCAGACTGCCTTCGTTAAACTAACAAAGTAGCCACAAGATTAGAATTTATGGCTAGGGAGTCATGCAGCCAGAGGCCACAAGGTTCCAAACTTGGCCAATTGCTCCTACGGATAACTAGTACCACTGTAACACCTAAAACTGATGTTTGTGGTATTTTTCAGACTGTGCATTGTGATGGACCAGCTGGTGCCACCCAGACCAGTAAACTGGTTTAACTATTTATGTGATCCCACTCAGGAATGAAAAACAAGAAGACAGTTTTGGTCCCTATGATTTCATCCCCGACTTGACTAGTCAGCATTCCCCAGCCCCTTGCCCACCAAACTATCTCTAAAAAAAACCCCAGCCTTCTAATTTTTTAATTGTGGGGGGAGGCTGATTTGAGGAAATAATAAAACTCCTGTCTCCTGTCTAGCAGGCTCTGTGTGCATTAAATTCTTTCTCTACTGCAATTTCTGTATCTCAATAAATCAGCTCTATCTAGGCAGCAGTCAAGAACTCGACGGGCACTTACATTGTTATGGCCCTAATATGTACATACTCCAGCCCATACACATCTGTCTGATTCCAAAGAATGACTCTGACTATGCAGATAGTCATAGTTCTCATAATCAACTGGATATCTGGAGGATCCCAGTGCTGCCACACATTCATCTGCATGTGCATTTTCCCTTCTGATGGTCAGGCCTTCTGTTAGCTGCTGCTGCCTGAAGTGTACATTTTAAAGGGATTCCTCCATCATTCCTGCCAATACTGCCATATTATTTGCACGAGGTTCCCTGTCCAGCATTTGCAGGCTTTGTGTAGGTGCTCACACATCTGTGATGTAATGCTGATTTCCTCACCCATAGTAATTGACATTTGAATGGAAATTGGCCATTTTGATTGCAAACATTCTGGAACTGCTATGTTGCCAATTGAAACGGAACCCTCAAAACCATTATTCAACAACAAAGGAAGTCACAGGATACCCATTTGGATGATAGGTCATAGGTGAGAATCACTACGCTAAAATAAATTGATCAAATTGTTCCTACAAGCAATTCCATTTCAGTCCCTGGAATTTGTTTTCACTTTCCTATTCAGCCACATGAATACAGAGGCTGCATCCACTCTATTTTGCTCTTGCGACCAAGGGGTAAAGACGGTGCCTTCAGATGCCTGTGATGGCTCAGGAAGGGGCCTGGGAGGTTGTTGGAGGCAGCCATGGAACCACTGTCAATGGTACAAGTCATGCACTATTCTTTAGCTTGTTGAAGTTTCATTTTCTGTTTGAAAAATGAAACCAATAATTTATCTAAAACAAGTTAAGGCTGGGCGCAGTGGCTCATGCCTGTAATCCCAGCACTTTGGGAGGCTGAGGCAGGTGGATCACTTGAGGTCAGGAGTTCAAGAACAGCCTTGCCAAGGTGGTGAAACTCCATCTCTATTAAAATACAAAAATTAGCCAGGCGTGGTGGGGAGCGCCTTTAATCCCAGCTACTTGGGAGGCTGAGGCAGGAGAATCGCTTAAACCCAGGAGGTGGAGGTTGCAATGAGCCAAGATCGTGCCACTGCACTCCAGCCTAGGCGACAGAGAGAGACTCTGGCTCAAAAAAATAAATAAATAAGTAAATAAATAAATAACAGGTTAAGTATCATGATGATGGCAAATGGAAAGCTGAAAATCTTGAGACTATTTTCAACAAACTTGACTGAAATATACCATTTTCCAAACAGGTTCACCTGGTAGTCTGAATAGAGAGTAGAAAGAGGAAGATGGAAATGAGGAAGAAATACATGTTCTTTGTCAAGAAAGGAGTAGTTTATTAGCATAATCCAGCATGTTCCTGGAGAGCAAGCACCATCCACCATGAGCACCGGCCTGCACTGGGCCACCCATGGGGAGGCACACCAGAAAGTTACATTGTAAAAGCATCTTGTTGCCAGTATTGTCAGGAATCATGGAGGAATCCCTTTAAAAAGCACACTTCAGGGAGTGGCAACTAACAGAAGGCCTGACCATCAGAAGGGAAAATGAGGCTGGGCGTGGTGGTTCACACCCGCAATCCCAGAACTTTGGGAGGCCGAGGCGGGTGGATCACAAAGTCAGGAATTTGAGACCAACCCGGCCAACACGGTGAAACTCGGTCTCTACTAAAAATACAAAAATTAGCCAGGCATGGTGGCACGCCCCTGTAATCCCAGCTACTCAGGAGTCTGAGGCAGGAGAATTGCTTGAACCCGGGAGGTGGAGGTTGCGGTGAGTCGAGATCATGCCACTGCACTCCAGCCTGGGCGACAGAGCAAGACTCCATCTCGGAAAAAAAAAAAAAGAAGGGAAAATATACGTGTAAATGTGGCGACACTAGGATCCTCTAGATACTCAGTTGATTAGGAGAAATATGGCTATTTCCATAGCAACCGAATGTGTGTAATAAACAGTTTTGTTACATTGTAGTTAAAACCACCGGATCTCAGATGGTGAGGGATTTCTGAAATCCCAAGTCAATTTCCTCGTTTCTCTCCTCTAAGCTTCTATATATAGAGGATAAATACATCAGAGTTAATAGTTGCCTAATTTAGAATGAAAAGCAACTGGCAACTGCCCAAAATGCTTTGACAGTAAGGACTATTCCCCAAATCTGGCGAAAGTCCAGGCCTGTTTATCATACAGAGAGAACCACCACCACACAGCAGCCAGATTCTGTGGGATATTTTGGGGAAAGCACCCAGGATACGGACAACTTGGGTTGTAGATCTGGTTTTGCCTTTTCTGGTCACGACTCTTGTGAGCCTCAGTTTCCCCACCTGCAAAGTGAGACAGAACCTGCTAGGTACACCACAAAGATCTGTTACGATGTTAAAGTGAGATGCCAAGTGCCCACATCTGGAAATTATAATGAATTATAAAGATATTTGTTTGGTTTGGGGGGGCAAGGGGTTTTGAGACAGGGTCTCGCTCTGTCGCCCAGGGTGAAGTGCAGTAGCGTGCACTCATGGCTCACTGCATCCTGCATGCACCACTGTATCTGGCTAATTTTTAAAATTATTTGTAGAGGTGTGGGGGTCTCCTTATGTTGCCCAGGCTGGTCCTGAACTCCTGGACTCAAGTGATCCTCGCGCTTTGGTCTCCCAAAATCCTGGGATGACAGGTTTAAGCCACTGTGCCCAGCCAAGAATAAAAAAAAAATTAAAAGAAATATTTCCTCACTGACAATTAGTGTAGGTAAAAACAGGCAAATTGAGTAGTTTGAGATAGTCACAGTGAAGGAGACTCATGGTTCCTAATCACCAGCTGAATTCTCAACTGAATTCTCAACACTGACATGCTCAAGAGAAAACTATGACATACCCACATACATGCACATGCCTACACATGCACATACACACATGCATACAAACCCACACACAAAGCACATGTACACGCACACACACGCACACAATTCTTTGCCTCCCCTTAATTATTTGCAAACTCTTAAGTATCTAACACACTTGGTATCTGAGAGCCAAGTCAAATTAAAGTTTCCTTTAATTCTGAGCACCTGTATGCAAGACCCCTGCTAGATGTCTACACGAGGCATCCCTTTTCATCATCATATTCACTCGTCAGCCAGGGAACATTTACAAGGTGCTTGGGGAACGCAGACAAAAGCAGCACCTCTGAACTCTGGAGTGGAGCACAGTAGCGTGCAGGGAAAGGCTTACACGCACAAGAGCAAGAAGGGGTTTCAGGTATGGTGAGGGAAATGCATATGGGATGCAGAGAAGATGAGAGTGGGGATCGGAAGGGGTCTTGCAATGAAGTGAGGGGACACCCAAGGAGATGCAAGAGCTCATCCCACCAGAAAGAGCCCAGCTAAGCAGGGGGAAAGCAAGCCAGGATGTGAACCTGGACCCGCATGGAACAGCGTCCTCCCAGTCCTCAGGCCGAAGTACTGCCTAGGAAGGAATTTGGCTATGTGAGTGCTGAGCTATTAATATGGTTGTTATGTCTGACGTGTAGCTCTGATTGCCACAAACCACATGAAAAAAAATGTTGCATTATATAACAGACACTGAGTATTCAATTAAACGCAGCCGAGATAGTCAAATTAAAATATAACCCACAGATGACTCATCTCCACTGTACTTCCTAACTTTCCTCAGATGCCATCTTTAATAACCATCAAAACACAATCCCTTTGAATGAACGGAGGCTTTGGAACCTGTGCAGTGCATACAAAGGAAGTATGTTTACCAGAAATATATCTTCCCAGCTGATCTATACTTATCCTCTTTCATCTTTATCCACATTTCATACAAAGAAAATAGGCATTGCTGTTACCACAGAAAAGCATGAATGCTACAATTCTCAAAGATTCTGTGCTTTCAAAGATAGCTCTAAAAGAACCCTGACAGGATATAAAGGGTTAACTCTCTATTGGGTTGGGCAGAAAAGAAGGTTTATCCAAGGGGGTAAGCTCAGCCATCCTCCCTCCCTTCCATAGACACATCCAACCACGACTCCCTCACTGGATTACGCTGCCCAGTTCACAGCCAGGGGCATTTCCACAGCTGTTAAACCTGCATCAGGAAACAAACGGCCTTATTTTTAGCTTTCAGTGGTTTGTGTAAAACCCCATAATAATTAGGCCTCATTACTCTGTGCAGCTCCATGCCACGGTGCCTCTGCACAGATGAACAGGGAGAGCTTTGGCCTTAGAAAAAAGGTGCCCACAACCCTGGTCCTTGCACGCACAGCTCGCCCCAGCAATCACAAGAGAAAGGCCCTCACTTCTAATGCACAGTGCACAGGCGTACCTTTCAGGGCAGTGTCATTACAACCCCAACCCAAATCAGATCAAGAAAGGAAGACACAGTCACATGAGGATAGGAAAAGCATTACCAGGAACACAGAGGCAACTCCAACAGACCCAACACATCTTTTAGTGTTAGCATTCTTCATTTGCTTTACAGTTATTTTAAAGTAATTATAGCTTTACAAGATGTTGCAAATGTTTAAAAGCCCAGGATGGTTCCACATACCCCATGCCCAGTGTCCCCCAAGGCTGTCATCTGGCATAATTCTAGCACAATATCAAAAACTAGGAAATAGACATTGGTACATTCCACAGATCACATTCAGATTTCAGCAGCTTTAGATGTAAACGTGTGTGTGTGTCTCTGTGTGTAGTTCTGTGCAATCTCATCACATGTATAGGTTTGTGCAACCACTACAGTTGAGATACAGAACCAATCAGAACCGTTCATTGTGACAGGCCTGCCTCGTGACCCCCTTCATAGCCACATCAGCCTCCCTCCTCTCTAATCCCAACCCTGGCAATGACTGACGTATTCAACTTTTCAATTTTGTTATTTTTAGGAACTTTATATGATTTTCTATCTAATAGCTCTACAAATTACTAAAAGTGGGGTGCTGAAATCTCCAACTATAATTGTGAATTTGTCTGTTTCTCCTTTAAGCTATTAGTTTTGGTATCACGAATTTCATGGTTTTGATGCACGCATATTTGGGACTGCTATGTCTAATCGCTACACTGATGTTTTAAATTGTGATGTGATGTCCTTCTTTTCATTGCTCTTTAATCTACATTATCTGACATAGTCATGCCTGCTTTTTTAAAAGTTAGTGCCTGCATAATACATCTTTTTTCATCACCTGACTTTCAACTTACCTGTGCTGTCATGTTTGATGTGAGTTTATCGGAAAGCATGCACTGAATTTGCATCCTAGTTTTTATTCATTCTGAAAATCCCTGTCTTTAAATTGCTATGTTTAGACCTTTTATATTTAAAATAGATATTTTAATAGCCTTGAGAGGTCAAGGCTAAAGCCTGCCAATTTATTTCTTGTTTTCTGTTTGTTCCGTTTTCTATACCTCTGTTTGCTTTTCCTCTTGCATTCTTATAGATCACATGAACATCTTTTGGAAGTCCATTTTAATTTTTCTATAGTGTTTTCCATTATATATTTTTGTATGATTTTTAGTGATTAAGTTTTAACATATATGTAAGTCATACATCAGAGCCTACTGGTATCAGCATTTTAACACTTCAAACAAAATTTAAAAACTTGTCCTCTATTAAGTCCTTTTATTCTCCCATCTTTTAAAATAGAAATGTCTTAAGAATTTCCTCTACATTTTTTTAATAGAGACAGGGTCTCACTTTATTGCCCAGGTGGGAATGCAGTGCTGATCATAGCTCCCTATAACCTCGGACTCCTGGACTCAAGCGACCCTCACCTCAGCCTCCTGAGTAGCTGGGACTACAGGCATGTGCCACCATATCCAGCTAATTGATTTTTAAATTTTTTGTAGAGATGGGGTCTTGCTATGTTGCCCAGGCCTCCTCTACATTCACTGAACACTACATCAGATAGTAACGTTAATTTTTGTTTCAATCTTCAAACATACTTTTAAAAAAACTCATGAGAGGGGCAGCCTATTGTATTTATCACTCATTTACTCATACCATGTTCAGGGTGTTTTAGTTGTGGACAGGGCATGGGAGGAAGAGGGATACGCCATGTTGGCCAGAATTACAAGCCTCATCTTCACTTATAACTTCATTCAGTCTTGACTGTGTATGTTTCACGGTGGAAAGAAATCATTTTTTTGCATATTAAAAGCAATTTATTTATTTATTTTTAATTATTATGGGTACCTCATAGTTGCATATATTTATGGGGTACATGTGATGTTCTGATATAGTCATACAGTGTGCAATGATCAAACCACGGTAATGGGGTACCCATCACCTCAAGCCCTTATCATTTCTTTTCTTTTCTTTGTTTTTTTTTTTTTTTTTTTGGTGGAGTTTCGCTCTTGTTGCTCAGGCTGGAGTGCAATGGTACAATCTCAGCTCACCGCAACCTCTGCACTGCCACCTCCTGGGTTCAAGCTCAGCCTCCCAAGTAGCTGGGGTTACAGGCATGTAACACCACGCCCAGCTAATTTTGTATTTTTAGTACAGACAGGGTTTCTCCGTGTTGGTCAGGCTGGTCTCAAACTCCCGACCTCAGGTGATCCACCCACCTTGGCCTCCCAAAGTGCTGGGATTACAGGCGTGAACGCCCTTATCATTTCTTTGGGTTAAGAACACTAGGAACATTCCAATTCTACTGTTACAGTTATTTTTTTAACATTTTAATGTATATTTTATATATAACATTTTATATTTTAGCATTTTAAAATTAAAGTATTTAAAATGTTAAAATACAAAATACATTATTTTTAACTATAGTCGCCCTACTGTGCCACCTATCACTAGATCTTATTCATTGTATCCATCTGTATGTTTCTACCTGTTAACCATGACCACTTTATCCCTCACTCTCTGCCACTCTTCCCAGCCTCACCACTCTACTCTCTCTCCACGAGTTCAATTTCGGGGGAAGAAATCTTCAAGATCATAGAATTAAATACTCTCATTTAACAAATGCAAAACAGAATCATCATGCAAAATTGCAAAGGTAGCAGAGATTACCAAACTGTTATTTGTAAGGCTGGATGTAAACATAAAATTAAAGAACCAAGATTTAAAAACTAAAAGTATCTTTTAAATAGCTGTAGTAATGACAGTAATAATAGCAAATTAACGTTTTCTTTTTGATATTTACCCTCTGGTCCACCTTAAGTGACATTCCATTTCCCATGCATGACAAGAGGAGGAATAGGAAATAAGGCAGAAAAAGGAGCTGGTGTCAGGTAAAAGGAGACCATAAATGCTCATGTGGGCACTCATGTTGGAAGGGCTGGGCACTCCCGACAAGTCATTTCATCTTTCTGGGGCACCATTTCCTAATCTTCAAAATGGAAATGATAAAACCTCATCTAACTGCCATACAGGCTTATGTGTTGTTGTTGTTGTTTTTCTTTTCTTTTAAAGGTGCTAATGAGCTACTTCATATGACAGCAATAGGAAAAACTATAAAGTTGTACAGAAGAAAAAGTATAAACCTGGCTATTTATAATGGATGATAACAATAAAAAGTGTGCATTTGTGTTGAAATGGCACGTGTGGTAAGCCACTGAGACAAGTAGGTTTACAAGTATAAAACCTTTCTCAATCTCAGATAATCCAAAGTAGAAACCCCCTGACCTTAGACTGTTATTTTACCAAGCACACGCACAAACATGCACACACAGACCAGCTTTTTAGCCTGAAGCCACTGTCTAAAGGAAAGCATGCTTACATAAGTACACTAGCACTGAAAAATGGCCTCTGTGAAACTCCTCAATAATCCAGCCAAGTGTGATGCTATTTTTAGGTTTCAGGGGAAATGAATTGTTCAGATGAAAGCATTACTCCTTCATTCTACCCAAGTACCATATTACTTATGGTCAAACAATTTTTAAGGCACCAACTGAGTAGTGTATTTCTATTGCTTGGCAGATGGGAAGCAAGAACAGAATATTTTTATTGTGACTCTTTCTGAAAAGTAATTTGTCAGAGGTAATGTACTTTCCACTCACCAGCAGCATACCCGGCTTCTTGCACGCACCGAAGTCACTCAGCGTGGTGAAGTAAGGGGAGGCCGAGGGCTGCAGTGACCCTGCCAGGCTTGTCACGAGCCATTGGCTGCTCTACATGAAGCAGTTCAGAAACTACAGGTGAACATGGAAGGATACGAAATGGTCTGCAAGCCACTGAGAGCCTGACAGTCGTTACTTGTATGGTTAATCATCAGTGCATGTCAAATGCAGGGCAGGGCAGGAACTAGGGAGGCAATCTAGTGCCTCTTGCCTCTTCAGGGATTCCTATGTCACCTGCAGGACTCAGGATATCTACGGGAATGGAGGCCTGGGGCGCCCCCTGCCTTGAAAGAGGAAGGATTTGTGCAGAAGCAATGTTCCATGGTCCTAGGACACATTTAGCCAGAGTTGCTCTCAAAGGGAAGACTTGTCAGGAAGAAGAAACATGAAGCCAGTCGCTTCACGGCCCAGGAAGCGTTGAGCAAGAAGGATCAGGGCTCTCTGTTTCCACTACAGCCACCTCTAGATCTGAACACTCATCTCTGCCTTCTTCCAGGGAGGCAAGGAGTTATCCATCCCTTCTGAAAATGACCTCAGCCAGCACAAGAACTGGTGCCCACCCCCGTGCACACCAATTGCAGGGGTTAGGTGCTTTTGGTGTGAAAATAACAGGACATGGATTGATTGAGAGCACACCGCTCCATAATACATGAATATCACCTCGCTTCGGTCCCGAACGCATCCTGTATTACTGTCTCTGTTCTACAGTGAAGGAAAACAGAGGGTCACGGTTGCAGGTTTCACACCTGGGTTAGGGCGCAGCCACGATTCCAGCCAAAGTCTCCAATGCCAGAGCCCGAGGAGTGAACTGCCAAGCAGCAGAGCCTCCCAGGACTTGTGGGGACCATAGATGTTGGCAGTGGAGTTTTCTTATTTCTAGTAGGATCTGGGGGTGACACAGTCCGGGACATTTTCATCCGCCCCCTTTCATCTTAACTGCTCTGACTAATGCGGCCACCGGATGGAGTGCACCAGAAGAACCAGTTCAGGATGGTAAACTCTTGTGTGACACAGTTCTACCTGGAGCATGTGAACTCCAAAGGCGGGGTGCTAGCGCTGGCTGTTTTAAAATGCATCAGCCTTCTACAAAAGGTGTGGTTTAATCAGGTTTATTTTAAATTCTTAAATTCATAATATGTTCTCTTTGGTATTAAAAGGTGACCTCCACTAATCACTGAGTTAAAACAATCTAACGGTAATTCCTTCTGCTGTGGTCTCAGGCACTCATTCCCAGAGTAGGATCTCCAGACCGGCAGTATCAGCGTCACCTGGGCACTTGTTAGAAATGCACATTCTTGGGCCTCATCCCAGACCAGTTTATTCAGAAACTCTGGGGCTGGGATGCAGCCAGCTGTGTCGAAACAATCCCTCCACGTGACTCAGAGGCATGCTCAAGCATGAGAACCTTGGGTCTGCAAATCCCGTATGAAGTAGGAAGTCCAGATGCAAGCTCAGAGCAGCAGGCCAAGGACTTGCATTTAATGCACTGTAGTGAGGTTGGCCAGAGAAATAAAACAATCAAAACGAGGTTTGAGGAAGATAATTCCAGAAATAGGAAACAAGATTCCCTGCGTAACACCCTGCGTAACAGTGGTTTTAAGACCACAGTTGCTGGAGTCACCCAGACAAGAGTCAGAGTCTCAGCTTTGCTACTTCCTTATAATGCAGGCCATTCTCCATGAACCTTGATTATCTTCCCTATAGAAAGGGAACAGTAACAGGACCTACCTCACAGGTTTCTTTGCAAGCAAGGAAATAAAGAATATGCCTACTCAAAATGAATACAATTTACTTAACTTAGCAAAGTAAATTGGAATTAAGATATTTTAAGGTAAATAGTGTTAGCTATTTTAGTGCTAATGTGCTATAAAAAATTAAAAATATGAAAACAAGATTTGATACTATGATTGGCAGAAAGCAAATATTCTATGACTATCATTTGTATAAGCTCTTACTACATGAGGCCGGGAATGCCTGCAGCCCCTGCCTAGGGCCGAACTGACTCAGTCACACCAAGGCTCACTCTTCTTTTGAGAACCCTCAGCCTCATACATACAGTTTTCCCTTTACCTTGGATGTCATTTATGTGTTTTTTTCTGTCAATTGGCCTGTCAGCTCTTGCTAAGAGCATGTAGTCCCTAAATACTCCCTCTTTTCTATCTTTTCTTGAGAAAGTTATTTAATCAGTGGTGTTGAAGAATTAATGTGTACTCCACAAAATAATACATAGCTAAGATTAAATCATATGTAAATAGAGTTCCCTAATCAAGGGGAGTAAATTGTATGACTATAAC
The DNA here is from genome assembly GCF_000001405.40 of Homo sapiens. Lineage (NCBI taxonomy): Eukaryota > Metazoa > Chordata > Mammalia > Primates > Hominidae > Homo > Homo sapiens. Next base: position 26,668,743 of record NC_000015.10, read on the forward strand.
ATCTGAGGAAGTGAGCAGCAAAACCTCTCTATGCAAAAACTGTACACATTAGGCCCTCAAAATATCAAGTCCCATACTCCCCAAGGTTGTAGAGGACTATGATTTAAGAAGCATAAACAAAGTTTAAATGAATGCATGGGTGATTGATTCATAAATGAACATATTCCCTGCAGGGTACCCTTGGGTGAAAAGCAAGGCTAAGATTAATCACACCATATCGAACACAATGAGGATGACTATGCATCCAGATAACTATTGTACCTGCCCCTCCGTGATGGCAGCTGGAAAGTCCTGGTGTCAAACTATCTGATTCCCCAGAGTAAGGCTCACTGCTTTCCATAAACAGCCCCACACTCCGTCTATCTGTCTGTTTCCCTCTTCTTGTTCTGTCTCCTTTCTTGGTTTATCTCTTTTCCCACCTCTCAAACCCCTGGTGTATCTGCTCTGTGACCCCCACAGAATCCTGCCCTTTCCTTGCCACAGGAATTTTATCTCTTTCGTTTCAGTGATGTCCTTCCTACTTAGGGAAGTATCTCCAAAATTTAGACAGCTTGGATTAAGTCCTGGCTGCATGTTCGCTAAGTGTGTGGCATCCCAAAGCTGCATTTTCCTCATTTGCTTATTGGGGATTATGCTGGTATCTTCCTCGTTGATGTGCAGTGAGCAGTGAATCATATAAGCTGTCCAAAGCACCTAGCACATTGTCTGCCATGGGGTAGGTGTCCAACATGGTAATATTATCATTTCACTTCCTTAATTATTGATAGTTCACACCACAACCTGCTTTTCCCTCCAAGAACGTGGTGGCCTGTAATCTTGGGATGTTCTCATCACCCACAGCCTCTTTCCAAGACTCACTCTGTCTCTCTCTCTCTCTCTCTCCCCACCCCTCTCCTTTAACTTGCACTCCCTCAGTAGTCCTCCTATTCTGACATAAAAATGTCCCTTTCTTTGACCTTTTCTCTTGGCTACTTAAATACTGGTCCAAGACTTCCTATTTCTGCTGTCTTTCCTTTGCTACCTTTTCCTTCCATCTTCTACAACCACCATCACCCACTCCCTGTAAGAGCTCTGAGTTGTTTCAAGGTTCTTGTTTTGATCCTGATCCTTTCTCTCTTTTGGGTCAAGTTAACCTTTCCTGTGATTCCCTTTCTCAGGATTGGGTGCCACTGCCTTTTGGGCATTCTCCTGATGCCGTGCACTGCACCTGCAGTATGTGTGTCTGAATCCAGTGTCACTTCCAGAGAGGCCCTGTCCATCTTCCAATGCACCCCTCATGCTGTGCAGGAGGTCACAGTCACGGTCACGGGCACAGAGCCACGTGAAGGGAGCTGCTCGAGCGCCCCGGAGCCTCACCTGGGAGGAGACGCAAGAAGTCTCCCGGTGCGGGAGCCTACAGGGCTGAGCGCGGAGACCGCTACGCCCCAACGCGGGCTCAAGCCCAGCGGGTAAGCGGGGCGGGGCGGCGAGCGGGAGGGAGGCCAGGCAGAGATGTGCAGGATGCTCCAGGTGGGCATGGAGGGGCGGGAGAGGTAAGGGTAGGCGGGAAGAGGGGCCCGGGACACAGTCTGCAGCAGCAGGGCAGGGCACGGCGCACTGGACAGACCCGGTCCAGGCACTGCAGCATGGGCTCCGGGAGGTGGCAGGTGCAGGTCTGACGACAGCAGGGTCGTGGCTGGCTGCGGAGGGGCGCGGGAGGCTGGGCGCAGAGGTGGCCGCCAAGGCGCGGCTTCGGAGCACGGCCTGGGAAGGGAGGAAGGGAAGAGAAGAGGAGCCCAGGCCCGTGCCGACCGCAGCTCCACGCCAGCTCTCGAGCCGCGCGGCCGTCACAGGAGCCCGCTCCGGCCGGGCTTTCCATACCCCGGCTGCAGCTTTTCCCATAAATATCGAGATAGGAAAATTACAATTCTGGGATTTGGGAGGATGATACTACTGACACTGAGAAAATTATGAAGTGTAACTGTACTTTGAGCAATTTGATGAGATTCATATATGCATACACAAGACACAAGCTACAACTTGTAAAAAATTTAAAACTCGCTTTTCCTATGCCTCTTTCTTTCTTTTAAGCCCTTGCCTTTTCCAAAGACCATTCATAGCTAAACATCCTTATCACACAGCTACTCTATGAGATATTTACTTTTTAAATAGTTTTATTTTATTTTTATTTTTTTCAGAGAAACGTCGCTCAGTTGGAGTGCAGTGGCACAATTACGGCATCAACCTCCGGGGCTCAAGTGATCCTCCTGCCTCAGCCTCCCAAGTAGCTGGGATCACAGGTGTGCACCACCATGCCTGGCTAATCTATGAGATAGTTGACTGCTGAGGAATAAGCCCTACGCCACTTAAGGAAGTAAGAAATACTGTGATGTGTAAAGAAATGACAACATTATGCCAATCAAGAAGAGAAATAAGGCCTTTTATTTCCAAAAATGTCCTCAGAACAGAAGCTGAATAACTGGTCATTTTCCTTTCAGGTTCTTGATTGATTTAAAATTTTTTCCATGATAAAATAAATTAGGAGAAACTTCCATCACTAAGTGATTTGAAATAAACAGAATTCATTATGCTACTCAAGTATCTGGCAAATTTGTAGCAAACTCCAAATTCATTTTTCAAATATGTCTAAGAAGACATGCCAGAGATGGCCTTAGTTGTACCACAGTTGTGCCGGAAGGACAAGAAGACCAGCTAAGATTGGAGCAGGGACACATTCCTCCAAGTTCCCAGATGAAACCAGTGCCACTAAAAAGAGAATCTCTGGGTGAGGGCTTCCCGTTTCGAGAGTGCTTTAAACATTCATCAAGAGACCAACAGAATCTATAAGGGAGTTGTGTGCTTTATAAATGCTGGGGGTGCTTTATGGATGAGTCGTATTAAAGAATTATAAATTTCTTATTTGATTAGTTGGGGTAGGCTTTCCTGCTAGAATCTCAGACTGATTTTATTGTGCTTCATCAATTTTATGGTTGACATGTTTTCAATTTACTTTGTACTATTAAGAAGCTGAAATGAGTTTTGGAAGTGCATAATCAAGCCTTTCCTCCCCTCCCCAGTGCCACGGGGGGACAAGGTGGTGAGGGCTCTGAGCCTGCTGAGCAGACCACACGCAGGGAATTCTGTTTTCTCTCCTAGTCACTGTCTCAAAGAGTTTGAGCTCATTTGATCCCAGGGAAAAAGTTACTTGTCATTTTCACATCTATAAGTTTGCTAATTCACTTTGATATATATCAACAAATGGTTTCACTATAGAAACAATGGGTCATACCGAGAAAAATTTGGAATAATTACCCTGTATCCTTCTTGTTTTTTCTTAATGTTTTTCTCTTTTCCTAGAGTTTTCTTTTCCCTCCCTCCTTTTCTTTGCGTGCTTAGAACTTTACAAACTGTTGGAAGGTCCAGAACGTGCCACAGTGACATAGGATTATTTTGAGCTGAAGACATTTGAGAATCAAGGAACGCAGGAAGAAACTTTCTCTAAATTCTCATTTTTGCCCAGAAAAGGGACCCTTCAAAAAGACCTCAACTGTCATAAATCCCATCTCCAGGCATTTTATAACCAGGGAAGATTGACTGTTATCACAAGAGAGCAGAGAAGTCAGCGCCACACCCAGACATCGTCACAAGCCACCACATGGCCCATCTGTCCTCCTAAGACCCACTTATAGTTCCTGAAGATCATCTGCTCTTCCGTAAATGGAGTTTCTCCCTCTCTCTTTCCCCTAAGAAGATTGGTATCAGCTCTCAAATCTCACCTCTCCTTTGCGTATTCACTTCTTTCCATGATGCCCCTATGCACATAAAATTTAGCAGTAATAAGTTAGTAGGCCTTTTCTTCTGTTCACCTGTCCGATGTTGCTTTAATTCACAGCCCTCCACCTCCAGCCCCTGAACCTAAGAGAGTGGAGAAAAAAATTTTTCTTCCCTACACTGTCCAATACCATTGATTTCTTTTCTTGGCGTAATTCTCCATGTACACACACAAATTAAAGTTTTGATGATGGGAATGTCTGTGGGCTCAAACATCATGATCAGAGCAGATGCGCAATGTTTACAAGGACGGATGAAAAATATGTGATGGAGGAAGAATGATAAAATGCCATTAAAGAGAGAAAAACACCAAGAGAAAGGAGACAGCAAAAGAAAATGTAGGCCTGTTGGGGTTGAATAACTACTTATTTCATGGAGTCTTAAACTCTTGTTTCATAAAAACATTACAAGCACATGTCATACTTACTTATCAAAAGCCAATGCACAAAATGGAAAAACTTGCATTTTAAGCAAAAATCAGAGTATATCATAATGGAGCTACAAATTGACCTCCTATCGTGTTTTCCTGGGGTCACTCTTTCTGGGACTAAATTCCAAACAAGCCGGGCACAGAAAGTGGGCATTTCTTAAAACTCAAGTAACTCTTGAAACTCAACATTCATTAATTCTGCTAGAAAAAAGTTGCAATTGTAACTTCCTTCCTTCCTTCTTTCCTTCCTTTTTTCCTTTCTTTCCTTCCTCCTTCCTTCCTTCTTCCTTAGAGGGTAGATGCAGGCAACTTAGTAACAAGGCTTATTTTAACACATTGTTTTAAACCATAGATGAGTGAATAGCTGAGTTCAGACTTCAGCTTATTCATGTTCTTCACATTCTCTCTGGAAAGTGAGTTCTTGTGGCCACTGCATTTATCTCTATTACTTACCGGACAATGTCAGCAGCTGTACCTGTTCACCTAAAATTTCGCTTCATCCCCTAAGGTACTTGGAGTATAGTAAGATAGAATGGTAACCTCAAAATCCTGGCCATACAGTGACACTGATGATACGAATTACTCTTCCATTCTTAGCCATGGAGCAAAGACCCTATCCAGCATGGCTGTGAAAGCAGTGACTGTGAAAGCCACCAGAAGCTCCCTCATTCAGAGCAAATCAGACAACTACGTGCATCACAAGACAAAGGTCCCAGGCAGGAAGGAGAAGCCAGCCCCAAATGCCACTCTTCACGGCAGATGCCCATCACGCATAAATCTAGAAATGCACCAGAGTGTTAAAAACTTTGTCCAAAGCTTTTATTCTTGGAATGGAATAGAGCTAGAATGTGACAAGTTAATTAATGACCCATTATGGGGAAAACTCCACATTAAAGCAGATTTCTGTTTCTATTTATATCTTTTACCTTAGCAGTATTGTTATGTAAGTCCTCTCTTAAAGATATATACGCCTAACATTGTTAATCTATAAAACGTGTTATCTGGCAGCAAAAGCCAAACTGTTTCAGGAGTGTGTACATTAATGTATTAATTCAATCAATCAATCACATATTTAACCCCCCCCTTTTTTTTTTTAGTATTTCCTGAGATGGTGTTTTAGAAACCATGGGCAGAGCTAGCAGGGCGCAGTGGCTCACACCTGTAATCCCAGCACTTTGGGAGGCCGAGGCGGGCCGATCACCCGAGGTCAGTAGTTTGAGACCAGCCTGGCCCACACGGTAAAACACTGTCTCTACTAAAAATACAAAATTTGCCTGGCATGGTGGCAGGTCCCTGTAATCCCAGCTTCCTGGGAGGCTGAGGCAGAAGAATCACTTGAACCCAGGAGGCGAAGGCTGCAGTGAGCCGAGATCACGCCACTGCACTCCAGCCTGGGTGACAGAGCGAGACTCAGTTTCAAAAAAAAAAAAAAAAAAAAAGAAAAGAAAAGAAAGGAAAGGAAAGGAAAGGAAAAGAAAAGAAAAAGAAAGAAAGAAAGAGAGAGAGAGAAAGAAAAGGAAAAGGAAAAAAAAGAAACTATGCACGCAGCAGAGAGGAATATAAGACCCTGTACTTGCGGCATTGAAATTCTAGAAAAAAAATAACAAACAAATCCATATACATTTAATGAAGTGAGGGAGACTGATAAGATCTATGAGGAAAAACAGAGCCATGAGAAGGGGCAGGCAGGGATGCCACAAGGCCTCTCTGGGGAATGACTTTGAGCAGAAACCTGAGGGCATGTGCCCAAACGAGACCTGAAATCGTGAAATTAGAACCAGGAAGAGTGGCTGCAAAATTATGGGAAAGGATTTCAACAGAAATCCTTTTTTCCAACAGAAATCACCAGTTTTGAGAAGGGCAAGGCTTACAGGATCAACAGGACACTCCTGCATAAATGGAAGGGATGGCTTCATTTTAGATGTACTGTTTTCTCCTTGAGGTCAAGGTAATAACATATCAAATAAAACCAAGTTACCACAAGGAGTTAACCTTATATAATCCAAGCATCTGCCTTCCTTCTCCCTGAGAAGGTAGGATCAAACTGATCAAGCTAGTGGGCCTTCCTATGAAATAATTACTTGTGGTTTCAAAAGTCTCAGGAGTCCCTGGGTCTCTTAATGAGGAACTGAATATTAAATTACACTCGAGAGCTCTGGGTCCAGTTGAGATTGTGGAGCTGATTTCTCATAGCACTGCTATTTCTTTTTCTCAATTTTCTGAACAACAACAAAACATGTTAAAGATCTTTTGCAGCTTATAAAACCAAAGATTTGATTTGGAATCAGTGCCCTGTTCTACTGAAGAGTGGAGCACTGGCTCAAAAGAGGGAGCTCCACCACCTTCTGTTCATTTCACATCCACACTCGGGCCCTTCCAAGAGGACCTAACCCAACCAGGAACCCGTTTAAAGACTGGATGACTCTGAACACCCCCTACCTTGTGTGTCTGTGTGTGTGCCTGTGCATGTGTGTGAGTGTGTGTGCGTGTTGGGAGTAGAGGTAAGCAGTGTTAAAAATGACTCATGACATTTGTTCAAGAAAATAAGGCAGACTTTATTCAGAACCATTGAGATAGGTATAAGGGCTATTGAGATAGGTATAGGAACCACTGCAGTGGATCCTGCAGCTGGGGAGGAAGGTCAGACTCACTTCCCAATACAACAAGGAAAGGTGGGAATTTATGGCAAAAGAGCAGAATGTGTTTATGTTGGAGGTGGGGGGAGGTCAGTCAATAGCAAAATTACTAGGAGGTAACATCAAGGGTAAGGGAGGATCCTGGAAAAACTGACCTAACTTTGTTTTTGCTAAAGACAGGCCAGGGTGATCAAACACCACCAGGCAGATGGTAAATGAGAAAACTGAACAGATACCGAAGACAGTCAGATATCCAGGGTTGGGGGTTCTGGTCGAAATGATTTCGCAGGGTTCTTGCTAAAAGTTTCCAATGCAGAGATGAACACTGACACCCAAAGGTCAGGGCCCAGTTGAGAAGTGAGTTCAGAAAGGCCTGATTAGAGTTTGGTCAAGGAGAGACTCTTTGTCATCAGAACTTATGCAGTATTCAAGTGTCCTTAAGAAAGGAATTGAGCTAATTAATTACAGTGCTTAAGGAGTCACCACTAGACCCTCTATCTTTTTGCATCCATAAGCACAGAGCACACCTTTCAAAGTTCCTGAGTTGTTAAGCAATGAATTCTTCAGCACCTGCTTGCAACTATTTATTTTGTTTCAACAGACTTCTCTTTGTGACTAGCACTTGATTAAGTTACACAAAATCAAATATCTGCGGCTCCCCCCAGGGTTTTTCCTCTTCTCTTTTCATTTCTGACTGTGGTCCTGCCAAGTCCCTGGGGGTGGAAGGCTGGCTCAGGGCATTGTCCATCAATCTGTGAGATGAGAGTGGACCAACAAGGAGTGGACAGGCTCCCAGACACGAAACAGAACCCGGTAGGACTAAAACTACCACTTGGGAAGATCACAGAGACTCAAGGCACTGCACTTGTGTGTGTACACACATATACACACACAGGTGCACAGGGGCAGAACTGCCATTTCTTTATAAGTGTTCAATTTCTTATCAGAAATGGCTCTTAAGTTCAAGCTACTAACACAGGAAGAAAAGAACTTAGTGAGCTATTCTATCTTGCTATCTTAGATTTCAGTTTCTTAGGCATACATACACTCCTAAATTCTCCATGCTTAAACATCTCCATCAGGCTTAAAATAGATCAGTCTTAAATAAATCTTGTTAATTCCATCATTTACATTACACTCCCCCACTAACAGACCTAAGCATGAATGATGTTAATCAAATAATACTTTCAAGATAAAATAAATGATTATGATTTCCACATGATACCAGATATTATATATATTTTTTCTTTGAATTTTTTCTCCCTTAGATTTTTAAAAATTTATATAGTGACTTTGGTTTAAAAATCTATTTTAGCAATAATATTAACTAGAGAAGTGGCTCATGCCTGCTCATTTTAGGCTTGTCTTTTGAGTGAACTGGGTATGACAGGTCTGGGACCTGTGCTGGGAAGAACTCTTCCATGATTGAAATGGTAGCACATGGAATAACATCGATAAGTTGGATCCCAGTTGCCTCTTTTGACCTCTATATTACTTTTATTCTTTGGCCTCATCTAAAACATCTGAAATTTAAGTCCTTTAGATCAAAAGGGCAGGACTGAAAACAGCTGTGATTTCAGAGGTAGGAAGGCTGTTCTGCCCCCCAAATACGTTCCCTATTAGATGAAAGGTGCCCCAATTCCCAGTTAGAACACCTTTCCCTTCGCTGATTTCAAACATGGACTGTTTAAATGCAAATATCCATAGAAGAGATCATACAAATCTTGTTCATTCATTTGCAATGATAACTTTTAAAGTCCTCTCATTCATGGACATCTTAGAGTTTATCACAGCCTTTCCTAAAAGCTGGTTTTGGGGGAGAGAAAATACAGGAAGCCAAGGGCTCTGGCCTCCTCTTGGCCATCCTTCTCCACCCGGGAGACACCACATATGCACTTTACAGAATTCTAGGGCTCAAGCTTGAAGAAGATACCACCCACCCAATTTCTGGGGATCCAGAAGAATGAAGCAAAGGTAGAACAGCTTTCCTTACCCATTCCAAAAAAGGGAAAAGAAAGACAATTTACGGTAAAGGGAACCAAAATTACAATACTACATTGTGATATGGAGGATCAGATTATTTTTTACTATCTCTTTGCTCTGACTTCTTGGTTATTTACTTTGAAGTTAACTCATGAAAATGCTTTAATAGTTTGGGCTCCTGTTTTGTTCATGTTTAAGGGCTATCATGAAGTTCCCATAAGAATTTGTAAATCAGGGAACTAAAACTGTCCTCCCAATTTCACCCAGATATCAGCACACAGGAGGGCAACGAGGGCCTCCAGAAACACATGAAGCAGCCTCCACTACATCTGTGAAAGAGAGGTCAGGAATTTATTTTCCAATTAGGCACTGGGGGCCAGCTCTATCTAAAACTACGCTGTGTGGGCATTTTAGCAATTTGACTAGTGCCAGTAACAAATCCAAAGAAAAAACAGAGTGGGTGTCGCACCAAAGAAAGGAAAGCCCAAAACAAGAGTGAGAGCAGAACCATGTGAGGGCTAGGATAGGGCTGCCCCCAAATGCTCTTGAGACATCTTCATAAGACCCACTCAATCCTTGGTGATTTTTATCTTCACCAACCACAGCAACATTCTCATTATGATTTGGCCTCTCAGGAGGCTGACTGCAGGGAGAGAATGAGCTGGCCCTGTGGACTTCTATGCTTAGGCTGCTGACAATTTCTTATTCTAAATTAATTGACACACATTCTAGTGCCTCCTTCAGGCTCCCGACAATGTTGTTTTCCTGGCCTTCAGCAAGCACGGTGTTACTAACACACCTGACTGCAGAGTGCGGGGAAGATCCTGGCAACAGCCTGCCCAGGCCCCGTGCTCTTCCATGCTTCTCTGTGAACCTTACTGCATGAGAAAGCACGAGAAAGAAAGAGAAAGAAAGCCAGAGGGAGAAAGAGAGCAACACAAGGAGAGAGAGAGAATGAGAGTGAGAGAGAGAGAGAGAGGCAAAGAGAGGGGGAGAGAGATACAGAGAGGAAGAAAAACCGAGAGAAAGCCAGAGCAAGAGAAACAGTAAGAGAGATTCTAAAGGAAATATGGATGGATCGACTCTGAGGTGACCATGGCTCTCAACCCACCCAGGAAGGTGAGTTCTGAAGGACAGCCAGGTATACACTGGGAAGCTGCTTTTCTGGAGCCCTGGTTGCTGGGAGCAAAAAGGCAATTGGGGGCTGGTGTTTCTCTGTCCCAGATGAAAGTGTACCTCACTGAGGCTGAGTTCAGTTCAAGAATCAGAGGAGCCCAGTGATTGTAAAATTTCCATTAAGTGGGAACCCATGATATGTTAGTGTGAGTTTCTATGAACCTCAACTATACAGACAGAGTGGGATAGCTCAAGGGAGGCTGTTCTCTGCAAAGACCCACAGGGCAGGGTCCCTCTAGGCAGGTCTCTATGGAACAGGAGACCCAGAACCTGCAGAAAGACCTCCAGCATCCGCCCCGGGGGCACCAACAAGGTCTATATCATTGGCGATGAAACCAACACTTCAGTCATACCTTATGGGACATGAGGTGTGGGTTGTTGTCTTTTATTTGAATGTGTAAAATCAAAATGAAAACATTAACTCTTTTGGGGGGAAAGTCCCTCTGCCCTCTGGTACTTGCTTCTTAGCCCCTCACTCACTGAGCAATGTGGCTACACTGTCCACTGAAATCTGTTTCTGACCTCCTTAGTGTAAGCACAGGCTGGCATCTACCTTTCTAAAATATCCTCCTTGAACTTTCAGAATAAAACGGTGAGAATCGCACTCACCTGCTCTTGAGAAGTCGCACATACGTACTAGCATTTCACTCTGATCCGGTCACACGCATTGCTCTATGATGTGGTGTCTATTATACATTCACATCACAAACCCAGATGCTCGTCCCTACCTCACCCCACCTCCCTACTTTCAAGGTCAGGTTGACCATTTATTTTGGAAAGGAAATCATTTTTGATGATCACAATATCTTAAGTTAAATATTCTCTAATAGAGAATAGCAGAGAATATTAGAACTGAATCTAGGACCACCCAGAGCCAGAAACAGTTCCCTCCACAAAAGCCCAGAGCCAATCTCACTGCTTCCAGAAAGCTTCCGGAGATGGGGGAATCAGCCTGTCCCAGTGAGCAGGGCAACTTGCTCTTCCCTGCATCAGATGAAATGCTGCATCCTGGGGCTGGGACCCACTGGATCCACAGCATAAATCTAACTCCTCACTCTCTAAGGCACTTGTCAATCATATGTGGAGAGACTGAGCCCTGATCTGTGGCCAGGTTACTCTACAGATTAACTTTCTTATTAGCATCTTCCCTCTATTTCTTTCATAATCTGGTGTGGTAGTTAATTTTACGTGTCATTCATTTTGTTGGGTAGGCTATGGTGCCCAGATGTCTGTTCAAACACAAGTCTAGATGTTGCTATGGAGCTATTTTTCAGATGGGATTAACAGTTAAATCAATAGATTTTGAGTAAGGCAGATTCCCCTCCACGATGAAGGTGGGCCTCATCCAATCAGTCGAAGGTCCTGAAGAAGCCTGAGGTCCTCCCAGGAGGAAGACTGCCTGTAGACTAAGGCTGCAGCATCAGCTCTTTCCAGGGTCTCTAGCCTGTCAGCCTGCACAGCAGATTTCAGAATTGCCAGGCTTCCCAATTGTGTGAGCCAACTGGTTAAAATGAGTATCTCTCTATATACATCCTATTGGTTCTCTTTCTCTGGAGAAGGCTGACAGGCACTTTATCACTCTTGCTCCCTTCCTAACACTGCAAGTGAAATGAATCCCCACCTTGGAAGAACTGGCCTCCTAGTCCTACTTTGCTCACACCCTATATCCTACCCTATGGGCACCCTACAGCCTTGTTATGAAATTGACTCTTCTTGGTGTAACAGTCAAGTTCTATTGTAGCCAAAAATGACACATGGGAACACTGTTCGATATGTCTTCTGGAATAGATGATGCTTACCTTTCAGAGTAAAAATTCCTAAACTTGTTCTTCTCTTCATTTACCGCATGATTAAAAGCAAAGTTGTGGTGGTCAGATTGACTGCAGTGTTAATCATTTACTAGGCAGCTAAACTTTTTTAGCTACTGACTCCATAGAATTGGATATGAGAAATATCCAATAAGTAGGCATGATTATTCAACAACGTCATTAAGAGATACACTACTTTAAATGGTGGCAGCAGTGAGTGGAGAATGCAGCTTGCTCCCTTTTTGAGGCCCCAGAGAGGGGTTTGTTGTCAAACTCAGGTCAAGGAACACCACATTCTTACTGAATAACTATCCTGTCTCCTTTATGCTGCTTGCTAGAAAAAAGGAAGTAAACTTGTGTCCTTCCTCTTGCAATTGTAGCAGCCATGAATGCGTGCATTTTGTAAGATTAACCCTCTTCATGGCTTTATATTACTTCATTCTAATCCTTGTTTTCCTTTAGGCCTGATTTCAAATCTCTTCCTTTTAAAAATCGTATTGCTCATTATGTATTTTTGTAAGCTGCCTTCAATCTTTTGGATGTGATGAGAAATAAACAAACCAACCAACCAGCGGCATTTCTAATATTAGAAATGGATGCGATCATCCTGGATTCCTTCCTCATTTCATTCAGAACTTAGACTCAAAATGACAAGGGGAAGGGATGATATAATTTGCCTTCCATCTCCTTCCTCAGGGAGAAAATCAATGCAAGTTTCTAAATGCCTATTACTTTCCCTCGAAATCAGATTATTAAAAACATAAATAATATCCAAACTGATATTCTGCCCCCCCGTATGGGAAAGGGGATACTGTCAGAACCCAGGTGCTACACCTGACCATGAAGTGGTTCTGCCTCACGTTGTGTCTGTGCTAAGGTATGCAAAGTCAGAGCACCCAGGAAAAGTCCCTTTGTCCCTCCTCCAACGGGCTATGGATTCCTGTCCTTCTCGATGTTTTCAAGAGTTGAGATATATATAATTTTCCATGTTACAAAACAGAAACTGTAAATTTATCTTGGTTCTAATTAATGACAGGCATTCCCAGGCCTTGCAGCTTGGAAATGTATTTCCAATGATGTAAAAGAATGTCTTTGGTCAGAGACAGTGGCTCATGCCTATAATCCCAGCACTCCAGAAGGCCAAGGTGGGTGAATAGCTTGAGGCCAGGAGTTTGAGACTAGCCTGGGAAACACAGTAAGATCCTGACTCTACAAAGAAAATGTTTTATAAGAAAAATTAGCCAGGCATGGTGGCACGTGCCTCTAGTCCCAGCTATCTGGGAGGTGGAGGTGGAAGGATCACTTGAGGATGCAGTGAGCTATGACTGAGCCACTGCACTCCAGCCTGGGTGACAGAGTGAGACTCTGTCTCAAAAAAAAATTATTATTTCACAAAATTATCACAGCATTGCTAACTACTTGCTTCTGTTTACCCTGAATATTTTCTGGGTCTTTTCATTTTATTTTATTTTTTGGAGGAAGATTACTAAATCTTTGACTCAAATGATTTACCCTTAGGTTTGTCCTTATAAGACCTGGTGCTAATGTCTGACCGTCAGTTTCTTGCATTTCTCAACGGTGCCGCGAAGGCAGTGGTGACTCATCCACAGCACAGGCAACTCTACTTTCCCCTTCACATTCACAACGTCCTCAACAAAGGCTGCATGGAATCCTGGGATGAGCGCTTCAATACCTTCCTCCCTCTCCCACTCCCTGTGCAACTGGCCCTTTTTACTGTTATACTGAAGGAAAATGCCCGGGCGGGTTTCCATAAGCTTCCCCATTATTTGCTGGCACAGAGCACATAAAGCCTTATCATGGAGCAAAATGAAATCTGAGCAGGGCCCGTGAAAAGACCAGTACTGACATAACCCCATGCAGGATGTACAGACACGGAGCCCGGCACGGGACAGCCCCCGAGCTTACTTAAATGAAAGAGCATCAACACAATGTTATAGAAAACTCACTCTTGTGCTGGTAGGAGCCTGATGCTGAAAGGGAATTTGGAGTTCTGAGTCCCAGCTTTGCCCCTAACTAGCAGGGTGACTTGGAGTAGAGGTCACATCCCTTGCACCTTAATGTCCTTTGACATAATGATGGATTTGTACCAACTCAGGGATTACACTCCCTCATGCCTGGAGGCCCAGTATTGTTAGACAATGAGGTGGGAGGACTTGAGGCTCTGAAAAGACATCCCTTGTCCTCCATGCATAGGGGGCACTGCCCCTCTGTTCAGGGCCATCACTACCCTGCAAATACACCCATCAACCTCCCAGAACACTCGGCAAGCTGGGGACACAGCCGGCCACTCAGCCTGGAGCCCAAAGAGCAGCTCCTCTCACAGTGCCAGGAGCTCCTGCAGCTGTGGCCTGAATGGCTGTTGGCCACTAGAGAGTGCTGCCCCCACCACTGCCCCCAGCAGCCGGCTCACTGGGTTCTAGGAACAAACTCAGGGCCTGCACTTCTTCCTCTGCTTCAAAACAGACTCCCCAGGCCAGCCAGGTGAGAGCTGCTCACAAAAAACTCTTCCATCAACAAGGCTGCTGGCTGCCAACGCTGGATGTTGGTGTGATGCGGATTGTAAACACTCTTTTGTCGGGCCTCTATTATAAAATAATAGAAACATTTATAATAAATGTTTAAGAGAATTGATAAAATTAATAAATTGTATTATTACAAAATAATAAAGACAGCATATGTGAGCTGGAACTTCCTCTAGGTATCTGAGGGTCGATTTTAATTCCAGACTAGGCACCCACCTGGAGTTTCAGAGCTCCCCCATCGCTGGGTTTCCTGGTAGGAAACAGCTCATTGCTGGGTGGGGTGGGGAATGAGGGCTACCCAATTGGTCTGTTCTTTGCTCCATCACCAGCCCCTAGTCCAGTTCCTGATATAAGGTAAATGCTTTAAAAGGTTGGTGAATGAATCAATGGACGAGATTGACACCTTTCCATTGACCTCTAGGTGCAGACATGATTGTCGTAGCAGAGAAGACATACGTGAACCTGATCTATGTCAGATGTTCTGCCACCCTCGTCTCCTGGAACTGGAAGACAGGAGGAATCTCAATACAGATCATGAGTTTAGACCTGAAAAACGCTTTCATGGCTTTTCCACCACATGCTCCTAGGGGGCAGGGTCGGGGGGAACAAAACACAAACAACCTGTTAGCCACTCTAAAACTATATAGGATTATACACTCTCATACACTCATGAGTGGGGACCTGGCTTGTGGAAAAGGAAAGAATGGCATGAAGAATGTCTCCAATCGGAGGACTGGAGACCTCTCTAGGGAGGTGTGGAGATTGCTGTGACGTTTCCATAACTGACCTAGGAGGAGGAGGGCACAAATCCACCTCCAGGTTTTCAGATGCTGCTGAGTTATTATAAGGAATATAATAGGTTCCCTTCATCCAAGGAATGGGAAAAACCACAGAAGAAGTTTTGAGTGAGATTTAGGCATAAGAGTGACAGCAGGTGGCACTTCAGGGTGTGCACGGTTAGGTTAATAGACTGACTTACCAAATGAACAGCTCCACACTCTCATTTTGCAACCTAGGAAGTGGGGGTGAGGAATATGCTCAGGACGTCCCCTGAAGACCCTAACATTTTCTTTAGTCCGAAACTTACACACAAGTCTGGATCCACCCAGGAGGATGGAAATTGACAACGAAGAGACAATAGGTACACCCCCACATTGCCACCTATTCCTGGACGCAGGGTGGAGGTCTGGTGGCCACAGGCAGGGACGCGGAAATGCAGCTGAAGGCGGTCAATCTAGGTGAGGAGAACAAATGATGGGGAGTACGAGAGAAATGTTCACATATGGGAAGAAAAACGCACCAGAGTGCACCAGTGTGTAGCATTTGCAATTTCTTTCAATAATGTTTCCTTTGCACTCACAACTTGGCTGTTTGGTGCAAGAAGCCTAGCTTTCGGCCTGTTTTGGCTTTCGGCGTGCCTTTCTCACTAAGCTTAATCATTTCTAGCTTCTGATTTACACTGAGGGACGTGCAACTCCTCCTTGCACTTGAACACTTACAGGCCATGGTAGGGTTATTAACTGGCCTATTTCCGATAGTGCTAGGTCTCAGGGTATAGGAAAGGGAAGCCCAAAAACAGGAGAGAGAGAAAGAGAGAGACGGTTGGTGGAGCAGTCAGAACACACACAACACTGATGGATTCAGCTCGCCGTCTTCTATGGGTGCTGTTCATGGTGCCCCAAAACAACCACAGTGGTAAGATCAAGGATCGCTGCTCACAGGTCACCATGACAGACAGAATGATAACAGAAAAGTTTCAAATATTGCAAGAATTACCAAAATGTAACTTGAGGACACTCAATGCGCACATGCTATTCAAAATCTGGCGCCAATAGACTTGCTCGACGCAGGGTTGCCACAAACCCTCAGTTGGTAAAAAACACAGTAACTAAAGCAAAGTGTGATAAAGTTAGATGTGCCTGCACTGTGCCTCCTCCTTTTCTCAGGGGTCAGATGACACTGAAGCATAGCCTTTCCCTGCAGGTCCCATGGGATGAAGCTCCAGGTGGTGACAAGTGAATTAACCACGGGGCTTTGGTGGCTGCCTTCCCACCTGGGTCACTGCCCTACTTCTCCGCCAGCATTCACAACCCTCTCAGATGAAGCCCCTTCCTCTCAGCTCGTCTTCTCAGTGTCTGCTTACAGGGGAGCCAACTAAGGCAATTCATAGCAGAGCTGAGGAATCTTGCAGCACAGAGGCTAATGCATCCCCCTATGGGATGGAGCTGATGATACAGGAATGGAGGCACGAATGGCTGATGATTAGAATGGGAAGACATAAAGATAGGATCCAACTCTATAACAGCACAATTTCCAAGGGAAAAGAGAATTTGGATCTGTTTTCTATATTTCTGAAAATACTTCACCAAGCATTTGTGTTATGTGTTACCCCATATACGAGTACAAAAAAATATAATGTAGAAAAAAATGAGATAGTTTTAGGTATCAAGCAGATGAGATTATCTCAAAAAGTAATGCAGGATGAAAGAAATCATTAGATTCAAGAATACTTTCAATACGATTATGAAACAGTTTATTCAAAATAAATTATTAAAGAGATCTAGTGATAGTAGGAGTGGGCCTCTAACTTGTCAAAATGATGGCTAGGAAAGACCCGCAAATGTACAGCCGATGGCAGGAATATTGGACTGATCTCAGTAGTAAGATGGTCTTTTTTTTTTTTTTTTTGCCCTAGAGACGGGGTCTCACTCTGTCACCCAGGCTGGAGTACAGTGGTGCAATCATAGCTCACTGCAGCCTCAGACTCCTGGGTTCAGGTGTTCCTCCCACTTCAGCTTCCCACGTAGCTAGGATAAAAGGTGTTCACCACCATGCCCAGCTAATTTTTTTAAATTTAGTTTTTTGTAGAGTGGGATCTCGCTATGCTGCTCCGGCTGGTCTCGAATTCCTGGCCTCAAGCTATCTTCCTTCAGCCTCCTGAGTAGCTGGGACTATAAGTGTGTGCCACCATACCTGACTAATTTTTTTATTTTTTGTAGAAACATGGGGTCTTGCTATGTTGCCTAGGCTGGTCTTGAACTCCTGGCCTCAAGGGATCTTCCTGCCTCCACCTCTCAAGTTGCTGGGATTACAGGCGTGAGCCACTGCACCCAGCTCTAAGCTGGTTCTTATGTTCCTAAAATATGAATGACTGTTATAAAAATGACCACCAACTATTTTGAAAAAGGACTGGATATAAAAATAGATTTTCAACAAATGAAGATGAGATGTCACTGAAGTTTTCAGGGGGCATTCTCACCTCTTTGCTGTTGTTGAGAATATTCAGTACCCTCACAAAGTGATACTGATAAATAACTAAGTGATACTGATAAATAACAGTATGAGATCCATTACTATACACAAAGCTCTAAAAATCATGCAACTCCTATCAGAAGGCAAGAATAGGTGTTGACATCTCAGAGACATTTTGATGGTCATACTGTGTGGCTTTAACAATTAACATGATAACAGTGTCATAGCTCATGGAAATATACCCCAGATCAAAGGGTTTTCACAAAGTTAAGGTAATAGGCCAGCAGTGTTGCCTTGCCTTGCCCTGACAGTGTCCCAGGGAAGTGCTGAGACAGCATGAGCACAGCCTCCTTAGCGTGCTGGCACAGTGACGCTACCAGGCCACAGGGCACCCGGCGTGGGATGCCATCCAGGAGTCGCTGTGAATGGCCAACTTGCACAAAGTCTGCTTTGGAAGGAATATATTTAACAGAAGCTCTACCTAGAGTGTGATGGTTCTCCACAAAATGGAAGTTCTAGTATCAATAGTAGCCGCATCTGGGAAAGTGCCAAGGTGAAACTGACAAGCTCAGCACAACAGGCATAAGCTAGATGACCACGCAGCCACCCGCCAGCTCTGGTGCACCATGGGGCTCCATGCCAAGAGGCGCACAGGGATGGCGAGCTGGCTCTGGGACCTAGGGCCTTCCCCTGCCACTCTGGGAAGTGAGGGTGCAGGGAGGAGTCTCTGGGTGTTCTGACTCGTGTCTTCCTCCTCATCCTACTGTCAGATGACTCTCCACTGTGCTCCAGGGAGCTAGATTGAACACTTACATATTCAGCTTTCTCGTGCAGTTTCATAATTTATTTTAAGGATATTTCACAAGAAATTTATCAATGCCACCTTTTCAAAGACCAAAATTATATATGTGTATGGGAGATTTAGAATCTGGTGAAGATTTTAAAATTTCAAAGAGCTTTATTAAATCATATGTTCACTCATATAAGTAACTGCATACAGATGCAACTGCCTAGATACAAAAGAGGTGACGCTAACAGGATACGTGTCCATGCAATGCCCTAAATCAGCGTGACCTGACACATCTCGACATCATGCTTCTCTTTCTCTTCCTCTCTTCCTCCGCCTGCCTACCTCTCCCATCCCCTCCCTTCTCTCTTTGCTTCATTCCTTCCTCTCTTCCCTTTTCCCTCTCTCCCTTCCTTCCTTCTCAATCATTTCTCAGAATGATGAAAAATAGTATAATATAAAATATTTAGAACCATCACATCCTTTGTTTTGTTTTTCACTTAATTGAGAAAAGTTTGACTGACAAGAGCAAAATGGGGCAGGTCTTGCATTTTCCACACCGATTGCTTCTGCTGCCCTGTAGCATATCTGGAGCTGTTAATTACACCTGCTGACTGAAAGTTTTAATAAGTACTTCTGTGATGAATGTTCTTTTCACATCATTAGAAAATGTGTATTTAAAAAGAAGCCCAGCTTCAAACCAAATAATTACCTAGAATAAACACCTATTATTTTAATTGTTAGTAGGTTACAATTACTGAATCTTAGTAACTTTCATCTTTTCCAGAGCACGCTTTTTGAGTCCAGTGGACAACCTATTACTGAGGAAGACACTCTGACTTTATGACATATGACCTTCAGCCAAAAAGTGTAAGAAACTAAAATTAGAAAGTTTTCTTCATTTCATAATGACGACAAGACTGGTCATTTGAGTGGAAAGCTCAAAATCTGTCATTAATTACCATAAAGATGGCATAGTTTGGAGTCAATGGCAAGTATATCCAATACCTTTTTCTCCCTCCAAGTCCTGGTTACTGGATGGACGACTGTGCTGGGCACAGCACAAACACTAAACGGGAACATCAGCCCCGTGATCAATGGGACAGGATGAGCAAATGCCAGCCGTGTGCCCTGGAATTACCAGAGGGTGCCCACTACCCATCACTAGCTCTATGACCCCAGCCAGCCCTTCCCACTCTAAACTTCAGCAGGGGCGATGGCTGACTTGAGGCTGAACCAGCATTTTACAATTATCTGTCCATGGATTAAGCTTCTAGGACTCTATGCCGATACTGGTTTTGTGGTTGTTTGTTTTGTTTCTTTGGGGGTGGGGCATAAAGAATTCAGAGAAGCAGAGGACTCTTCAAACATGCTCTGAAGGAATCAATAAAAATGAGAGCCATAGGTGTGTCACCGATGCTATTTGTGGAGTTTCTGTGATCCATCTCCTAAGTTATTGCTTATGTCCATCTGGAGTTCAACCATACTGGATAAAGGCTACTGTGATCCACATTCACTGCATTGGTTCTATGGGACAGGAATCATAGAAGTCACTTTTGAGGAGTGGCTGAGAAATTCTGATGCTACATAAAGCTAGCCACTGACAGCTGGCTACCCAGGCTGAACACTGTAATATTCAAAGAATCCTACAAAGGTTTCCATAGATGATTTCAGCTGTCTTAGGAGTGGCTAAGCTGTTGACAGGACTGTAAAGCACAAATCTGTAATAAAACTTCAGCTCCTCTTTATTCTGGTTTCTTTAAGCCCCATTTTCTTATGCAGATCCTAAAGCAGGAATAACACTCCTGGAATTGCCTCTCTTTTAAAAGGTTCACAGAGATTTCAACTCATATTTGTCCTCGCCACATTCCTGCAGAATAGAGATGGGTTGGTGGAATCACAAGGCCTCTTTATGAAGTGAGTTCAGTGGTTTGTAATTTCAGGACTGACCCAGGATGGCCGGGGTTAGTCCCAGGTCCCCCAGTGCCCCGCCTGGGACAGTCTTGGTCTCCTGCACCTGGCTTCCTGCGACCTCCATCGCAGACTTGCCCTGGTGACTCAGATGCTTCTACACACACCACAGGAAAAGGGACAGCAAACGTGTACTCAATCACACCTGTCACCTGGAGAATGACAAGGTTCATAAACCTGAAAAAGAGAACTTTATTTCTCATAAAGGGTCACAGCCTGCATGGCCATTCTGACAGGCTGGGAAGCTTGACTACCCACCACAGGCTGGAAACAGACACTTCCAGGAAGGGGCAAAAGGAACTGGAGTTTATGCAGAGTGAGGTGGTCAAGTAAACATGTTTATTAAGCTATGAGGAGTCACGAATATTTATGCAAGGAGAAACATTACACTTCATGCCTCATTACACGTCATGCCTCTTCTTGGGACCCATGTTCAAAAACTGGTGGCGTTAGCATGACCCCAGAGTGGAGTTTTCAGCCCTCTGACATCAAAAGGTGAGGCAGAGGACACGAAACCCCTCACTGTGCATCCATGTCAACCAACCAGAACCACTCTGTGCTGGGTGGTCCCCAAGCAGGAAGGAATGCTGGCCGGTTGTTCTGCTGAAATTACAAGGGAGAGGCCGCCTGGGGAGGCTGTCTGCCATCAGCGGTGAAGCCAGCCTTTCCAAAGGGCTGGTCTGTTTAATTCTTAAGAAAGAAGCCTAATCATGGTCAGCAAGGGAGGGACGATAACGAGGCGTGCCTGATCTCCCCTCCTGCCATGGCTAGGAAAGTTTTCAAGATTGCTCTAGGGTGCCCTCGGCCAAGAGGGTGTCCATTCAGTCAGCTGGAGGGCTTAGAATTTCATTTTTATTTCTCTAACCTAAACTAACAGCTCTAAAATACATCTAAAATAGGGTATTGGCCATACCCCACTAGATACAGCTCTTTTTTTTACCAATCTGGAGAATGAGAAGGTACACGGATTTTTTTTTTTTTTTGAGACAAGGTCTCACTCTGTCACCCAGGCTGGAGTGTAGTGGTGCAATCATAGCTCAGTGATCCTCCCGCCACAGCATTCTGAGTAACTGGGAATACAGGTGCATGGCATGACACCTAGCTATTTTTTTAAACTTTTTGTAGTGACAGGGTCTCACTATGTTGCCCAGACTGGTCTTGAACTCCTGGCCTCAAGTGACCCTCCCACCTAGGCCTCCCAAAGTGCTGGGATTACAGACATAAGCCACCATGCCAGGCCTGAAATTCTTGTACAAAAGCAGTTACAAAGACTTGGGGACAAATACATTGGAGGCACTAATGGTTTCATTCTAGGCAAATAAGAAAGAAACGGTTTCTTGACTACCAATAAGATTAATCCTGAGCCAAGTCAAATTATCACTCAGCCCTGGCCTGTTGGTGTCGGCATGGACATTAGGACAAAACGTAGATCAGGTGGGGACATAGAGCTGGTGATGGGTAGTGGGCACACTCTGGTCATTCCAGGGCAGACGGCTGGCATTTGCTCATCCTGTCCCAGTGATCGTGGGGCTGATGTTCCCACTTAGTGTTTGTGCTGTACCCAGCACAGTCGTCCATCCAGTAACCAGGACTTGGAGGGAGAAAAAGGTATTGGATATACTTGCCATTGACTCCAAATCATGCCATGTTTATGGTAATTAATGACAGGTTTTGCATAATTCCTTGCACCAGAGATCAAAATTCTTGCTCTGTTTGATTCTGGTGCAAGGAATTATGCAAAACCTGTCATCATTAAATGCATGATTACATCAGTGGTGATGCAAGAGTTCTGGCCAATCGCATTTGTTCTACAGATCTCTTTCAAACCCCAGCTGATCCAGTCCTCTTCTCCCCTCCCCACTCACTCCCCCTCCTCCTGTTCGCAATGCATCTTCCCATTCCTGGTCCTTATTCCCTCCTCTCCCTCCCCTTCTTTTTTCTTCAGGATTCTTTTAGCACAGGTTGGACAGCAAATACCTTCTCAGCTGGTACTGAGACACTGAGTCCCAGTCTTGCTCTCCCTGCTCTGTTTTCATTTCTATCTTCTCAAACATCCCTTAGGTTTCTCTTGTTTTTTCCCTCTTTTCCCCTTTTTAATATATGAGTTTTGTATATGAGTTTCTATGGTAACATGAAGCAAAGAAATGATTTCTTTATAAATTTCCTGGTACGGAAGGAAAGAACCATCAAGATGCAAAGACGGGGAAGAAAAAAGAAGCCTGAACAATAGAAAGTAAAAAGGATTAGGGGACTTCACATGGGTGAATCCCAAAAAGGCCACCCCAGGGAGCCTCTGGCCCTATTAGCATCCCTTCCATTCATTACATCCACTCTGCTTCCAGGCAGCTACCTCAGCTGAGCTAGCAGCCTCTCAGAGTAAGGAGGATAGATAGGAAGCGAATGACCCATGGCGAAGGGAATTTGCAAGCAGGTTCTTCAGGGAAGGGAAGGAAGAAAAAAAATTGAATCACAATTTGTTTAATGACCTAATCTCATGAAAAAGGAATTACAAGAAATAAGGTTACTTATCTGTTCCTTCCCTGGGGGTTCTTCTATACTTAATTAATTTCCTACCTACTGATATCAAGACCCAATTTTTGGGTCATTTCAAAAATTCTCAACAAGTTGAGAAAACAAAGAAAACAAAGAAAGAAAGAAAGGCCTTGCTAGTAACTCAATAATCTGCCCCACAACCCATTCCTTATGTGCAGCTCATGGATCTTACAAATATATTGGTGTATCTTCCAGTTTTAGCATCCTTAATCAAAATGTATTATTTATATTGTATCTATTATAACTAACCTGCTCACTGGAGCCTTACACCAGGGTCATGTGTTGGTTCAAGTGGCTGTGATTAGAATTTACTGATTCTTCTCAGTAGCTTGCCACAAATCAGTCTATAGTAAATTAGACTAAAGAGAACATAATTATAAAAATTAGAATTGAAAATAACCCAGAAGAACATATCAACCTCTGCTTCAATACTTCTCACATTGATCAACTCAATATTGACGGGCTTCAAGCCAAGTGTCTTTTCTGCCATCCAAACATGAATTAATCTCATGGAGGTGATCTTTCTCTTCTCAGAAACAATCCCTTTTCTGGTTTGTGGTTGTCTAAGAGAGAGGGTATCCAACTGAAATACACTTTAACATTACAACAGAAATAAGAGACCAAACAGATTGCATGCAGGAGGAAGGTAGTTACAGCTAAACTACCTTTTCTTGGTGGCAGCAGAAACCTTTTCAGATACAAAAGTTCCCATGTTTGAACATCACAAAGATCTCCTTTATATTTCTGTGAAATCTTTAGATATTAGTATTTGGTAAAACAATCAGTTATAGTCCAAAAGTAATTTTCTATCCCGCCAAGACTGTAATCAACTCAAAAAAGCAAGTATTTTGACTCTAGCTTGGAAGCTAGAGATGGCATTAAATTGTGATTATTAATTCCCTAAGTTTTGCACTCAAAGGCTTATGTTCTGCATCATGCATGGCTGACTACTATTTGGAGGTAGCTGATAAGGATACATGCATATTTACTTTAGTCACAAGTCTACATGTGATAATCCCAATAGCTTTTGCAATGAAGGCAGAGAAAAAAATCTTTTTCGTATTATTTATACTGCTTTGATAATGGTATAGTATAAATGCATGTACACTAGGATGCTTTGTGAATCAGAACTACACACAATCAGACCAAGAAATCTCGTTTTACTTAGCCTAGTTCTAATGTTTCCAATTTTGAGAAAAGTTCATTTCTTTTCTATTGGACAAAAATTTTCCCTAAAGAGCAAAGGATTTAGATCCGAACTTTAAGAAAACTATTGGTTACACAAAGGATTGAGGGAGAATATATGCAAAAATTAGAGTCCATGAAAACCAGAACTGCACAGGAAGATCTCTCCCGCTCCCAGGCTCAGACGTCTTTCAAATATTAAGGATCTAATGTCACAACAGTTCCAGCTGGCCAAAATAAACCCATACCAATAATCTATAAACAGGGATTTCTCATTCTAAAGAGCCTTTGTACATTGTTTTACTTGACTCTGACAAGAATCAGGTGAAGAATACATGTATCAGTAAATGTTTTCACAGGTAAGAAAATCCAAAGCACAGAAAGATTATTGAGTTGCCTGAATTCACTCAGCTGATTAATGGCAGAGCCCCAAGCTGGCTCAGCGTTCCTAGCAGTCTCTAAACGTTTCCAGAAAAATGAAACAGCAAGAGGAAACATAAGAGAGGAAATGGAAAGGAATTTCCCCTGCGAGATCATGCTAAATACACAGGCACTTCATGTGCCCTTGTTGGCCTGGTATGAGGAGTTCCACCAGAGCGGTATTTCCACCACATGAGAGCTACACTTCACACTCCCAGAGGAGGTGATCTTGAAACCTCTGGCAGATTTCTGCCTCCCACTCCAACATGTAAAGAGCCTGAAGTTCATCACTCCTGTTCTCACAACAAGAAAAAAAAGCTGAACAAACAAAACAAAACAACTCTTATTAGATCCATCCAAAAACTGAATCCATAGGACAAAGCCCTGAAAACTGGAGAGAGAGAGAGAGAGATAGATACAGAGAATCATAGCTCACTAAGAGGGGAAACTGCCGCTGTAGCCAGCAACTGTTGGGAAAACATACTTGCTGAGATTGTAGATGGAGCATAGCCTACCTTGAGAGTTAAAAATTCCTGGGGGCCCAGTCTTAGGAGAGCCCCTATACTTTTGAGAGTTTTTCCCACCAATAGGCCCATCAAGTTCTCAGATGAAGACTACAGAAAAATCCCCTTGTTCTTCCAGCAGGAAGAGAGGAAAAGAAATCATCTTCCACTGGGCTCAGTGGCTCACACCTGTTCTCCCAGCTACTCAGGAAGCTGAGGTAGGAGGATCACTTGAGGCCAGGAGTTTGAGAACAGCCTGGGCAACATAGTAACATATGTAACAGCCTGGGCAACATATAAAAATTAAAAAATTTTTATAAAAGAAATCATCTTAAAATCCACCCATAGAGTCTTCTTCCCTTAACAAAGGCCTATCTGCAAGGATAACTACTTTACTAGAGCCTAACCAATATGGGGGAAGGAAAGTACCTGATTCCAGACAAATCTATTCTTCTTCTCTCACTTAACGGGGAGAAAAAGAGCTGAGAAGCACTTGTGAAGGTCACAGGCCAGGGACACAGACTTACTAAAAACTGTGACCTAATCACAGAAATATAAAATACTTCTCCCTGATACCTTACCATGACCCCAACAGGGCTCTTGTGTAATAACAAGGAATCACCACTGAAGAACTGAAAGGCTCAGATTCTATTTAAGAAGGAACGTCTAGAGAAGCCCAAAGACAAAAGAGAAGACAAAAACAAGAACACTAGATGAAACTTTAACCTCTAACATCTACAGCTACAGCAAAGAGTAAATACACTTGAACCCCTAGCCAGATAAATATAAAGCCTCACTCTAAAGACTGATTTAACTTAGTTCTCTTTATCCAATGCATCATGTCTGGTTTTCAACAAAAAATTACAAGAGGCTCTAAAAAGCAAAAAACACAGTCTGGAGACAGAGTCAGCATCAGAGTCAGATTTAGATACAGCAGAGATTTTGTAATTATCAGACAAAAAATAAAAAATAGCTATGACTAATATGCTTAGGGCTCTAATAGAAAAAATGTGCACAGTATGCAAGAACAGATGGGTTATGTAAGCAGAGGGATAAAGACACTAAATAAGGATTGAAAGAAAATGCTAGAAACCAAAAACACTGTAACAGCAATGAAGAATGCCTTTGATGGGCCCATCAGTAGATCAGACATAGCTGGGGAAAGAATCAGCGAGCTCACAAATATGTCAATAGAGACTTTTCAAACTGAAAAATAAAGAGAAAAAAGACATTGACAGAATATCCAAGAACCATGGGGCAATTATAAAAGGTATAACAAACGTATATGTAATGGTAATAACAGAAGAAAGACAGGAACTTAAGAAATAGTCAGTGTAACAATGGCTAAGAATTTTCCAAAATTAATGACAGACTAAATAGAATAAATGACCCCCAAAAAATGTACACTTAGGCATATCATATTCAAACTGCAGAAAACCAAGGACCGAGAGAAGATCTTCAAGAAAGTCAGAAGGAAAAAACACGTTGTCTATAGAAGAACAAGGATAAGATTTATACCGGACTTGCTTCCAGAAACCATGAGAACATACAGTAGAGTGAAGAGCTGGAAGAAAGTCAGAGGAAAAAGGATAAGAACTACATCAAATTTTCTTTCAGAAACCATGAAAACATAGAGTAACATAGTTCAATTGTTGAAAGAAGATAACTAACAACCTGGAATTTTTTATTCAGCAAAATTATCCCTGCAATGCAAAGGAGAAATAGTTTCTCACAAACAGAAATTGAGGAAATTTGTTGACAGTAGTTCTGCTTTGCAAGAAATTGTTAAAAGAAGTTCTTCAGAGAGAAAAAAAATTTACATAGGTCAGGAACTCAGATCTGTATAAAGAAAGGGAAAGGATTAAAGAAAAAAATAAGTGATGGTAAAATAAAATATTTTATTTTCCTAATTCTTAATTGATCTAACAAATAACTGTTCAAAATGATAATAGCAACAATGAGTTTGGTGACTACAGCTTCTGGATAGGTGAAATAAGCAAAACATCCTGGAAGTTCTTCCCAAATCCTAGAAGCCAAAACAGAGAGCAGAGAGGCTTTTCCTTGATACTGAGACAGTAAATCCAAGGAAACTGTATCTTCAGGCATGGAGAGGCAATTTGTCTTTTCTTTCTGCCTATGAAAACTCCCAAAAGTCTTTTCTTCCACGGTAGGTTTAAGTAAGAAATTAGTAAGTAAATTCTACATGGGGAACCATGAAACAATACGAAGCAAAACCGGAAACAAAAAGCAACAGTGTTTGGAAGCTGAAATTATTTCTCTCTAAGATGGAAATTTTACATTCTTTGAGGTCTCTTCCCATATTGGACTTATAGGAATCTAGGTTATAAACATCCTTCCTCCTCCAGCTTATTTCCACAGGTGCACACATACTGATAAAGTAAACAGTGCAGTCTCTGTCACTCTGTCACATACTTTATTTTTTTTTATTTTAATAATAGTCACCTGTTTTTAATGCCTCCTGTGACTAGGCATGGTGTTTAGCATTTTGTATATACATTTTCCCATCTAAACCCCGCACACCTTTTTAAGATAGGTACTACTGCTATTACTATTATAATTACTGTTATTATTATTATCATTCAAACAATGAATAAACTGAGGCCCGATGACGTAGAGCAGAAAGGTGCAGGATTGCACTCCAAACTTTGGGACCTGCAATCTTACCTCCCATATACAGGTAATCATCTTTTCCTGGGGACAGAGATATGCTATGCCTGGTATAACCCCATGTACTCAGTCAGAATGGATTTTCAATACAGCAAACCTGTATACACTCTTAGCTTGACACTGGATCAACAGTTACCTGAATCTAGACAGGGGTTTCTCTTCTCAGGGTCCCAGGCAATCTGACTCTTGTCTCCCCAGCAACCAGCAGCCACACTGCCTTTTGCCACGTCGACCCATTCACCACACTTAGGCTGGAACCTGCAGAGGGTCTCAGGGACCCACAGTACAATCGAGAGTACCTGAACACCAATGCGGGTGGGAGACTTTGATGTCAAAGTGCTCCCACAAAAAACTCGCATATGAAGCATGTGTGCTCTGTGACCCCTGGCACTGCAACACTGGGCTACTTCTGACATTGCAATATTGCACCCCGACAATGGCCAACATGCAGTGAATTTAAGGGAATGTCAACAAATGACAAAATCAAATTTAGGGAATTTTTTTAAAAGAAATGATACATCAAAACTTGTGCTTTAAACACATTTATATCCAAACCCACAGAGTTGTTAAGAATCCTTGCAACATACAAGTCTCTTCTGGCTACTTCCACCTACTTGTGGCCTTGCAATTTCAGATCCCCACAGATTCCTTAGAGTGCTAAATGCATGGAAAGTGTAATTCTAAGATTTCAATTATTTTTAAGCACAAGATTATGAAAAATGTTTCTTAAGAAACACATTACCCTAAGTAATGATCTATTCTCAAAGGGTAAGCTTTTCCTTATTATTAAAATAATGTGATTTTCCTTTGAATGCCTTGGAAATAAACATAACCTATATGTGCTTTTCTTTAAAAAAGTAAATTACTAGATTTCTGCTTGAGAAAGAACATTTTCTGGAGAGAAGCAAAGTCTATCAGCACAATCTGTTCAATGACCAATGAGTCAATGTCTCAATCCCTGACCACCAAGGGTAAGCCTCCTACCCCTGCTGAGAGTGGCCTGTCTCCTTCCCTCCACCCTGGCACACTCTCTCAGGTCCTTCTCAAGTCCTCCAGTGAAGCAGGACCTCAGATAATGCAGGAAGAGGGAGCACATATGCCAGTCCATACCCACATTCACCCTTAAATGCTGCTTTTCAATTCTCATCCCACGGCTTCAGAGAGAGTGTGCAAAAAGTCCAATGTGTCCCCTGTCCCCTGGGGTTGAAAAAAGGGACTGCAATATCTCTTTATATCCCCCTCCTCCAATCCAAACATTTTTGAGGTCACTGAGCTGGTAAATCCTGCAAGCCCTCACTGAAGAAAATTGGTCTTAAATACAAGCTTCTTGAGGACCAGGCAACCACGCTGTGCTCTCATTTGTTTCTCCACGTTCACTGTTTCTCCCAGCAGAACTCCGGGCTCTTATCAAAAGAGATGCCACCAAATACTTTTATTTTTCCGTTGAATTACAGATCTATGAAATAATTTAGAACTCATCTGGCATTTCAACTTACCCCACCTCCCTCATCATCTTAGAGCTGATCAAAGGAGTCCCAGCTCATCAACTAAGCAAGCCTCTGTGAATCATGCCCAGCAAAAGAGACACAACAGCCCCCGTGCAATCTGCACAAAAGACAGATGCAAAGGAAGCTGCCAGGTTAGCCTCCCAGACTGCCAAAGAAATGTCAACTGATTATACCCCAGGAGGAAAGCGGACAGATGGATTGACATGAATAACGTCATTAGCCTCTTTGCCTCTGAGAATTAGAAACAGGGAGAAAATGCAATAAAGTGTTTACCCATAGACTCCACAACGTTAGGGTCGGGTAATATTTTGGTTGCTAAAATATTGCCAAAAGATGTATTTACTCTTTATTACATATTCTTCCATTTCTTTTGTGAACTGGCTATGAATTCCAAAGTGAAATCTATTAGAATTCAATGGATCATCTTGTGACCACACTCAGGGAATCACAATTATATACACATTTATAGGGTACTGCTCTGCAAACATAAACAACATTGTGACAAGGGACCTGCAACAAGAAAAAAGGAAGAGATTCTTTAAATGTTCAAAAGGATAAAAATAGAAAAGAGAAAAAATTTTAATGACAAAAAGTATACATCCAAGAGAGAAAACAAATGATAAAACAGAATGAAGAGGGAGGGAAGGGGCAACGTTAAGAGAGGGTCTGATGGGAGATGAGCGATATTTATGGGGCTAATCCTCCCTCTTTTGGGCTCATTATTGCCTTTCCCCTGTCGCTCCCCAAAGGCTCCCGCCTGGCTTGTGTTCACAGATGCATGTTTATTCTCCCTGCACTCAGCTGTCAGAAACTTCATCTGTTAAAATGTTAGCTTCAAAGACTGTGAAAAAGAAAGCCGATATAGTAAATCTAATTCATCAACTAAAACAATGACAAAAACATAACATTTATTTTTGAGTGAGCTATGTTGAACCTCTATAATAGTGACATAATTGCCCATTTTAGATTAAATAATTAAAATTTTAATAAAACTAAGAGAAAAAGGAACGTCATTCATATAGTGTGATGAGCGTTTGATTTTACATTAAGTTAATGTTATGAGAACAGTGAAAAAAAGGAAAAACGGACACAAAGTGCATTGAGAAGCAGGAATATAAATATTAGAGGAAAATTTGTCAGAGTTTAAGAAGAAGTTTCCAGAACTGGGAACAGTATCTGTTCCCACAGAGCAGCATTCATAGGGCATGAGATGGAGTACACAGAAGGTCTTGCCTCAGTAATAGTAATGATTAAATCTAGACTAGGCAATGCTCCAGTATTGCTTAACCAATATTAGCAAGACCCAAAAGGATAAAATGTTTCCAAGTAACGTAACTGTGTCAAAGAACAAAGCGCAAGAATATTTCTAGGAAGGCAAAAATATCCAGTACTCAGCAAGTTAAAATTCACAATGTCTGGCATCCAAACAGAGATTACCAGACAAGTAAGGAAGCATGAAAATATAACCCAGAATACGGAAGTACATCGGTGAATCAAAAAAAAAAAAACTCAAAACTTTTTTAAATGTCAGAATTAGCAAAGACATTTTAAAAGTTATTATAAGTCTATTCTCGATACTCAAAAAGTTAACTAGATCCACAAAAGATAACACAAAAGACTAAGATTGAGCTTCTAGAAATAAAATCAATAATATTTGAGATGAAAATACACAGATGGAAGTAGCTATACACTAGAACTTGCAGGAGAAAAGGTGAGTATATTTGAGGACATTGCATTAGAAACAACTCAAAATAAAATACAGAGAGCAAACAAAAGAAAAAATAAAAGAGCGTAAGTGAGATTTTTGAATTGAATAAAAATGGAAACATAATATTGTGGGCTGCTTAAATAAGAAATATTTAAGAAAATTTACAACCACTGAAAGTCTATTTTTTCAAAAAAAAAAGTTTCAAATCAATATCCTTAGCTTCCACTTTATAAAACTGGAAAAATTAGATAATATTAAACCCAAAGTTAGTAGAGGAAAGAAAATAATAAAGATCAGATTAGAAGTCAATAAGAGAGAAAACAAAAACAATACTGAAAAATCAATGAAACAAAAAGTTCTTCAAAAAAATCAATAAACCTTTACCAGACTGATAAGGAAAAAAAACAAACAAAACAGAGAATAAACAAAATTACTAACATTGGGAATAAAAGAAGAGACATCATTTCAGGGCCTACAGATGTCAAAAAGAAAACTAAGGGAATGTTATGAACAACTTTATGCTGATACATTCTACAATGTAGATGCAACAAATTCTTCAAAGACGAACTATTGAAGCAAACTCAAGAAACAATAGATAACATGAATAAACCTCTATCTATCAAAGAAATTTAATTTTTAGATAAAAACCTTCCCACAAACATGATTTCAAGGATAAATTCTACCAAGCATATAAGGAAGAATTAATATCAATTCTATGTAAACTCTTCCAGAATACTGACAAGTAGAGAACACCTCCCAGTTTATTCTCAGGTTAAAATTACCATGAGCCCTGAATCACAAGTAAATTTCAAGGGAGGAAAACTGCAGATCGGTATCCCTCATGAACATTTTGGCAGAAGTTTTCAATAGAATTTTGTAAATCAAATCTAACTACATATAAAAGGATAATATATCTTGACCAAGTTTCCAACAATTCAAGGAAAGTTTAACTTTTTTTAAGTCAATCAATGTAATTCAACATACTAAGAAAAAAAATTGGTTGATCCCAATAGACATGGGAAAAACATTTGACGAAAGTCAGCATCCTTTCCTTGTCTTACAAAACTCTCGGCCAGGTACAGTGGCTCACGCCTGTAATCCCAGCACTCTGGGAGGCCGAGGCGGGCAGATCATGAGGTCAGGAGGTCGAGACCATCCTGGCTAACAGGGTGAAACCCCGTCTCTACTAAAAATACAAAAAATTAGCCAGGCGTGGTGGCGGGTGCCTGTAGTCCCAGCTACTTGGGAGGCTGAGGCAGGAGAATGGCGTGAACCTGGGAGGCGGAGTTTGCAGTGAGCCGAGATCGCACCACTGCACTCCAGCCTGGGAGACAGAGCGAGACTCGTCTCAAAAAAAAAAACAACAAAAAAACTCTGCAAACGAGGAAGAGAAGAGGACTTTCTCAACTTGAGACAGAGCATCTGTGAAACAACTATTACAAACATACTTAACAGTAAAAAGACTGACTGCTTTCCTTCTAAATCAGGAACAAGACAAGGATATTGCTCTTGCCACTTCTTTTCAACACTTGAGAGATCCAGCCAGTGTGGTAAGTTGGGGGGAAAAAAATAGAGAGAAAAGCCATCTAGATTGGAAAGGATGGGGCAACACTGTCTTTATTCACAGATGACATGAAAATCCAATGGGATCTACAGAAAAGCTACTGGAATTAATAAACAAGTTTAACAAGACTGTGGGGTATCAAGTCAATGCACAAAAACAATTTTATTTCTGTATACTAGCAATAAACAATTGAAAATTTACATTAAAAATACTCCTTATATGATAGCCTACAAAAATAAGAAATAGAGATGAATATGACAAAAGACGTGAATGACCTATACAATGGAAACCAGCAAATATTTCAGAGAAATTTTAGCAGACCTAAATAAATGGAGAGATATGCCATGTTCACAGGTTAGAAAACTCATATTGCTAAGGTGTCAATTCTCCCCCAAGTTAACTGTGTATTCAAATCAATTTTAATCAAAACTTAACAGGCTTTTCAATGCAAAAATTGACAAACATTGCAAAATTCACATGCAAATTCAAAGAACCTAGCATAGCCAAAACAACATTTTCAAAAAGGATAAAGTCATACAACTAACACCACCTTATTTCAAGAGTTATTTTAAAGCTACAGTAATTATGATAGTGTGGTATTGGTATAACTATACATGGAGAGATCAATGAAACAGAATATAGTGTCCAGAAATAGACTGAAACATACCTGAACAACAGATTTTGACAAAGGTAGTTAGTTCAATGAAAAAGAAACATCAATAAATACTGCTAGACTAATTTGACATCTGTATATCCATAGGCGAAAACATCCATACCCCAAAAAGAACTTCAACCCAGACCTTCCACTATACATAAAAATCAAGTGGAAAAGAACCAGAGACCTAAATGTAAAACCTAAAACTATAAACTTCTGGAAATAAACACAGGAGGAAACCTTTATGATCTTATATTGGGAAAGGATTTATTTGATTCAATACCAAAAGCACAATTTGTAAAAAACACTACACTGAAAAACTTTTGTCTTTTGAAACATACAGTACACTGCTAAAAGAGGATGAAAACACAGACTGGGAAAGAATATTTGTATAGCGTATATCTGATAAAGAGCTTACATCCAATTATGTAAGGAACCCTTGAGATTCAACAATAAGGAAATAAACAACTCCATAAGATAATGGGTAAAAGAGTGGAACAGCCACTTTGCCTAAGAAAATATTCAGCAACTAATCACATGAACAGGTGTTCAACATCACTTGTCCTTAGGGACATACAAATCAGGAGCACTGCAAATCTACTCGAGTGGCTAATTTTAAAGAGATTGACCATACCAAGTGTTGACAGAAATAAGGAGAACCTGAAACACTCACCCACTGCTGATGAGAACATAAAATGATACTATCACAGTGGAAAACTTGTGGGTTATTTCAGAAAACATTAAATGAACACTTACCATATGATCCAGCCAATACACCCCTGAGTATTTACCCAAGAGAAATGAAAGCATATGTCTACACAAAGACTTGTACATGAATGTTCATAGCAGCCTTTTTAATTTAATAGTCAAACCTGGAGACAGCCTGTCTTAATCCATTTAGGCAGTTACAACGAAATAGCTGTAACAAAATACCATAAATACCATCTCTCAAATAGATGTGAGGAATACATTTCTGTTGTTTACAGCCTTTTGGAGGCTGGAAAGTCCAAAATCAAGTCTCCAGCAAATTTGGTGTCTGGTTAAGGGCCCTCTTCCTGGTTCATAAATGGCCTTTTTGCTTTAATCTCACATGGTGGAAGAAGCAAGAAATCTTTCTCCAGTCTCTTCCATAAGGACATTGATCCCATTCAGGAAGGCTCTGACATCAGGATCTAATCACCTCCCAAATGCCCCACCTCCTAATAAGCATCATTTTACTCCATTTTGTACTGCCATAACAGAATGCCTAAGACTGGGGAATTTATAAAGAACAGAAATTAATTTCCTCACAGTTCTAGAGGCTGGAAATTCCAAGATTCAGGCACCGGCACCTGGTGGGGGCCTTTTTGCTGTATCTTCACACAGTGGAAGGCAGAAAGGCAACAGAAAACCAATCCCTCAGTCAAGACCGTTTGCAAGGACCCCTGATCCCATTTGCAAGGGAGGAGCCCTCATGGCCCAGTTATCCTTTAAATGTTCCACCTCTTAATCCTATCCATTGGCAGCACCTGAGGACTCATTCAAACCACAACAATCTGATTCTGGCCCCCTAAACGCTGTCCTTTTCACATCTGGAATACATTCACTCCATGCCAATAGCCCAAAAGTATTAACTCATCTCAGCATCAACTTTGAAGTCTAAAGTCCAAAATCTCATCCAAACATTGCATGAGTGACATTCAAGGTAGAATTCATCCCAAGGCAAATTTGCCTCCAGCTGTGAGTCTGTGAAATCAAACAAGTTATATACTTTCAAAAGACAATGGAGGGCCAGGCATAGGATAGTGCCAAAAGAGAGGAAAGAACAGGGTAACAGGTCCCAAGTAAGTCCAAAACCCAAAGGGGGCAAGCATTACATCTTAAGACTGAAGAACAATCTTTGACTCAATGTACTACCTCCTGGACACACTGGGGTAGAGGATGAACCCCCAAAGCCCTGGGCAGCCCCACTTTGCTGGCTTTGCGGGACCCACACCTTAGCTCTCATACATTCAAGTCAAATGCCTGTGGCTCTGCCAGGCTGGCGTTGCATATTGATGGCTCTACATTCTGGGGTCTTGGTGGCAGCCAGGCCCCAAGACTCCACTAGGTAATGCGTTATGGAGGCTGTCTGTGATGGTTCCACCCCTGTGGCAGTTCTCCGCATGGGCCTTCTCTGAGATAGGCTTTGACATCTGGGAGGAGGAAGGCATGCCACCACAGCTCTTGCATTCTGTGCACCCACAGAATCAGTACTAAGGGTACACTGCCAAGGCCTAGAGCCACTGTCAGAGCCACAGTTCAGCCTGCTTCAGCAACAGCCAGGGTGTCTGGGAAGTGCTGTGCCAGAATGTGGAGAAAAGACTTAAAGTAGCCTTGGGAAGTAAGTCCTGAGGTCCCACAGGTGCCCTGCATCCATTCTGCCATCAAGGTTGTAGCATTTGGAGTCTGCCATGGGAAGTCCTTGAACCTCTCTCAAGTGTCTTTGAGGTCATTCTCCTATTGTCTTGATGTATATAGCCCCTGGCTTCCTTTTATCCGTACTAATCTCCTTGCCAAACAGTCATTTGGCCACACCCTTGGTTTTCTCTCCTAAACACATTTTTTTAGTCTTTAAATGGCCAGGCTGAGAATTTTGCAAATCTCTACATTGTCCTTCCCTTTTAATTATAAATCATCTTTAAATATTTCTCTCTTCTCATATTTTACTGTAAGCATGTAAAAGAAGCCACGAAGGATCCTGAACACCTTGCTGCTTTGAGATTTCATCTGCTAAATATCCTAGCCATTGCTTTTAATTGCTGCCTTCCAGAAAGTCCTACAGCATGTATATAATTCTTAGCTGCCTTATAACAAGGGTGACCTTTCCTCCAGTTTTCAATACCTTGTTCCTCATTTCCCTCTGAGACTTCATCAAAATAATCATCACTGCCAACACCACTTAGGTAATCTCTAAGGAGAATGAGGCTTTCCCTTCACCTCTCCTCTTCTTCTGAGCTCTCACCAGAATCACTCTTAATGCTTCATTCACTGCAATATAGGCTTTTTTCCAGCGTTCACTTCAGAACTGTCCCAAGCACTAACCACTGCCCAGTTCAAATCCCACTTCTACGTTTTTTGGTATTTGTTATAGCAACACTCTCCTCCTCTGACTTACCCTATCAAGTCCTGCCCTAGTCCAGTTGTGCTGCTATAACAGAATGCCTGAGACTAGATGATTTATAACGAGCAGAAATGTATTCCTTCACATTTCTGGAAGCTGGAAAATGCAAGATCAAGGTGCTGGCATAATCTGTTAAGGGCTTTCCTGCTGTGTCCTCACATTGCAAAAGGCAGAAGGGTAAGAGGGAACCAACTGCCTTTATCAAGCGCCTTTATAAAGACATCTGATCTCATTCACAGGGAAGAAGCCTCACCACCTCTTAAAGGCTACACCTCTTAATATTATCACATTGGCACACCTGAATTTTGAAAAGGAAACATTCAAACCACAGCAACATCGTATTGGGGGTTAGGATTTCAACATACAAATTTTGGGAGACATAAACATAGTCCAGCCCAAATGTCCATCAACAGATGAATGATAACAAACTCTGGCATATATCTATATAATGAAACTCTATTCACCAATAAAACAGGATGAAGTGTTGATACAACTCAAACATGGATAAATCTCAAAAACCTATGCTGAGCAAAAAGCAAAACAAAACAAACAAACAAAAAACCCAGACAAACAAGAGTACATTCTATACAATTATATGTATAGAACATTCTAAGAGACACCAATCAGTGCAGACAAAAGATGAGGGTGGACACGAGAGAGGAAGGAATTATGAAGGAGCAGCAGGAAACATTTGGGGGTAGATGAATATGTTCATTCCCTTCATGATGGTGATGGTTTCCTGGGTTTTCACAGTTCACCATAGGGTATCATTTAAATATGTGCAGTTCATGGACATAAAGATGGGAACAATAGATACCAGAAACTCCAAAAGGAGGGAGATAAGGAGGCAGGCAAGAGCTGAAAAACTTCCTATTGGGTACCATGTTCACCATCTGGGTTCCAGGATCCACCGAAGCCCCAACCTCAGCCTCATGCAATATACCCTTGTAACAAACCTGCACATGTTTCCCCTGACTGTAAAGTTAAAATTAAAAAACAATAAATAGATAAATACATATGTGCAGTACATGGATGTTGATTATGCCTCAAAAAACTAAACAAAACAAAGACTATCCCACTCCACTCAATGTTCATTCACTTCAATCAGAAGATGCTTCAGGCTCTATCCACCTTCGAAACTCAACGGGGTCCCAGCACAAAAATTGAACCTGGCACAGCGCCTGAGGCAATACCCGCCTCATGCAACGAAACAACCAGGCATGACACATACTTATCCATAAAATCTTCATACAAAAGAGTTCATACAGAAGTGTTACAGGAGCCTAGAAATCCTTCCTTGGAAATTCACACTTAGCTGTTATTTTCAAAAACCTAGGTAATAGTCACTTAGGGCTTTGGAATCAAATTGAGGGGTTTTTTTTTTCTGTTCCTTTTCATTTTATGGCATGTTATGCTTTGTTAATATATTCATTGCTTCATCAAACATTTATTTAGCACCTAATGTACACAAAGAAATGGACTAACTGCAGTTAAGGAGAAAAAAGGTTTGCTTCCTTTTCTGATAAAATCTGCACTAACTTGTTTTAAAACAACTTAGGTTTAAAAAACGAGAAAATAGGGGTAAATGCATGAATAGAGTAAAAAGGACCTCAAAGTAAAAAAGGAATGAGTGAAGCAGAGTCATCAACAAGGGTTTTCAGGGAGGAAGGGTGTGTTTTTTCATTCATTTATCCATGTGTTCATGTATTCATTCATTCAACAAAAATTCTTTAAGCCATTATGCCCTAAATCTGTACACAGATATTCTGCATGAAAATAAAAGGGAGTCTCAGCCTCCCAGCCATCTTCCTTTACCCTCAGTCCTTCTGTGAGGAGTAAAGGTGGAGATGGAAGTTTGGATAGGAAGGAGGGTTTGTATTTGAGAAGCAGTGCTGAAGCTGCAACTCTGTGCTGGCCAAGGTGCTAGGTGTCGGAGTGCCAGGAAGGATGAGACTGTGGTTTCCACCTTGGAGGCACTCACACAATCAACGGGAAAGAATCGGGGAAATACATGATTGCAAACACATGATAAATATTTTAACAAAATGCACCAGATGCCACAGGATCATAAGAGAGAAAGTATCTTTGGAGGCTAGAAAGGCTTCACGGAGAAGGAAGAATTGCACTGAGCACTGTGGATAAGGTTCCCAGTGAGAAGAGCAGGACAGGCATGTTCCCAGGAACTCTTTTGTATGGAAGTTGTGAGGTAAGACCGATAGATATTAAAGGAATATCGTGTCAGCACAGGGGATGGAGAGCAAGACCAGCGGCAGAGGAACCAGTTGGGAAATGACTACAAAGTCCAGGCAAGAAATGGCAAGATGTTGAATGAAAACTGTGGTGTTTAGGCTGGAAAAGACGGCAGAGACTTGAAAAATATCTAGGATAGAGTCACTCAGAGTGAATGTTTAATTAGAAGTGCAGGCTTAGGGCAAGAAAGGGTCACGTGTGAGCCTGAGTATCCACCATAGGTCATGGAAAAAGAGAGAATATGGTCCAGGAAGAAGAGGATGCATTCATTATTGGCAATGGTGCATTTGAGATGTGGAAGGCATTGCCACACAGAGCAAGACACATTTCCTAGCTGCAGAGGTAATTAGGGTTCACTGCCCCAGGCTAAGTTGTCAAATGCTGCAAGAGGACCCAATCGTATAAGTGTGAACAGTGTCACTTAGGCTTGGCAAGTAGGTGGACATAGGCCTTTTAAACATGAGGTGTTTCAGCATAATGATGGGGCAGAAGTTACATGAAATGGGAAGACTGCAGAGGAGAGGAGGAAAAGAATGTCCCCCAAAATGATACATAGGTGAGGATCTCTTATCAGAAATACTTGGGACCAGAAGTGTTTCAGATTTCAAATTTTTTGGATTTTAGAATATCTGCATTATATCAATTGATCATCCCCAACCCCAAAATTCAAAATCTTAAATGCTCCAGTGAGCATTTCCTTTGAGCATCATGTCAGCACAGAAAAAATTTCAGATTTTGGAGCATTTCAGATTTCAGGTTTTCAGATTAAAAATACTCAGCCTATAATACATGACCAGGTCAGAACTTCCAAGAAAATTCTGGAAATACTAGTTTTCCTAGAGATGTTCTATGAGAAATAAAAATGTTCATGTTCTTCTAGAGTTTGAATCTTTAAAAGGATGAGTACAATTGATTGTTCTACATGACAGTCACCCTCAAGAAATGTGTGCTATGTCCCAGTTGGCTCCCTAAGAAATGATGAAGCAGAAAGTGAGAACAGATCCACAGATGGCATTTACCAACTACTATTCAGCTCACTTGTTGACTAACTCCTGCTCAATACAGGTGCAGATCAGATAGTGCCAAGAAATGGGCAGCTACCAGGTGCAGGCACTGTACTAGGCAGTACACTCCAGGGACAGGCAGTCAATGAGGGAATGAGGGCATAGGCAAAAGTGACTGCTGCTTCCACAAAGAGAGTCCTGGGTACTAGGGCACTGCATGAGGAGAGGAGCTATATGGGAGGGGGTGAAAGAATACCTCCAGGGAATAGGCGATGAAGCTCAACTCCAAAAAGAGTAGGAGTCATCGCAGGGAAGAGAAGGTTCAAGAGTGTTTCTGCAGAGGAATCAGCATGTGCAAAAGACCTGAAGTGGAAGATAGCACGCCACATCCATGGGCATCAGCTTGTCTGTGATTGCTAGCCAAACTCCAAGGCTATCAGAGTTTCAATCCTGGTTCCACCAGTTAAAAGTTGTGTGACCTTAGGCAAGGTATATAAAACCAGCTTTTCCCTTCCTCAGCTCCCTTGTCTGTAAAATGAGGATCAGTACAGGACCTTTATGCGGGCTGTTTGGAAGGATCCAGAGAGCTATCACATAGAAGCACATAACTGGTATGTGTTAGCTATTACTATTAGTACTGCATATCTTATTTTGTACTATGTTTCTAAGAAAATTTAAATATTGATTATTATCTTTTCTACTAAAAGATCATATGGATATATTTTTTACTTCCATAAAGCAACTTATTGAGGTACAGTTTATAGATAAAACAATCATCCATTCTAAGAGTACTGCTCAATAATTTTTAGCAAATGTTTTATAGTCAAGCAATCATCACCACTGATACAGTTTGGATATGTGTCCACTCCAAATCTTATGTTGAACTTTGATTCCCAACGTTGGAGGTGGGAGCTGTCTGGGTCATGCGGGTGGAGACCTCATGAATGGCTTGGTGCCCGCCTCTGGGCAAGGAGTGAGTTCTCACTCTATTTGATCACAGGAGAGTTGTTAAAAGGCCCGTACCCCCTACCTCCCCTCTCTTGTTCCCTCTTTCTCCATAGGACATGCTGACCCTCCTTCTACTTCTGCCATGATTGGAAGCTTCCTGAGGCCTTCACAAGATGCTGATGGTGCCATGCTTCTTGCACAGCCTGCAGAACCATGAGCCACGTAAACCTCTTTTCTTTTTTTTCTTTCTTTTTTTTTTTTTTTTTTTTTTGAGACAGTCTTGCTCTGTCGCCCAGACTGGAGTGCAGTGGCGCCATCTCAGCTCACTGCAAGCTCTGCCTCCTGGGTTCATGCCATTCTCCTGCCTCAGCCTCCCGAGTAGCTGGGACTCCAGGTGCCCACCACCACGCCCAGCTAATTTTTTGTATTTCTAGTAGAGACAGGGTTTCACCCTGTTAGCCAGGATGGTCTCAATCTCCTGACCTTGTGATCCACCCACCTTGGCCTCCCAAAGTGCTGGGATTACAGGCGTGAGCCACCACACCCAGTCATAAACCTCTTTTCTTTATAAATTACCCAGCCTCCAGTATTCCTTTATAGCAACACAAACAGACTAAGGCAACCACAATCCAGTTTTAGAAAATTTCCATCACCCCAAGAAGTTTCCTCATGCATTTTTGCAGTCATTCTCTACTTTCACCCCCAGGCAAGTACTGATCTACTCTCTCTAAATATAGTTTTGCCTTTCTTATATAAATGGAATCATAGGCTATGTAGTCTTTGGTGTCTGGCTTATTTCACTTAGCATAATGTTCCTTAAGGTTCATCAATGTGGTTGCATGTACCTTCTCTTTATTGCCAAATAGTATTACATGGTACAGATAGGCCATATTTTGTTTATTCATTCAACAGTTGAACACTGGGGTTGTTTTTAGTTTAGGGCTGTTTTGAATACCCTGCACAGAAATCGTGTGGCATATAATTTGTTTTTTTGTTTTGTTTTGTTTTGTTTGAGACGGAGTGTCACTCTTGTTGCTCAGGCTGGAGTGCAGTGGTGCAATCTCAGCTCACTGCAACCTCCACCTCCCAGGTTCAAATGATTCTTCTGCCTCAGCCTCTCCAGTAGCTGGGATTACAGGCACCTGCCACCACGCCCAGCTAATTTTTCTATTTTTAGTAGAGATGGGGTTTCTCCATGTTGGCCAGGCTGGTCTCGAACTCCTAACCTCAAGTGATCCTCCCACCTTGGCCTCCCAAAGTGCTGGGATGGCCTATATTTTCATTTCTCTTGGGCAGATACTTAAGAAGCAGAATTGCTGGGTCATACAGTAACGCTATGTTTAAGTTCTTAAGAAACCTTCAAATAGTTTTCCAGAGTGTCTACCATTTTATATTCCCACCAGCAATGTATAAAGACTCCAATTTCTCCAAATGCTTCCTAATACTTAGTATTGTCAATCTTCAAGGGAAATATTGATACAAAGAGTGTGCCCATTTTTCAACTGGGTTGTGTCTTCTTACTATTGAGCTATAAACGTTTTTTCTATATACTGGACAGATATGTACTTTAAAAATATTTTCTCCCAGTTAGTGGGTTGTCTTTTCATTTTCTTAATGAATAACACTTTGATCTTTTTTTTTTTTTCCATCTCTCAGTTCTCCTGGGAGACTGTTTTTGACTTCTCCTGGGAGACTGTTTTTGACATCTCCTTTAATCTAAGCACATACTATGCCTCATGAGCTCTGGAAGTAGTCTGAAAATACCTTATAATTTTTTGGTGTTTTCTATCAAGTTCAACACCATCTATTCCAAAACAAATCTAGATAGATCATTCTACAGCCAATTCATCTGGCAAATGGATTCCACCATCTTCCCTTTGGAATGATATCATTGGCCTATATTAATGAGGAAAGGCCAGCAAAATATATCACTGTGTTTACTTTAAAGATGTTTTTGAGGACATTGTCATATGGCAAAGAACTCCTCCTTTTCTATGAGGATGTCGGCTGGTCTTGAAGACAGAAATGACTGTATTTTCCTAAGCAATAAGTTTGATTCCCGGGTAGACACCACCACATAACAGTAAGTTTCTCCTTCTGGGAAACTGGCCCTCCGACCCCCTTGGATGATAATTTGTGGATCTCACATATTACAGCTTCGTGACGGATGTGGCATATTCTAAATCCACTGCTCCGCTCGGCCTCATATCATTTCCATCTGCTTCATATTCATTTTATGAATGTATTCTATTGTGTGTGCATGAGAGTGATTTTGACTGGCTCTTATCTAGATTTGTCAACACTACCTCCCCCGCCCCAGGCTCCCCATCTCCCATTCTTCTGAGCCTTAGCGTACAAAGCCCATGATCACAGCAGGACACGTCAGAGTAAGCCCGAAAATGTGGGGAACCAACCTGAGCTCCTGCCTGGAATGGCTCTGGTTGCCGCTAGCATGGAAGAAGACTTTCCTTTCTTACAGCAGCAGCCAGCAGCATCAACCACCTGTCTTGGTATTGTAATGAAGTAGCGAACGTAATGAAATAAACTAATGATTTCACAATGCGATCTTAACACTTGTCAATTTGCGAAAAGTAAAACAAGTAAGGGGAGAGAGAGGGACTGCATGGAGAGGAAAAGCTGCTTTGGAAACAGGAAGAGCTCTTTGAGGAGAAGGCATTTTAGTATCGATCTGAGTACTGAGAAGAAGAGAGCTTGGTGCAGATCACGAGCAGAGCAGGCTGAGCAGCTGAGATGCAAGGGCAAGGACCCTGGGTGGGCACAGACGTCATGCACTGGTGAGACAGCAGGTTGGAGCACAGGGCCTAAGTGGGAGGCCAGGGAGGTGGGCAGAGGGAAGACTGGGGAGGATGTGAAGGAGAAGGAGAATGCTCACATCAGTGGACTTTTCTTTCTTTTTTTTTTTTTGTTATACAGACAGCATCTCATTATGTTGCCCAGGCTGGTCTTGAACTCCTGGCCTCAGGCAATTCTCTCACCTCAGCCTTCCAAAATGCTGGGATTACAGACATGAGCCACCATGCCTGCCCATATCAGTGGGTTGTTTAAGGGAATAAATGTGGTTTTCTCTGGTTACTCTGGCTACTATGTAAGAAGCAGGGGAACCAGAAGAGCAGCAAGGAGGCTGGGAGAAGTGTCCAGATGGAGATGCTGAAGCTGTGGGAAAGCAGGGGTGGGCAGGAGTGGTGAGGGGGGGTTCAATCTGTGCAGCTGTTGCAGGCAGCACACTATAGGATTCTCTGACGAACAAGGACTAGAGTGTGGGGAAGCCGAGAGCCCGTGACTCCAGAATCCTATTGTGGACATTTGATATCTGCGGTGCTGAAACCTCCAAGTGGTCATTTAGGATGTGAGTCTGGCCCTTGGGAGAAGTGACAGCTTGTATTACATGTCAGTGTTGCTGCAGTGTGTGGAAGGCACTGGAAAGGCGAGGAGGGGGAGAGAAAGAAGAAGCCAGGGCCCTGTGCCCACGGCCACCTCGGGAAGGTGGGGAGGAGATGCCCTTGAGGAGACCACAGCAAACAGCTGGGAGGCACAGAGCAGATATCGTGGCCGGAGCAGAGGCTGAGGAGATGTGCA
Organism: Homo sapiens; assembly: GCF_000001405.40. NCBI lineage: Eukaryota > Metazoa > Chordata > Mammalia > Primates > Hominidae > Homo > Homo sapiens. The sequence continues at coordinate 26,712,864 of NC_000015.10, forward strand.
GGGAAGCTTCAAGGAACCCCGCGGGCTGGGAAACCCAAAGCCAGCCACAGGAAGCAGCACACTGGGCTGCAGGCTTCGGAAACTCCGCATCATGCTGGCTGCACAGCGAAGGCAGACGGAGGGGCGAGGTTGCTGGCCAGAAGCAGCATGCCACCATGGGGGAGTTCCAGGGTCAGGTAGGGGTAGAAGAAAGGACAGCTTTTTAAGAAGTGGGAGAACCAGGCTCTGCTGGTCAAGGTGCCCATGAGGGCAAGGACGAGGAAACGGTCGGGGTCCTCCTGACTCTGGTTTGGGCAACCAGGTGGCGCTCAGCTCCTGAGAGCGGCTGAGGCAGGGTGCGGCAGTGGGAAAGGTGTCCCAGGAGGCCGTGACTGTAGGGGAAGGGCAGTGGTAGTGGGAGGACAGCCAAAGGAATTTCCTCTTGATAACCTTTTTATTATTTTTTCATGGTGTGAGGCCGTCTGCTGAGAATGTGGCGGGCAGAGAGAATGGTACCAGAGGCAGAGGATGGACAGGCAGAGAGTGGACGCACAGGAGAGGGGAGACCCAGGCCCTATCAGCAACACTGGCAGCTCAGTCGCCTGGTGCCATCAGTCATCTCTGTGGGCCCCGAAACACAATGCTGGGTTCAGGAGTAAGGAGAGAGGAAGAGGCTACCGGGATGATCCAGCCTGGAGGTCTGTAGGGTAGAGGCTGGAAAAACATCAGAGATATGCATCAAAAAGATTCTCCAAGAGGGGCCAACAGGGTGGGAAGAATGAATGCCATGGACAGGCAATGCTGGCACAGGAAGGAGTGAGAACTGGTGGCCGCAACACGCTGTTTCCATAAGATGTCGTGGGTGGGAGACAGCATGCTCCCCGTTTCCATCTGGGCACTGGTTGCATGAGCTTATGTGCAAGTGAGCATTCATCAGGCAGCACACTCCTGTGCCCACTTCTGCCTCCTTACTGCAGGTGTGCTGTACCTCAGCAAACCACACACCCTCAGGGGAAGAGACCCAAGAAGGAAGCAAACCCAGCAGAGGAACCAGGGATCAGAGACGGCTGGTGGAGGTTGAACGGCCACATGTTGTGAGTGTCCAAAGTGCCTTCCCCAGGCACACTTGCCATGGCGGGGCTGAGGTGACCACTCTGGCAGAGACTCTGACCCGGAAGGAAACTCAACACGTGCCAGCAACGAGAACAATAATAAGGAGAATATGTTTGTCACTGCATTCAAACACACAGAAAACAGCCGAGGAAGGTGTGCAGAATATTTAGACGTCTGAGCTACGACAAATCACCTATTTTCCCTAAGCCTCAGTTTCTTCCCTTGTAAAAAGAGCTTCATAAGTGTCCCTGCATTGGGGTCGGTGTGAGGATGTAGTGAGATGATACACAGAAACTGCTTGACACAGTGCCTGAACTATAACAATGCCCCCATAACTACTGTGAACCCCAAAAATCCGAGACAGGTTTCAGTTAATTTAGAAAGTTTATTTTGCCAGGGTTGAGGCTGCAAGTCCGTGACACAGCCTCAGGAGGTCCTGATGACATGTGCCCAAGGTGGTCAGAACACAGTTTGGTTTTATACATTCTAGGGAGACATGAGACATCAATCAATGTATGTAAGATGAGCATTGGTTCAGTCTGGAAAGGCCGAACAACTCAAAGCAAAGGCAGGAAGACTGGAAGTGGGGCGGGGCTTCCAGGTCATAGGTAGATAAGAGACAAATGGTCGAGTTATTTTGAGTTTCTGACTAGCCTTTCCAAAGGAGGCAAACAGATATGCATTTATCTCAGTGAGAAGAGGGGCGACTTTGAATAGAATGGGAGGCAGGTTGACCCTAAGAAGTTCGCAGCTTGACTTTTTCCCTTTAGCTTAGTGATTTAGAGGTCCCAAGATTTATTTTCCTTTCACACTATCTATTATTATTTTCATTATCACTGTTAGTAATTATTAAAGGTGCATAGGAAATCACTCAGGACTGTCTCAATGAACAGCAGTTCAGGAAATAGGAGTGAAAGACAAATCTGTAGTCTGTGGAGAACACTAAGTTCTCAGAGGTCACACCAAAAACAGAGAAACACAACCATCCGCTGCCTCAAGGGGAGATAAAGCACATCCCAAAAAAGCCACGTGCAAAAAAATTACAAAGCCACATAGCAGTTAGGCACAAAAAACAAGGTGCCAGGTAAATATATCCATACTGAGGGCATGCAGACAAGAGGGCAAGAGGGGGCCATGGGCAGCTCCTTGAGGACCTGGGGGGGTCTGAGCTTGAAGCAGGAGGCAGGTGTGAGCAAGGAGAGAGTCTCTCTCACCAGGACCAGCGAGCTTTTCTAACCATCCCAGCCTTGGAACGAGGCAGGAACACACGTGGGAGACTTGGGCTGGTGATTGAAGAGGTCAGAAAAATCTGAGAGACAGCAGAAAAACCAATTATTCAAAGCTGCCATTTCCAGCCAGCAAAGTTAACTTTGGGTTTTGAGGGTCCTCAGAAGCCTCTCTAAGAACTGAGCAGGAAACAGAGCAACAGATATGATGGTGACAGAGAATTTTTCCCTGCAGCTGTGTGTGGGATGTGCTACATCCCAGAAGAGAGAGGAGAGAAAACCCACACGATGTAATAAGACTTGCACAAAAATGCCAAATTATGACAATAAGTCCTTAAGTGCCGAGGCAGGAACGAGAAGGACATGACTTAGCATTTGGTAATTATGTTGAAGAAATTATGAAATAATAACTATTTATAAACCGATTCTCTTACTAGTCCTGAGCACATACAATATGTTTTCAGATAAAATTATAGATAATGAAATGCTAGAAAATGTTGTTAAGGTGCATGGTGTTGGTTGCATTGTGATATTTAATATACTAATGATAAGTAGATTACTCTGATGCATCCCGTGCCTGAATCATCTGTTGTCTTGTGTGCAAAATCCATTCTTTTATTAGTAAACTATTAAAAACATCCATGGTCTGTCATTTATGGGCCTTCTTTATTGCAACTCATTTATAATGTATAGAATGTGACCTCAACACTCCATAGTTTGCTCTAAGATTTCCAGACTTGCTACATCTTCCAGACACAAAAAGCAAAATACACAGAGAACAAGCCATGGTAAGAACACACACTGTTGTGAACACAGTGCTGGTTTTCAATTAGAATGAAAAGCTGAGCCATGCAGGAATTCCCCACACCTTCTAAAGCAAGTGCATCCAACTCAAGCTATACATGAGCTGATCAATATCCTGACTCAAGGGAAACAAACAGAAAAGTCTCATCTTCAAAATGTAAGATTGTATTGATTTTTTTCTCCTCAAGGCCCAGAGAGTACAAACTGCAAAACAGCTCTCAGCAACTGAATGCTACATGCTGATCCTCTTCCCACTGAACGTGGCTGTGTGTGTGATGGGTGTGCGCTGGGAGTGGAGGTGGAAGCACATCCAACAAAGAGGTAGGATAATGAACCTGATGTAGCTGATGATGCTGCATTCATATTTATAGAGAACCACAGGCTCCTAAAACCCCTATCTCAGCCCTTTGTGTCATACCACAGCACATTCGAGTCCCTCAGAGCTAAGAGCTCCCCTCTGTATTTCACCATGCAGCACCTAACCCATCTTCACAATTGCCATGAAGAAACGATGCTCAGGGGGTTTGAGCAATGTGTGCAAGTTCCCCAAGCAGGTCAAACCCATAAACCGTCTTCACCAACTTCTCACAGCCTGCCTCACATCAACTTGTGAATCCCACTTACTTACATCTCCTTAGAGGCCTCTTGTGGGTTCTCACTGCCAACAGCAAGTCTCTTCTATTTCTTTAAGAATCATCCAATTATTTTTATCACCAACTGCCTTTCTCTTTCACAGGCCATCCAGCTCACATGGCATATATCCAGTAACAGCCCAGCTCTGAGGACCTCCACCAAATGACAGCCCAGCTCTGAGGACCTCCACCCAACCACAGCCCAGCTCTGAGGACCTCCACCCAACCACAGCCCAGCTCTGAGGACCTCCACCCAACCACAGCCCAGCTCTGAGGACCTCCACCCAACCACAGCCTAGCTCTGGGGACCTCCACCCAACCACAGCCCAGCTCTGAGGACCTCCACCCAATGACAGCCCAGCTCTGGGGACATCCACCCAATGACAGACAGCCCAGCTCTTGGGACCTCCACCCAGCGACAGTCCAGCTCTGGGGACCTCCCTCCGATGACAGCCCAGCTCTGCGGACATCCACCCAATGACAGCCCAGTTCTGGGGACATCCGCCCAATGACAGCCCAGCTCTGAGGACCTCCACCCAATGACAGCCCAGCTCTGGGGACCTCCACCCTATGACAGCCCAGCTCTGGGGACCTCCACTCAATGACAACCTAGCTCTGGGGACCTCCACCCTATGACAGCCCAGCTCTGGGGATATCCACCCGATGACAGCCCAGCTCTGGGGACCTCCATCCTATGACAGCCCAGCTCTGGGGACCTCCACCCAATGACAGCCCAGCTCTAATATCCACCCAACAACAGCCCAGTTCTAATGACATTGCTCTCCAGCTCTGAAGCTCCCAGGGACTGGATAATGTGGACCATGTGTAAAGCTAAGACCACACATCCTAGCACTTCGATTACTTACCCATCACCAAAACAGTAACATGCTGTGGGTTCCAGGGAAGATGCTACCCTGAATTCTCCCCTTGTCCAAATCATGCCTTCCCAACAACGCTCATCCAGAACTGGAACTCCACATTTTTTAAAGACAGCCCTTCAGATCTGATAATTGGATGGAATCTCTCTCTCCCCCTGGCTCCCTCCCTCACCCATCACACGTAATGCGTCATGCTTCTCTTAGGGGTACTGATTTTGTTTTCCCTTGCTCCATATTTTTCTTCCCTCCCATTGAAACAGACACCTCTTTACAAGCTGAGCTGGATCTTCGTCTTGTCAGTCTGGTATTTGGCGTTAACCAAGAGAACTCAACAGCTGTAACAAATCCAAGCATTCCAAAGCCATTTGCCTCTTAGGCCAAAGGTAGAGATCCCTTGATCCTTGTAAATGATATTATCCTCTGTTAATCATTTTAAAGGAAGAAGAGTTCTCACTTCTGCAAGTACTTCCACAATCAGTTTATCTCTCATTCTGTCTCATTCTTTCTCTTTTGCCCACTTTGGAAAAGAAAAACAACCAAAAAAAATGTCATACATAACCTATCTATGGCAGCACTGTTTAGTGTTCTTTTCTGGAAGCTGTTGGTCCTGCACACACCTGAAAACAAAAAAGAAACTTCCCCAAAGGTCTAGTCAAAGGCCAGAATTGGCAAATGACAACTTGTACAATTTAATAGCTTATTTCTTATTTATTTATTTATTTATTTTTTTGGGACGGAGTTTTGCTCTTGTTACCCAGGCTGGAGTGCAATGGCACGATCTCGGCTCACCGCAACCTCCGCCTCCCAGGTTCAAGTGATTCTCCTGCCTCAGCCTTCCCAAGTAGTTGGGATTATAGGCATGCGCCACCAAGCCCGGCTAATTTTGCATTTTTAATAGAGATGGGGTTTCTCCATGTGGGTCAGGCTGCTCTCGAACTCCCGACCTCAGGTGATCCGCCCACCTCAGCCTCCCAAAGTGCTGGGATTACAGGCGTGAGCCACCGCGCCCAGCCTTAATAGCTTATTTCTATTAATACTTATAAAGAATCCATACTAACGCTGCAAAACATTTTGCATACAATCTCAAGATTAATATGATGCTCAATGTGTTTTTTTTTCTTATTATACTCTCGTCTATAGTTATTCCCCAGCTGATCCAGATAATCCACCTTTCCTCCTTAGCAGCAGGCTTTGGATGGCTGTAGCTATCTCAGATATTCAGAACACCACCCACCATCCATCATCCTCCACAAGGTGGCCAGAATGATTTTTCAAAAATGCCAACTTAATCCTGTTACTCCTGAAGCTGTACACCTCCGTGCTCCCACACTGCTGAAGTGTGGCCCTCTTGGGCTCAGCTCGCAAGCCCAATGTGATCAGATCCGACCCCCTCTTCAGCCTGCCTCTCCCCACACTTGCTGCTGACATGCTGTGGGGCCACTTCACCCTCTGGTGTCCTGGACAAGCTCTTCCTCTGCTGCAATGCTTCCTCCACTGCCCTTCACCAGGCCCCTCTGTGCATCTCCTCATGGTCCCCACCGCCACCTGGCAAGTGGGGCTTCCTACAAGTTGCCTGCATGCACCACACTGACCTCTGGGCAGGCACATGCACATCGGTCTGAATTGTAATTATTCCTGCCATGTCCACAACAGCACAGCAAGCTCCTGGTCTTCGCTCTGCATGCGAAGCATTTGGCATAGCGCTAGGCACATGGCAGGTGCCCATGAGTGTTTGCTCCACAAATGTGGGACCAACTAAAGAGTGAAGGAACGACCCTGCTCAGCACGGACTGTTCCAGGACTCCGCACACGCACTGACAGGTATGCCTTCCTTTCCAGGAACTCAGGTTGGCACCCTCTACAAATGGAATGTGCTTGGTTTCAATTTCACACTTCAAATCAGGCATAAAATCATTATATGAAAATCCATGGCACAATGATTCAAACAATTGTCAATCGTTCCTAAAATTATTATTCAAATTTTATTCACACTTTAATAGGCTCAATTTTGCAATATCCATGGGTAAAAGCTAAGTTTTAAATATTCAGCTTTGAATGGCTGACAACACTACTTAGCAGATATTTATTATCATTCAAGCACAGTGTTTTAAAATGTCTCGAGGTGTGAACACATTGATCCCTGCATTGTAGCTTATCGTCCTATATTGACCACTGTTTCTGTCATGAAATACGTCAGATCATCAGTTTGGACACAGCTATGCTAAGAATGGTCAGCTCTGAATATTAACTTCACAAGCCAGTTGAAGAAATTAGGACAATAAGAGAAAGATGAGAAACAGTTAAATCCAAAAATTCACCCAATAACTGATAGCATAACCCCAAACCGGCGATTCCCAAACCTGACTGGTCATTGAAACCTGTCTTACTGTCAGGCCTCTGAGCCCAAGCTAAGCCATCATATCCCCTGTGACCTGCACATATACATTCAGATGGCCTGAAGTCACTGAAGAATCACAAAAGAAGTGAAATTTAAATGGCCTATTCCTGCCTTAACTGATGACATTCCACCACAAAAGAAGTGAAAATGGCCGGTCGTTGCCTTAACTGATGACATTACCTTGTGAAATTCTTTCTCCTGGCTCAACCTGGCTCAAAAAGCTCCCCCACTGAGCACCTCATGACCCCCACTCCTGCCCGCCAGAGAACAACCCCCCTTTGACTGTAATTTTCCTTTACCTACCCAAATCCTATAAAACGGCCCTACCCCATCTCCCTTCACTGACTCTCTTTTCAGACTCAGCCCGCCTGCACCCAGGTGATTAAAAACCTTTATTGCTCACACAAAGCCTGTTTGGTGGTCTCTTCACACGGACGTGAGTGAAACTTACCTGTCACCTCTATCAGCTCCTGTCAGTCATTATTTTTCTCCTGGCTCTCTGATCCCTAGCTCAATCACACAGCATTGTAGAACTTAGTGTCTGAAATATCCATGTGATGAAGATTCAAAGGTGCTGTGACTTAGGAAGACGAGACTGGGGCAAGCAGGCATCATTTCAGAGTATCCAGGGACCCAGACGGTCAGGTTTTTAAAAATTGGCAACTGTACAATCTCTTCCCCTCTCCCCACCAAAAGGAATTAGATTTTACTTAGACCACAAATACCTTCTCTTAGGAATACCAAGAGTTTCTGATTCATGAGCTGTTACATTCTTTCTCTTTAAACCTTCTTTATACATGTATAGGGCCTTCACACATACGCAATCCCTCAGGATTTTCTAGCTACTTCAAAAGGGAGGAAGATTCCTCAAAAGGGAACCCGGAATCGAGGTTGAAGGACGAACTGCTGAGGAACAGGAACACCTTACTTCTGCAACATGGAACCTATATTCTAGTGAAGTGCATTGTGCGGATATTCCCAAGATTCTGTTTATTTTATCAGAAAAGTGTTAAAAAAATGTTAATATTATCATTGGCCCAAATAAGGCACTCAAAGGGGATGCAAACAAGATCCTGCAGGGGTGTGTGTAGGGGGTAGACCGCCCCAACATGTCAAATCTCAGTAAACACTTCATTCTGCAAGGCTTTCACCCTCCTCCATCCGCCCAGGGGTCCCCACAAGCTCTCCCTGAGGGGACCTGAAAATGTGTGGATGCTCCGGCTGTGGGATTGCAGGGAGTGTTGCTAGGTGCAGTAGGTAGGGACAGAGAAGCTGAACCTCCTGTAGGAGTCCAGAATATGCCACCCCAAAATATGCTTCTTTGGCATAATGATGATTTTAAGCTGGTAATTTTGAGAAACTGCAGGCAGGAGAAGCTCTGGAAACAGAGCAGAAGTGGCCCTTTGGAAGGGAAACTTGCATCTAAGAAGGAAATCTCCATTTGTAAGGGTGTCTTCCTCTGGGTACCAGGAAGAAGAGGACTCTAAATCACTCATCAATGGAGAGGCGCCCGCTGAAATCTGCATAACAAGCCTTATTCTTGCTCCTCTAGGTCACCTCCCCAAGCCAGGCCTCCCCACTCCCTTCTTCGTTTCAGCAGAGGATGACAGTTAACCTGAATTCAAAGCCACCTCTTTGAGATGTACTCATTTCTCTGGGTATCTCACAGCTGCACATGGGCATGCATTAATCTTCTGCTTGTTTTTCTCTTGTTGATCTGTCTTTTGTTACAGAGCTCCGTCTCAACTAAGAACTGTAAAGGGTAGAGGGGAAATTATTTGTCCACTCCTGCACTCCTACCTACCTAAGGGAAAGAGCCTGCACCACAAAATATAGAGCCCACCTCAAATGTCTACAGTGCTCCCTGACAGGCATCATAAATCTGATGAGACACGGCTGCCTGGTGAGTCAGTGGAGACACCAAGAAAGAGCCAGGACTAGCAGATTTCAGCTGCAACTTCATTGCTCCCAGAGGATGTAGTGGCATCTGAGAACATCAAAGAAAGACCATTGGTCCATGATAATTCAATTAAAGCTTCCTGATGTGGTCACAGGTTACTTTTCTAACTGTAGTTCCACACCAAGCTCAGTTTTCCATCTACTCAATATTGCTAAGAAAAAAGTTTTACATTCTTTAAATTGAAATGCAATCCATTTTTTTTAATGAGCCCCAGTAGATGCAGGTTCCATGCAATAAATCTTAGCTTACCTCACCTAATTTCCTTCTTTTCTCTTTGCTCAGATATAGTTTGCCCCATCTAGGTCCTCAACAAGGGTTGCTCATTAGAACAACCCGGAGAGCTTCAGTTGGGCTGGGGTGGAGCATGAGTTATCAGGATTCGTTGTAAGATGGTTTCGGGAATTGCCAAACTATCTCACGAAAGGGAGGAGACCTGAGCAGCAAATGACCAAGATCTCTGGACGGCTGTTTGGGTTGCTTGTTTATAAGAGAGAGAATTTGAGAATGCAGGACTAAAACATTTCACAAACACTGAGGCCCTCCAGTTGTTTATTCTTCTGGGCCAATTAGGGTCTTGGCGACATAGGCACTCAGATGGAAAACAAACCACATGACGTGCTGTGAAAATCAAAACTGGCTTCTCACCTTCATTTCTTCTTTGTGGCTGCAGTTGAAGGGGGAAATTCTAAGGCAATTTATTCACTGAACTTTACGTTAATATTCAGTCCTCGTAATCTGACAGAATTTCAAGCTTGGCAGCATTGTCGTCCCTAAGTATCTTCTTGGCAACACTTTTGACTTTATAGATAGGGAAACCAAGGCCCAAGGCAAAGGCATTCATTCAGGAATACCATGGCTGGCCCGGGAAGCAGTCACAGAAATCAGGGTTTTCTGACTCCTCCCATAACACTCTTTCTGTTCCTTCAGATGTGAGTCACTGGATCCGAGGGCTGGGCTTCCTCGTTCTGGCTCCCCGTGCCATAGCCAAGCCCTGCTCTCCCACTGGGTGCCTCTGCTCAGCTGCAACTGTGACTGCCTCTCCCTGCCCACTGCTTTGCCTCAGGGACCTATCAGCTTCACACTATGTTAGATTGTATCATTCATTTCCCAGGAGAGTGATTTCATTTTAATAATAATACGAAAGCTCTCAACCTTAAGACATTCAGAGTAGCTTCCAAAATGTCACTCAAAAGGGCCTCTTTTCTTCCATTGAGAAGATTCCAAGTTCTGCAATCATGGTAAGCACATTAATAAAGGGGTAAGGGTAGAGGTCCTGAAGTTTACACAAATCAGAGGAAAAAAATCATAGAAAAATTCCACTCCATTTGCAGAAGACATCTGTCAAACTAATTTTATCATTAGAGTCTTTACAAGGTCACAATATAAAATTATGTGTGCTTTGAACAAGTTATACCCATCTTTTAACTTTTCCTATGTGAAAATAATTTGAGTCTTTTGAATGTTGTATTCTGCTTTGCTGAAGGCATTCTTTCTAATTCCACATCCTGATAAGTGTGGAACTATCTTGGAATATAACCCCTCCCTACCTAGGGTAGTTATTTTCACACTAAGAAATCCTACATTTTGGCATTCATCAGCTATAATTTTGCAAAGAATGAACTACCCACATTTAATTTAAGCAAATAATTATCTTCACAGATATGAAGATAGAATGTGCTTCTGCCTGCAGACACAGTGTTGAGCACCCATGGGTGGGAAGTGCAGCCTGGAGGGGACACACCTGACCTCCCAGCCATGGTCATTGTCCCAATGAATTCTCCTAGAAGTTCTAGTTCACTGACTCTGTCCGTTGGAAACCTGTATGTTTCAACTCAGAAAATAATATAGGTCACCAGGAACGTGAGGAACACATAGGTAAACAGAAATACTTGTTTTGTGAATGAGGATATCACTGCCTACCACATTTCTCTCTGATTATCCATGAGGCAAACCAAGGCCACGATTCCTAGGCTCCACTGTTTTTTCACAAAGAAAAACTTATCAGACACGTGATGTAAACCAATTGTACCAGTGTTCCCTGACTTCCTTTTCTGTGAGAAAAAAAAAATGTCATAAACAAGAATGGTAATTGGCTAGCCCCAAGGAATGGGCACATTCCTCAGCAGGGAACCTCATAATGTGGACAGATTCCTTTTTGGTGTTGTTTCCCACATTTCATTGGCTGCTACAGTCCACGTGTACATCACTCTGCTCTCCTGGTTCACAAGCTAAGCTTTTCATATTCATTTTTTGTTACTTATGCAGAGCTCTTCACCCACAACACTCTTCTGCCAGGGAACATTCTGCCCATCTTCTAGAAATGTCACTTGTTCTGAAACTCTTCTTTTCTCCTCCATGTCACATAAATCTAACAGTATCAGTGGATCCTCTCTCCTCCTGGGCCATCACAGCTGAGAAATAAAAATGAAACCCTAAAACCCCCAACCAGTTGAATGAACCCCCCTCTTGGCCAAGAATTCCCTAGGGAAATTTTGGAAGCTGAGTTCTTGGCCATTATGGGATGCAAGGTCAGAAATGCCTCATTATATATCCTTTCCCTTGCTAACCACCTTTCTTCCCAGGGGCTAAACAGAAACCAGCCCTTTTGAAAGACTCCACCGATAGCAACCAACTGTCTGAGGCTGCCTCTTGCTTGTACAATTTCAGCAAAATAACCAACCAGCATTCTTTCCTGATAAGAGACCACCAACCATGGAGTGGTTGGCGCCAGTCTACAGCAGATGTACAGTGAGGGGTAATGCATCCTCTGCTTCACCTTTTGATGTCAGAGGGCTGAAAACTCCACCCTCAGATGATAACACCACAGATTGTTAAACATAGGTCCCATGGAGAGGCATGAGACTAACTGCACATGTGCATGGTTCTCCTTTCTTCCTTCATAAATATTCATGACTCCTCCTACAGTGTATTAAATATGCATATTTAGCCACCCCAGTCTGCATAAATTCTTGTTCCCTTTGCCCCCCCTCAAAGTATCTGTTTCCAGCTTCTAATGGGAGGCTACACTTCCCAGCCTATCAGAATGGCCATGCAGGCTGCAACCCTTTATGAGAAATAAAGCTCCCCTTTCCAAATTTATGACCCTTGACATTCTTCAGTTGACACAGCCCATGGAGCTCACAATACACTATGTGAATGTTGGCCATGACTTGTCAAAGGCAATTGGTATAGTGTCACTTTCTTGAACACAATGCCATTTCTAATTAACTGCTGTCCCCCCATCACAGTGCCCCTCCTTGTACATAGCTCATGCTACAGGTATCTGTAGAATGAATTGGTTCTTAGGAAAAGGTGCCTTATTCCCTCAAACATACACACAAAGGTCTGGATTTTCATAGCCTTGTGAGGAGTTTCAACTGACTGAATATTTTTCTGGGAAGGTACTAAGTAGCTGTAACTTCAGGTGTCTTTTCAGGCTGATGCACAGTCTTTAAATAAGTTTATAATTCCACCATCCCTCCCCAGAAGCTGTCCCCTCCACCTTCCCCTCCTCAGAGGCACATGATCTAAGAAGGCTGGGGAGGACTGTGGTGCCCTTATTGATCCACCCACTGACTGCCACCTCTGCATCATCCTCCACACACCACATTGGACAAAAGCGCCAATGTTACTTGCTATGAACCTTGACCTCATAGTAAGTAGCTGGTAATGATGCTTACATGCAAATTACTTCTAAATTCTTTAATTTTTAATTCTGCACTTTGAAATGATTTCAAACTTTTGAAAATGTTGCAAATCTAGAACAAGTTGACTATCCCTTATTCAAAATGTTTGAGACCATAAGAGTTTCAAATTTGGAGTTTTTTTCATATTTGAGGATATCTGCAAATATATAATGAGATATCCTGGGGATGGGACCCAAGTCTAAGCATGAAATTCATTTATGTTTCATATACAACTTATACACATAGCCTGAAGGCAATCATGTATAACATTTTTAATATTTAATAATTTTGTGCATGAAACAAAGTTTGCATATGTTGAACCATCAAAAATCAAAGGTGTCACTATCTCAGCCACCCATGTAGACAATCTGTGGTTGTTCAGCATCACCACCAAAAAACACAGTGAGTAATGCTCATGAGTCTTGGTCCCATGTGGGAACCTGCTTTGGCATGTCCAGCCTGCACATGTGTCATTTTACTCCTCATTGTGGGTGTGCTACTATGGGGGAAATCTGGGTGTGCTGGGCATGCGCACAAAAGACATATCACAGCTGGAGGGAGCTGGGAGGGTCGTTTTTTCCCTTGGGGATACTGAACTGTACATTGTGTGCCTGCATTTTGACTGCAGCCCATCACATGAGGTCAGATGTGAAATTTTCCACTTGTTGGTATCATGTCAGCACTAAAAATGTTTCAGATTTTGGAACATTTTAAATTTTGGATTTTTGGATTAGGGATGCTCAACCTGTGTAAAGATATCCCATATACCATTAGTCTAGCTTCTTCAAATGTTAACATCTTACATAACTGCAGTAAAATGATCAAAACCAGGACATCAACAATGGTCTCATATTAACTAATTCACAAGTCTTATTTGAATGTCACTGATAGTTCCACGTTAGTTCCTTTCTGGACCCGGTTCCAAACAAGGAATGGACATTGCATTTAGCAGTCTTCTAGAAGTTTGGACACTTCCTCAATCTGTCTTTGTCTTTCATGATCTTGACACCACTGAGGAGTTCCGACAAGGTATCCTATAGAATGTCTGCAATTTAGGATAGCCTGATGTTTCCTCGTGATTCAATTCAAGTTACATATTTTTGGCAAATATGTCATAGAGGTGATGCTGTGCCCTTCTTGGTGATCATACAAGGAGGGACACGATGTCTCTTTGTGCCACTGTCAGCAAGGTTAACTTTTACCACTTGGTCAAGCTGGTATCTGCTGGGTTTCTACACTGTAAAGTCACTGTTTTGCTTTTCCTTTCGCAATTAAGAGGCATTATGTGGGGAGATACCTTGAGATTGTGCAGGTATTTTATTTCTCATTAAAATTTCACACCCAGGAGCGGTGGCTCACACCTGTAGTCCCAGCACTTTGGGAGACCGAGGCAGGCGGATCATGAGGTCAGGAGTTCGAGACCAGCCTGACCAACATGGTGAAACCTCATCTCTACTAAAAATACAAATATTAGCTGGGTGTGATCACATGCACCTGTAATCCCAGCTACTAGGGAGGCTGAGGCAGGAGAATTGATTGAACCTAGGAGGTGGAGGTTGCAGTGAGTTGAGATCGTGCCACTGCACTCCAGCCTGGGCAACAGAACAAGACTCGGTCTCAGGAAAAAAGAAAAATCACTCACCAGTTTTAGCATGTACTAATGACTCTCACCTGAAATTTTGGTTATTATGATTCCTGTCGAATGACGACTGTCTAATTCCATCAACCTCTACAGTAAGGAAGACATGTCCCTCCTTCCTTAGGTATTTACTTATGTATATATCTATTTAATTATGTATTGTATCAGTGTGGACTCATGGATAGTTTATTCTATGGAATACTTTTATTCTATAGGTTTTAGTACAAAATGATGTCATTATTTTGTTGCTCAAATTGCCCCCGATTTGGCCATCAGGAGACCCTTCAATTCTGTTCTATGCTGTTTCAATAGACTCCCAACATTTGTAAGCACTTTCTTACTTTCTGATACTAAATGCTCACCTAAGCTTACCTAGCACTTTCCCTACCCCAGCCTTGAAATCAGGGATTGCTCCTAGAAGCCCTGATTCAGTTTATTGGAGGATATTAGAAACCAAGATCAGGAAGCCAGGTATGCTCAAATGACACTGCTTCTCAGCCATCGCTGTAGCCAGAGCTGGGACCTCTGAGTCCATTTACACACAGCCACATCCATTTCTCTATCTCTCTCTGCATATATATCATGACCTCATGTGTTCATACCAATACCACTGATTCCAATTCAACATCACAAGGTTCATACAAGCCTTACTTGTTTCCTTGTTTATCACTCTTTTCTTAGACAATGAGAAACTTGCTTTTATTATTGAATATACCCACTTATTTACTCACATCTAGAATACAGATAATTTCAGAAATTCTATCACGTACCCCTGAGAGAAACTAAAATCCTTACTAACTAGAATACAATACTTGAGAGGAGCTGTTATTCCCTTCTAGTCAATGGTCAAAAGACTGTTTTTCAAAGTTACCTACATTGATTCTTGATTCTGCCCATCCCAGACCATCCAGATACACTGCATCTAAAGGTAACATTTAAACAGGAAGTGAGACATTCCTCCAGGGAAACAACTGAGGGATTCTCTGTCAAATGGCTTATGATACCTCATTCTACTAGGTGAGGCTCACAACTGTATCAATGAGACCAAAACCCCAAACACCATCAAAGTTTAAATCTTCCCTCTGTAACAGCACTAGACAGGGGAAACAAATGAGCAAAGTGTCCCCTCCATGTATTCTGGTTCCCACACATATGGAGACTCTGTTGTCTTCAGCACCTGCCCTCCATGGTTGGCCCAGGGACTGCCTCCAGTCCAGCACGCACAGAGTCTTCATGGAAAATAAACACCGCGTGCTGGAGTGGAGGCAGTGACTATAAGGATGCACATCACTTCTGCTGAAATTCAAGCCCGAGGTCTCATCTAACTACAATAGATACTGGGAAGGGTGGGCTAGCTCCAGGCCCAAGGGAGAAAATACCATGGATATGGTGAGCAGGCCACACAGCACACGCTGCCAACACAAAATATTCATAATGGAGAGATACACTTAAAGTGCCTTTTCAAAAAGCTCTGGTAGTGGTATTCTATGCAGTCATCATTAACGTATTTCATCTTTCATGACGTATTTGCTCTAGGACTTTCCTCAGACTTTCAAACTCAAAGGACTCTCATGTTGTTACCTGTATGTTATTTTCCAAAAGATCTCTGGTCCTGTCTAGATTTATCAGCTCATATACCAGCAGCTGGCTTTTATTTCATCCCTTATATAGGCAAAGCTTTGTGCTAAGCAATTTAAATGCATATGGTTACATAAATTTGCTCACACAACACTAAAATGTGCAATGAAAATGTAGCTTCCTGATGCAATTTTCCTCAAGAAGGTCCGGGTTTTGGTGGCATAACAGAAACACCCTTATACTGAGTATACGTGAGTCAAGTCTGACTTAAGTCTGACTTAGTAACTTATAAGAAAGATACTTCACCTGTTTTAAAAATATATTTATCATTCAGATCTCACTTGCTTTCCCCCACGCCTCTGCAAGTGGGCATCTGCTGATCTTGCAGCAGGAAAGAGGTCTGGGCAAGGGGCCGGGGGCCTCTGTGTTCTCAGTGGTCCCGCTGCACAGTGTATTCAGACTGCTCAGCTCCCCACCCTGGAGAACACTGAGCAACACTGCCTCCGACTGGCCCTCGGGAGTGACATGTAGGTAATAAACCTACAGCTTTAGTCTGGCAGACTGACCCACCATCCCTCCCCAGAAGCTGTCCCCTCCACCTTCCCCCTCCTTGGAGGCTCCTGAACCCAAGAAGGCTGGGGAGGACTCTGGTGCCTTTACTGATCCAGCCACTGACTGCCACCTCTCCATCATCCTCCGCACAGCACACTGGACAAAAGCGCCAAGCTAATGGCTAGCCTTTTAGGAGGCCTGCAGACTTTGCACACAACCCCTGCAGAAGAAGCCTTTAAGTTAATCTGGGTATTTCTAAAGCCTCCATGGATCAGGCCCCCAAATTCTCTGTGGATGTGGAGGGTGGGGAACAAAATCTCACTTCTCCCTATAACTTCTTGAGCCAAAAATAGATCAGTTCATGCTTTACTTTTTCAGGGCAGAAAGGTTCACACCATCTGTTCCCTATGCCCCCAGCAGGCTCCTTCACTTCCTCCAGGTGCATGCTCAGATTCCACCCAAGCAGCAGGGCCTTCCCTGCACTCCCTACCTGCCAGGCTCTGCCATGCCCAACAGCACACACTACCATCCAACACAATAGATGTTTACTTGCATGTTTGTTTGTAGTCTGTCTCTCTCTACAGAACATCTGCCCCAGCATGGCAGAGGCTTCATTCTATTCCCTGATGTAACCTCAGTACCTAGAACCAAGTTAGGTGCATAAGAGATATGCATTAAATATTGTCAAATGAATGCTGAACTCATAAATGGCCTGGCCGTGTCAGGCAGAAGCAATATCATCTCTATACTTACAGGAAGAACACCAATATACACAAAAGAAATTTAGAAGAAACCTGGCTTTCAAATATTCTAAATTCCTGAGACATCTAGCAAATATTTGTTCTTACAGTCCAAGTGGAGAAAATGTATCATTCTTCTGTTGGTTATATCCCATTTCCTGAAGCCCTGTTGCCCCTGGATTAATTGAATAAGACCAGGGCAATAAGACTTACAGGATGAATAGCCGGGCGTGGTAGCGGGCGCCTGTAGTCCCAGCTACTCGGGAGGCTGAGGCAGGAGAATGGCGTGAACCCGGGAGGCGGAGCTTGCAGTGAGCCGAGATCGCGCCACTGCACTCCAGCCTGGGCGACAGAGCGAGACTCCGTCTCAAAAAAAAAAAAAAAAAAAAAAGACTTACAGGATGAAACAACAGTTTCCCGGTGCACAGGCACCTCACCACCCCCCGTGCGGATGAATGCGGTCACGTCCCATTGTGGAGAGAAAGAAGAGGAGCTGAAGAGGCCAGAGCCCTCAGCCCAGGGCCACAGAGTGAATGGCCAGGGTGGGGCTGGGTCCTTAGGACCATTATTCTTCCTTTACATCTTAAAGTCATTTTACCATTTTGGACTTTTTTCTAGGTTTGGTATCTATATTAATGAATGACCTAATGAAAAGTAGTATAATAGAGAAGATAGGAACGAAAGTCAGTGCCAGATGTCCAAGCTTAAATCCTCCATCTGTTTTTTGCTGGTTATGCCATATCGCACGAATTGCTCAATCCAAATACACTTCAGTTTCCTCATATGTAAAACAGGGTTAAGAGTGAAATACTTTTCTCATAGGAGCATTGTAAGCAGCAAATGAACTCACACATATGCAGCACTTATAATAGAAGCTAACAGATTACTTTTATCAAGCAATAATGAATATAATTTGGGTTCAACATTTAACCTTACAGGTGTGATCTTTTCAGCCACTGCTGCGAAGTCTTATTTTCAGCAACACCAGTATTAATGATGCAGGCTCTCTCACTCGCTCTCGCTCTCTCTCTCTCTCTCTATTAATATTTTCAACAAATCAATGACTATTTTCATACAAAGATTATAATTGACATTGATCTCACAGTTCTGTTTTAAAAATGAGATCACTTTATAGAACACCTGTGACCTATTAAATAAAATAATGAAAGAAATCACCAAACAACAGTATAACAAAAATAAACATCATGAAGAAAACCAGCAGACATACATACTTACTACAATGAGCATTTTAACTGAGGTTTTCAAAAGACTGCTTCCCACCAGGGAGGCAGTTACTTTTCATTGTATACAGTTCTTGCCAGAATCATATCCTTGTTGAATTCTTGAGTTGAATAAAACCTTTTTGAGGCTTTGCCAGCTCCATGGACCTCACTTTGGAGTCCATACAGAGGAGGTTGCACCTCAGTGGTTCTTTCTGGTACCCACATGGAAAGTAGAGTAGACATACACCCACACAGATATGCCAGTGGGGGATGCAGGCCAGCAGGAGACCTATTTTTGCTCCCTCCTTTGAAATTCAGCTCAACCAGGAGATTAGAGTTTATAAGATAATGGCCTTCCCTCCCTGCCATATTCATATTCTCACACTCTGCATTTTTATTTCTGCATGTAATGTTGCACACACTGATACTAACTGCAAATGGTTTATGCCAAAATTCAGTAAACAAACAAACATAGCAGACATGCACAGCAGAGTTGTGAACACGAAAAAGCAGATCCTGCATACCATTTAGCGGTGTTTTTAAAAAGATAACAAAACAACCTTTACCTCTTCAACAAGGTAAATGTGGCTAAAATGAAGATTTAATGATATCTGGGTACTGATGTTTATTTCCTGGTAACAAAGTCAGTATAAAATTTGATTAGATAAGACCAGCTTCTCACAGATAGGTGAATTGATGATAGCCAGATGGATGGACAGATGGACGCGTGGACAGATGGACAGATGGTTGGATGGATGGATGGGCGGATGGATGGATGGACAGGTGGACGGATGAGTGGAAGGGTGCATGGGTGGATGGATGGATAGATGATGGATAGATGGATGGACAGACAGATGGACAGATGGATGGATGGATGGAAGGATGGATGGATGGATCAATGGATGGGTGGATGAATGTATAGATGGATGGGTGGATGGATGGATGAATGGATGGATGGGTGGACAGATGGATGGATGGATGAATAGATGGATGGATGGATGGATGAATAGATGGATGGATAGATGGATGGATGGATGGATGGATGGATGGATGGATGGATGGATGGACGGACAGATGAGTAGATAGAGAGATAAATAAACAGCACATCTATGAATCACACTTCTTCTTACAGTCCAATTTCCAGTATGATTATCCATTAACACAAAAACTTCCATCATGTTTAAAGATTCTTAAAAAACAGGGAACAACATTTTGGGAGGCAGAGATGGGAAAATTGTTTGAGACCAGGATTTCAAGACCAGCCTGAGCAACATAGTGAGACCCCTTTCTCCCAAAAAAATTTTTTTTTTTTTTTGAGATGGAGTCTTGCTCTGTTGCCAGGCTGGAGTGCAGTGGCACTATCTCGACTCACTGCAACCTCCACCTCCCAGGTACAAGCAATTCCCCTGCCTCAGCCCGCTGAGTAGCTGGGATAACAGGCACGCGCTACCGTGGCCAGCTGTAATCCCAGGACTTTGGGAGGCCGAGGCAGGTGGATCGCGAGGTCAGGAGATCAAGACCATCCTGGCCAAAATGATGAAACCCCATCTCTACTAAAATACAATTCTTTTTTTTAATTAGCCGGGAGTGGTGGTATGTGCCTGTCATCCCAGCTACTCTGGAGGCTAAGATAGGAGGATTCCTTGAGCCCGGGAGTTTGAGGCTTCAGTGAGCTATGATTGTGCCACTGCACTCCAGCCTGAGTGACAGAGTAAGACCTTGTCTCTAATAGAAAAAAAAAAAAGCCATATATGAAAAACTCACAGTGAACATCACACTCAATGCTGAAAAACTGAATTTTTCTTCTAAGATCAGGAACGAGGCAAGAAGGCCTGCTGTTTCCTCTTCTATTCAACATAGTACTGGAAGTTCTAGCCACAGCAATTAGACAAGAAAAATAAATAAAGGGCATTCAAATTGGAAAGAAAAAAGTAAAATTCTCTCCCTTTATGGATGATATGATATTTTATGTAGAAAATACATACTACACACACATACACACACACAAATTGTTATAGCTAATAGATATAAATTAAGCCAAGTAGCAGGATACAAAGTCAACACACAAAAATTACCTGTATTTCTATATTGTAACAATGAGCAACCTGAAAAGAAAGTTACAGAAATAATTTTATTCATGATACAATAAAAAATAATAATACTTAGGCATTAACCAAGGAGGTGAAAGACATGTACAATAAAAACTATGAAATACTGCTAAAAGACTATAAAGACATAAATAAATGAAAACAAAGTCCATGATTTTGAAGACTTAACATTAAGATGACAATACTACAAAGTGATCTACAGATTAAATACAATTCTAAAACCCATTGATGTTTTATGCAGAAAAAGAAAGGCCCATCATAAAATTCATATGGAATCCCTAATAGCCAAAACAATTTTGAAAAAGAACAAAGCTTGAGCACTCACACTTCCTGATTTCAAAACTTACTACAAAGCAACAGTAATCAAAACAATATGGCATTGATGTAAACACAGACACACAGATCAGACCAGTGGAATAGAATAGAGGCCTCAGAAATAAATGCTGGAATATATGAACAAATGACTTTTGACAAGGGAGTCAAGACTGTTCAATAGGGAAAGGACAGTCTTTTGAACAAATGTTACTGGATAAGCCAGATATCCACATGCAAAAGAATGAAGGTGGACCTTTATCTAACACCATATACAAAAATTAACTCAAAATAGGTAAAAAACCTAAATGTAAGCCCTAAAACTATAGGGCTTTTTTTTTTTTTTTTTTTTTTTGAGGCAGAGTTTTGCTCTTGTTGCCCAGGCTGGAGTGCAATGGCATGATCTCGCCTCAACACAACCTCCGCCTCCTGGGTTCAAGCAATTCTCCTACCTCAGTATCTCGAGTAGCTGGGATTACAGGCATGCACCATCACACCCAGCTAATTTTTTGTGTTTTTAGTACAGATGGGGTTTCTTCACGTTGGTCAGGCTGGTCTTGAACTCCCGACCTCAGGTGATCCGCCTGCCTCGGCCTCCCAAAGTCCTGGGATTACAGGCATGAGCCACCATACCTGGACAAAACTATAGGACTCTTAGAAGAAAACACAGGGCAAAATCTTCACAACATTGTATTTAGCAGTGACTTCCTGGATATGACATCAAAGGCACAGGCAACAAAAGAAAAAAACAGACAAACTGAATGTAATCAAAATTTTAAAACATTGCATGTCAGAAAACACTATCTGGCTGGGTGAGGTGGCTCATGCCTGCAATCTCAGGACTTTGGGAGACTGGGGCTGGAGGACTACTTGAGCCTAGGAGTTTAAGGATACAATGAACAATGGTCACACCACTGCACTCCAGCCTGGGCAACAGGGTGAGTCTCAAAAAAAAAAAAAAAAAAGCCTGGTGTAGTGGCTCATACCAGTAATCCCAACACTTTGGGAAGCCAAGGGAGGAGGATTGCTTAAATCCAGGAGTTCAAAACCAGCCTGGGCAACACAGCAAGACCCCATCTCTAAAAAATTTATCTTGGAGTGGTGGTGTGTACCTGTGGTCCCAACTACATGGGAGGATGGCTTGAGCCTGGGAAGTTGAGGCTGCAGTGAGCTGTGATTGTGCCACTGCACTCCAGCCTGTACGACACAGCAAGAACCAGTCAAAACAAAACAAAACAAAACCCTATCAGTAGAGTAAACAGGCAACCCACAAAATGGGAGAAAATGTTTGCAAGTCATATATCTGATAAAGGATTGATATCCAGAATATATAGAAAACTCCTACAACTCAACAACAAAAAACAACCCATTTCAAAAATGAACAACAGACATAAACAAGCATTTTTCCAAAGAAGATACACAAATGGCGAATAAGCACATGAAAAGATGCTCAATTTCATTCATCATTAGGGGACTACAAATCAAAACCACAATGAAATACTACCTCATACCCAACAGAATGGCTACTAACAAACAAAGAGAAAATAACAAGTGTTGATCGGGATGTGAAGAAATTGGAATGCTTATGCACTGTTGATGGGAATGTAAAATGGTATAGCCAATATGGAAAACAGTGTGGCCTTTATAAAGAAATTAAAAATAGAATTACCATATGAGGTAGCAGTTCCACTTCTGGATAAAACTGCAGCAACTCCACTTCTGGGAATCCCACCCAAAAGAATCGGAAGCAAGTTTGCAAAAAGATAGTTGTACACCCATGTTCATAGCAGCATTATTTACAATAGCTAAAATGTAGAAGTGACCCAGGAATCCATCCACAGATGAGTGGATAAACAAATTGTGGTATATCTATAGAAGGGAATATTAGTCAGCCTTAAGCTGGAAGGAAATTCTGGCACAAGCTACAATGTGGATAAACCTTGAGGCCATTATTCTAAGTGAAAGAAGCCAGTCATGCTAGGCCCAGTGGCTCATGTCTGTAACCCCAGCACTTTGGGAGGTCAAGGCAAAAGGATCGCTTGAGCCCAAAAGTTTGAGACCAGCCTGGGCAATATAGGGAGACCCCATTTCCACAAAAAAGTAAAAATAAAAAATTAGTGGGGGATGGTGGCACATGACTGTGGTCCCAGCTACTTCAGAGGCTGAAGCAGGAGGATCACTTGAGCCCAGGAGGTTGAGGCTGCAGTGAGCTATGACCGTATCACTGCACTCCAGCCTGGGCAACAGAGAGAGACCTTGTCTTCAAAAAAAAAAAAAAAAGCCAGTTCTAAAAACACATATCCTATATAATTCCATTTATATGAGATCCTAGACAGTAAAAATCACAGAGACAGAAAGTAAGGTGATGGCTGCTAGGGACTGAGGGGAGAGGTGTGCAGAGTTACTATTTAATGTACACAGTTTCAGTTTTACAAGCTGAAAAGCATTATGGAGAAGGATAGTGGCAATTATTGCACAAAAGTGCAAATGCATTTAATGCAACTAACCTGTGCACTTTAAAATGGTCAAGATGGTAAATTTTATGTATTTTACCTCAATAAAAATAAATAAATAATTTTTTAAATAAGCTACTTACATAAGGCACTATCATTGGCAGAATCACATACAGTTACTTTCCCATTAGTATAAAGCAGACAAGAAATACACTATTCAATAACATGATAAAATTATAAGGCATAACTTGTGCTTCATTTTAACCTGAGGTAAATGGTTAACAGTTTACAGGGAAGGAAATAATAAAACATGACAGAAATTGCTGTCTTGAGAAGTACTCCTTCTGAAATTGTTTGCTAAATGTTTGTATCAGGCAACTTCAATCCGGAGTTTGAGGAAAGCATATTGCAATGTCACTCTGTGAGCTGCCCCTCGGCAGTGAGCCGGGGCAGCAGGGAGGAGGCCCAGCTCCCGCAGGAGAGGCCAGCATTCCAACTTCCATAGGGTGGGGTGCTGCAGGACAGTGGATCTGGAGCATAGGGTAGCTTTGTGACCTAAGAAAGGAATTCGCTAGAATGTGTTCCATTTGCACATCACACAATGTGGGTTCTTGTGAGGATAGGCAGGTAGCAAATCCTCAGGGAACACTGACTGAATGAACCCATAACTCAATGGCCACAGGCCTGGACAGGGAGAGGGCCAAAGGGGTCTGAAGCTGCTGGGTGAATGAGAACATCCTTTGACTTTGATGCAAAAGTCACCGGCACTTCCCAGGTTAGGTCTGCAAAGAGTGCATTTTCCACTAAGGAGGGCAGCTGGCAAAGCACAGCCTTGTCCTTTTGGGTTTAACGTCCTTGATTTTCCCTCTTAGCCTCCTGTGGCACCACCAGGCCTCCAGGGACACCACCGCCCTCTAAAGTGCTGTCGCAATGAGAGAAACTCTCTAGGTCTGTTCCAGAGAACACGGCTGAGGCCACTGGAGCTTGCCCCCTCTGTGATTTGCTAGTGAGATATCTGACTGGAAAAGTGGTCCCTGTCTGTGTGATTCTGGTGCATGCTTCAAAAGGCTGGGACCTCAAAAGCAGTGATGACTCGATAGCCCAGGGAAGGAAGAACTCACTGTACAAAACAAGACTGAGCATGGAAAACAAGAGGACTGCACAGTCAACCACCAAAGTGATTTGAAATCAGGTGCGTTTTGTTTCTTTGACTATATAAATGAAAACATTTTCACCAAGATAAAAACTGAAACTAAAGATGAATGTTGCAGGACAATGGAAAGAGACTCTTCCTGTCAGTCCTCAGGCCCCTGCTATGTGTATGTGCTCAATGAATGTCTTTAGGACAGGGGCGGGAAAAACAGAGGGTAGAAGATAGAACATTTGAAAAATAATAAAGAAGTACACAGAATAAACCAAAAGAACTTCCTGTAATCTATCCAGGTGGAAAGTCAATATTTTAATTTACTACAATGTGTGTGTGTGTGTGTGTGCGTGTGTACAAAAGGGGATAATGGGGTTAAAATAAAATCAACTCTTTTATATATACAAGAGCTGACCCTGGGATGTGGACAGGGTACCACTGTCCAGCCCAGTTCTTATATATACACACACTAGGGGATCATTCTGTTCATACACTTTCATATCATACTTTTTTACTTAATGTTATATAAACATTCTCCCATAAGGAAATAGTTCTGAAGACATGAATTTTTATTGCTGTGTAATATTCTATCGTTTCAATATACAATTACTCACTGGACACTGAGTTTGTTTCTCCTTTCTTGCTACTAAAACTACAATGGGGCACGAGTCCTTGTCTAAGTTCCTGAATGTTTCTGTGTGGTTGATTGCTGGAAGAGAAATTACTAGGCAAAATTTATCGACTTTTTGAAGAGTCTTCGGCTTATGTTTTGTTTTTTTTGTTGTCGTTGTTCTTCTTCGTGTTGTTGTTTTGTTTTTTGAGATGGAGTTGTCGCCTGGGCTGGAGTGCAATGGTGTGACCTCGGCTCACTGCAACCTCCACCTCCCCAGTTCCAGCAATTCTCCTGCCTCAGCCTCCCACGTAGCTGGGACTACAGGCACCGGCCACCATGCCTGGCTAATATTTGTATTTTTAGTAGAGACGGGGTTTCACAATGTTGGCCAGGCTGGTCTAGAACTCCTGACCTCAGTTGATCCACCCGCCTCCGCCCCCCAAAATGCTGGGATTACAGGCATGAGCCACAGCACCCGTCCAGTCTTGGGCTTACTGACAAAAAGGACGGATTTCTCTTTCTACCAGCTGCACCTGAGAGAACCTTTGTCCCTGTCTCCTTGTCTTCTATGAGAATTATAATTCCTTTTTTTGGCTGAAACTATTTAAAGGGACCTCAATAAACAATACAATACATTGGCAG
This sequence comes from Homo sapiens, assembly GCF_000001405.40. NCBI lineage: Eukaryota > Metazoa > Chordata > Mammalia > Primates > Hominidae > Homo > Homo sapiens. The sequence goes on from NC_000015.10 coordinate 26,738,544, forward strand.
GGAAAGCTAAGCTTGTGGTGAATACTCTCACACACTGAGACTGCAAACCGCAAGGACTGACTCTCACGGCGCCCTTGCCTGTTCACCCCCTTCTTTGTACTTATCTTCCCTCTGTAACTGCACCTGTTGTTACCACCTCCCATCCTACCTTGGAATTCCGTCCCAGACAACGTGTAACTTTGCTGCAATCAGGAGAGAGGCTCAGTCTCACTTTCCAGGAGGACCAGGGCTTACTCTCTGTCCACATTCCCTGGCTCCCTGAGCTATCTCAGCCTGAGGGTTAGATGCATTTATCCATGAGAAATTAGCCATATATCTTAATAAAACAGAAACAATTACATAACAGAGGAAGAGAAAGTGGGTTTTTCACATTTGATGAGGTAAACAGAAAAAAAGGGGAAGAAAGACCTAGGATGTATTCAGCACGTGCAGTTTTCTTTCCTAACAATATGTCTAATTTAATTCCAACAACAACCCTGATAGATAAATTGCAAAGATAGGAGCTCAAATATGGGCTTAGAGAAGGGACACCGTGGCCCGCAGTGACCCAGCTCATCACTGCCTGGTGCTGATGCTCCATGGAGTCCTAGCACAGCTGACACTGGGAGGCGGATAGGGCACCTCTGTCCAGCCTCGCCCAGCCCAGCCCTGTCTGCTCCACTTGGCCGTCCTACATCACACTCAGTAAGGTCAGTGTCTACAGAAACCCACACCAGCTTGTTCTCAAACAACAGCGACGCTTGGCCAAGTAGACACCACTGTGTGCAGCTTATTCTCGTCTCTGCTTGTTTCAGAAGTGCCGAGTAGAAGGAATAGTTAACTTCCCTAAAAATCCAGACAGCTTTATCCTTGTTGACAAAAACTACTTGTTTATAGCCAATGGTTGGTCCGATACTGTTGCTGGGAAACAGAAATCTATGAAGGGATCAGCAGGTGTTCAGTAAATATTTGCTGAGTGAATTAATGCATTAATTAATTCACCTTTCTACACCAAATATTCACAATGCAAGGAGGGGCCGGTTTGGCAGGCAGGGTGAGCGTTCCTTTTCTCATTGACCAGGTATTTCTAAATAGCAAATACTAGGTGTCTAGACTATAAATTTGGAAAAATGAAGTTTGAAAATTTATTAGAAAAAGATTTTTATTGATACATAATAGATGTGTATATTTGGGGGGATATATGTGATATTTTGTTATGTTCACATAATGTGTACAAATCAAATCAGGATAATTGGAATATCCATCACTTTTCTTAATTGGACTATCCATCGTTTATCTTTCCTTTATGCTAGGAAAAGAATTTATAAAACAGAAAACAGGATAATGGGGTTAAGATAAAATCCATTCTTATCTTCAGAAAACAAAAGGGGCTGCACACAAGAGATTTGCTAGAGCAAGCCTCTTAACAGAGACCTTTCCACTTCCTGCCGTGACACCTGCACGAGCCGCTCATTTGTCTCTGCCTCCAAGACTCCCTTGCTTTTAAACAACGTGTCAACAAAATGATCTTCCTCTAAGCCAGTGTGGGTATCATCACTCTCTTGCTGAAACAACAATCGGCAGCTTCCCAGGGCTGACCAAGTGACTTGAGATCCCCCCACCATCCCCATCCTCACAGTGTGCCAGGTGCTAGGCTTGGCGAGCAGGTAGGGGAGCTAGGCTGGTGTCTCTGTTCTGTAGGAACGGGAAGCCCACAGGGGACACACTCCAATGAGCCAACACTCAGGATAATGTGAAAAGTGCAGCTGAAGTGAATGCAGGGCTCAGGGGCCCAATGGGGTAGAAGTAGTGATCAATTCACCCTGGCTGAATAGGAGAGGGGGTTCACTATGAGGGGGAAGACAGGCTGGCTCTTCAAGGATCAAAGGATACCGCCAAGCAGATGACAAGGACGCTGCAGTGAGGACCTGGGGACTGGGCTGTGTTCCTGGCAGGAGAAATGGCTGAAGGAGCACCTGCATCTGAGGTCCACTGCAGCCCGAAAGCACCTGGTCCACTCACTGGGTCTGTCTTCTCTCCTCCTCCTCTGGAGCACCCAAGGGACCAGGACAACCTCCCTCTGTCCCGTGGGCACCCCAGGAAGCCTCCCTGTCTCCACAGCTGAGGCTTGGCTCTCCCTCCTTGGAATCCTCACAGGACTTTTCCTAATCTGTGCTGTGAAGCACATTCACAGTATCAGGCAATAGGAGCCACATCTAACGTGATGGTCAGTTTTGGTGGCCCCACGTTGTCCAGGACAGCCTTGGCCACTCCTGCTTGTCCCAGCAGAGTACTAAGAATGTACTCATTCACTCTCAGAGTCTGCTGGTGTGCACAATGTGCCATAAGACACCTCCCAGGTTCCCCAACACACACAAGCACTGCTGGAAGTACTTGGAGGGGGAGATGGCGGGAGCAGCACGGAGCCGACTCTGAGTCAGAATTTCAGATGGGCCAGGAGAACTCACAGAATGCCTCGATTTCCTCACCTGTAGAATGGCAGGATGGGCGAGGGAGGAATAAGTGTGTGTGTGTGTGTGTGTGTGTGTGTGTGTGTGTGTACACCAGTACTTTATACAAGCACATAGCAAAAAAATTCCTATATGGACTTTATCTGGTGTTACTTCCTTTTCTTTTTAATCTTTCATCCCTTGAAGTACCAAGCTTAGGGTCAGAGTGGAAAATGCAGAAGCCTTATATGAATTGAGTTCCCCATCATATGATGAATAGTTGCTTTCAGTGATTTCTACATATTCTTCAGAGAAGAAAAAAAGGAAAATAAACATGGTAGCCTTTCCAATGGGCACAGTGCCATTACCAGACACTGACAGACGAGACCCATCACAGTCATCACAGTCTGCTGTCCAGTATCTCCATCTCCATTAAAAAGACAATCTTATACACATATACATGTAAGCAACCTATGACTTCATCTCCCTGACACCTCCTAAAAGAACTAAACACATCACCCTTCTTGGTCACTTCCGGTTTATATACATTTATTTCTAAATTCATGTCCATCCTACGTATGCTGGTTTTGCAAATATTTATGACTGCAGCATCATGTGAGTATATACACCTCATTTTCGTTTGTCTGTTTTTTGGAGATAGGGTCTCACTCCGTCCCCCAGGCTGGAGTGCCCTGGCAGGATCCTAGCTCACTGCAGTCTCAAACTCCTGGGCTCAAGGGATCCTCCTGCCTCAGCCTCCCGAGTAGGTGAGCCTACAGGCATGCACCACTATGTCTGCTAATCTTTTTAATTTTTTGTAGAGATGGGGGTCTCGCTATGTTGCCCTGGCTGGTCTCAAACTCCTGGTCTCAAGAGATGCTCCTGCCTTGGCCCTCCTCACTCTTTGGAGAGTTTTACCCAATTGTCTGACAGTATTTATGCTAATTTAACCAGCCTTTCCTACTATGAGTATTTGCAGTTCTAAAGGATGCAATTAGAATCTCTGTAACAATCATGTAAATATTTTCGGAGGAAAATCCTCACAATGCAATTTCTGGGTTAAAAGTACGCGGTTTTTTTTATACTGGCCCCTTATGCACTCCTACACGACATTTTTCAGAAGCACATTTTCCCATATCCTTAGTAATGCTGGGTGAAAAGTGACTTATCCTTATGTCTCTCTAAGCATATCATTGATACTGACTGCCTCCCAATTACCACTATCCATGTATCTCTTAGAGTTTGCCTCTTGGGTCCTTCCCAGGACTGGCTCTCTGATGTCTTTGAAGCCCGGGAGTCCTTTTACTGCACTGGATCTTTACCCTTTGGCGTGAATATTGTCCCATCCATTCTTTACCCAATTTTTAGTTTAAACTCTGTTCTTCTTTAGTTTCTGGTCTATGATGTATTGAAAAAAAAAAAAGCCTCTCCTACTCTAGGATTATAACTTATATTCAAGATGTGGTCCAAATATTCCTTTATGTTTTCTCCCAAGTCCTTTTAAAATGCGCAAGCTTTTGCTCCATCAGATATTTCATACGTGGCATGAGATAGAAAACTGTGTCTAATGTTTTCACCCAACACCTTAAGTAGACTATCCCTTTGCCAAGGCTTGACGCACCATCTTTATTACCTGTCTAAATCCCCATGTATGAATGTGTCTGCTACAGAACTGTCTTTTCTCTTCCACTGATTCACTACATCATCTTGCTGTGACTGACCTGCCCTCGTTTCCAACTGCTTTTTAAATGCTTAAGGAAAGTCCTGTAATTCATCTTTTTCTCCCAAACTTTGTTATTCTCACCCATGTATTCTGTCACATGAACTTTATCAATTTATCAAGTTCTTGCCAAAAGTTATAATTCCAATTGGAATTTTATCTTACATGTTAATTTGGGAATGACTAGTATCTATACAAGCCTCCTCACCTTATCATTAGCCATTAGAGATTCTTTTTTTTTTTTTTTTTTTTTTTGAGACAGAGTCTCGCTATGGCGCCCAGGCGGGAGTGCAGTTGTAGGATCTCAGCACACTGCAACCTCCGCCTCCCGGGTTCAAGTGATTCTCCTGCCTCAGCCTCCTGAGTAGCTGGGATTACAGGCACGCACCAACACGCCAGGCCAATTTTTGTATTTTTAGTAGAGATGGTGTTTCACCATGTTGGTCAGGCTGGTCTCAAACTCCTGACCTCGTGATCCACCTGCCTCGGCCTCCCAAAGCGCTGGGATTACAGGTGTGAGCCACCGCGCCCAGCTGGAGTTTGTTTTCTCCTTGAAAATGGCACACATGAAATAGACAATACTCTTTTCTTCTGCCTCCCATCTCTACTCTTCCCACAGCCCCTAACACACCCCTCAGCTCTGCAGGAGAAAGATTTCAGGTAGGAGTTGAATCCCAGTTCCACGAAGGCTACATGCCTTGGAGCAATTTACTTAGTCTCTTTGAGTGTTCTACTGTGACTGATGGCTGTTGTTATTTAACCATACAATCTTTAACTTGCCCTAAATTGTAGGCTTTTGGCTACTGGTATATATTATTGTAAATATTTCTCAAGTCAGAATAATGCCAGAGTATAGCTAAGTGTTCACATAAAGGTTTCATTAGATCAATGGACAGTCTATGCCAGAGTGAAGAAAATCCAACATTGTGGGGAAGGTGAACATCATTAGTTTTTCTGTATGTTTTGTTACTCAGCAAAATGTAATCCGACAGCCTTAATAGGAAAAGGCCATTTTCTGTCATTATAGTGACTGTCTTCCCCATCTGCTGATCACCTCTCTTTATGAACACTTACCTTGCACCAGTTGCATTCCTACCAAGCAACTGACTCCAAGCTGTGATTAGATTGGTCACCAGAGATGAATGCAGATGCACACAAATATCAACAGCAATTTGTATGCTTTGAGCACTCGTCTCTAAGAAACTCATTTCAGATTTCTCTAAAACAAACTTCTTTCTCAACTCTCCCCGCTAAGTAGGAAAGAGAATGCATTTACTGATGGGGAAGGAAACTAGGGAAAAAGAATGAGACCACTCACCCCAAAACAAAGTCTTATGTACTTAATTCCCCTCCCAGTGTGACCAACATCGTGTCTCCCACTAAAACACCAGCCAAGCTTCACACAAACTAAAGAGAAGGAATTTTACACGGGGCGAGGTTTTCTGAGTGACGCATATAAAAATAGCACAATCTACATGCTCTTATCCATGCAATTGGGCATGGTTCAGGACACAGCGGTTGAGTATTTGAATTTGATATTAAAATCAAGCATGAAAATTCTCAGATATTTCACTTAAAAAATTAGATAGGCTGTATAAACATTTAACTAATTTTGTAACTCCCATGCCTTTTGGTTTTGTAATTTTTAAAAATTTAAACTATGCTTCCTTATTGAAATAAAGAGTTAATAACTACAGTGGAAATCGTTTTCAACTTAACTCATCAACAATAACAGAAAACTTTTTTTTTTTGAGACAGAGTCTTGCTCTGTTGCCCAGGCTGAGGTGCAATGGTGCCATCTCAGCTCACTGCAACCTCTGCCTCCTGGGTTCAAGCAATTCTCCTGCTTCAGCTTCCCGAGTACCTGGGATTACAGATGCCTGCCACCATGCCTGGCTAATTTTTGTATTTTTAGTAGAGACGAGGTTTCACCATGTTGGCCAGGCTGGTCTCTAACTCCTGACCTCAGGTGATCTGCCCACCTCGGCCTCCCAAAGTGCTGGGATTACAGGTGTGAGCCACTGTGCCCAACCAATAACAGAAACTTTCATTAAAACTTGAATAATCAGTATCAAACTCACGACATCAAAAATCATATTTTCAATTTTCAAGTTATATCCTCAAGAAAATTTTTACTTATTGACATTTATTTATATAAGTGTATACGTGTGTGTGTTTGTGTATTAAACCATTTTTGCATTGCTATAAAGAAATACCTAAAACTTGGTAATTTATAAGGAAAAGAAGCTTAATTGGCTCACAGTTCCACAGTCTATGCAAGAAGCATGGTGCTAGAGAGGCCTCGGGGAACTTTTACTCATGGTGGATGGTGAAGTGGGAGCAGCACATCCCTTGGCGAGAACAGGAGCAAGAGAGTGATTGGCAGGGGGAGGTGCCACACGCTTCATGTAAACAACCAGATCTCGTGAGAACTCACTCACTAACAGCCATGAGGACAGCACCAAGCCATGAGGGAATTCGTCCCCATGACCCAAACGCCTCCCACCAGGCCCCACCTTAACACTGGGGATTACAGTTCAACGTGAGATTAGGCAGAAACATATATTCAAACTATTTCAATAGGTTTTCAGAAAGTTTAACATTTTTTTAATTTTGAAAGAAAAATAAATTCTTAAGAAGTTGTAAAAAAAATTGTACTGGGAGGTTCCATACCCAGTTTTCTCAGTGTTTACATCTTGTGTAACTATAGTACAATATCAAAACCAGGAAAGTGATATGGTACAATCCACGACCTCATTCAGATTTCACCAGGATTTCATGCACTCGTGGGTGTGTATTCATATGTGGGCAGGAACAGCTATAGGTCTATGCAATTTTATCATAGGCGTAGATTCCCTGCAGCCTCGACCTCCTGGGCTCAGTTTTTTTCTCACATCACAAGGCTCCGGGTGTCACCTTCTTTACCCACACCCCTCCTCCACTGGCCTCCGCCATCTATCACTGGCAACCACTAATGTGTCCTCTTTCTCTGTAATTTTATTATTTCATAATAATTATGTAAATAAAATATAGTGTAACCTTTACGCTTAATAAGCATAATTCCATGAGCGCCATCCAATTTGGTGCCTGTAGCAATAGTTTCTTTCTGTTGCTGAATAGAATTCCATGGTTTGAATGCGCCATAGCTTGTTTAACGATTCACAATTTTAGTTTGTTTCCAGTTTCAGGCTATTAAAAATAAAGATGCTGTGAACATTCGTTTATAGGTTTTTGTGTGACTACTGGTTTTCATTCCTCTGAGATAAATGCCACAGAGTGCAATTGCTGGGTTGTAAGGTAACTGCAGATTTAATTTTATAAGAAACTGCCAACTTATTTTCCAGAGTGGCTGTATGATTTTCTAATTTCCACCAGCAACGTAGGAGTGATCAATCCAGCTTCTCTACGTTCTACCCAGTATTAAACAGTGTCACTTTTTTTTTATTATTCTTACAGACATTCTGATAGGTGTTTAGGAATATCTCACTGTGGCTTTTTTTTTGCATTTTGCTAATGGCTAATTATGTTGGACATTTTTGCATGTGCTTATTGGCCATCTGTATATACTCTTTCCTGAAATGTCAGTGCATATGTTTTGCCCATTTTCTGACTGGATTGTTTGTTACTGCTGAATTTTGAGAATTCTTTATATACTCCAAGTTCTTTGTCAAATGCATGGTTTGGAGATATTTTTTCTAAGTGTACGGAGTCTTTAGAGTCTTTTGCAGAACAAATGTTTTAATTTGATGAGGTTCAGTCTACCAATTTTTCCTTTTATGAATCATGCTTTTGGTGTTAAATTTAAGAATTCTTCTTCTAGCCCTATGTCCTAAAGATGTTTTTATGTTTTTTTCCGAAGTTTTACATTTTACATTTAAGTCCGTTTTTTGTTTTTTTTTTTTTTTGGAGTTTGTGTAAGTCTGAGGTTTAGGTCAAAGTCATTTGCCCATCACCACTGTTATAAAGGCACTCCACTGAATTGCTTTGGAACCTTTGTTAAAAATCAGCTGGGTGGCCAGGCACGGTGGCTCACACCTGTAATCCCAGCACTTTGGGAGGCCGAGAGGGGCAGATCACGAGGTCAGGAGATCGAGACCATCCTGGCTAACACGGTGAAACCCCATCTCTACTAAAAATACAAAAAATTAGCCGGGCGTGGTGGCGGGCACCTGTAGTCCAGCTAACTCAGGAGGCTGAGGCAGGAGAATGGCATGAACCCGGGAGGCGGAACTTGCAGTGAGCAGAGATCGCACTACTGCACTCCAGCCTGGGCGACAGAGCAAGACTCCATCTCAAAATAAATAAACAAACAAACAAACAAACAAATAATCAGTTGGGCATATTTGTGTGGGTCTATTTCTGAATTGACTATTCTATTCCATTGACTACTGTGGTAATATAGCAAGCGTAACCATTGTGCAGAATGTTCCCCCACAGTGTCCTCCCAGACTGGGATTCTCCTCAAATCAGTCTATAGCTTTTATGCAATCCCTGTCTTCAGACTTCAGTATAAATCCCCTTCTCCCAGACTTCAATATAAATTTTAGAGTATGTTTGTCTGTGTGTACAAAAATCCTTGCTGGGACTTTGATAGGGACTGCATAAAACTATAGATTGATTTGTGGAGAATTGACATTTTGCTATGGTAAGTCTTCCAATTCATGAAAACGGGAAGTTTCTCCATTTAGTTAGGTCTTCTTTCATTTCTTTTAACAGCATTTTTTCAGCATACAGTTTCTACACTTGTTTTATTAAGTTTATACCTAAGTACTTCATTTTCTTAGAGTGATTCTGAATGTTATGTCTTTATTTTAATCTCAGTTCCCACATATTTGTTGTTAGCATATAGATGTGATTGATTTTTGTGTTGATCCTGTATCCAGTAATCTTGTTTAATTCACTTATCAGTTCCAGAAGTTTTTATATAAATTCTTTGGGATTTATTATGTGGATAACCACGTCAATCAGAGACTGTTGTATTTCTTCCTTCCCAATCTGTATGTTTTCTATTTATCACCTGTGCTTTACTAAAGTAGCTAAAATAAGATAGGTGAAAGTGGATATCTTTGCCTTGTTCACAATCGGGGGAAAAAATCCAGTCATTCACCTTTAACTATAATGACAGCTGTAGGATTTTTGTAGATTCTCTTTATAAATTAAGGAAATTCTCCCCTATTCTTTTTTTTTCTGTAAAAGTCTTGATAATTTATTTTTTTATTTACAATTTTTATCATGAATGGGTATTGTATTTTTCAAATGCTTTTTTTTTTTTTTTTTTTTTTTTTTGCCTACAATTTTTTTCTTTAGCCTGTCAATACTGTGGATACACTGGTTGATTTTCAACTCTTCAAACAGCCTTGCACACCTGGAATAAATCACACTTGGTCATGGCATATAATTCCTCTAAGATATTGCTGGCTTTGATTTGCCCATATTTTGTTCAGAATTTTTGTGCCATTGTTCTTGAGAGATTTTGTTCCATGATTTCCTTTAGTACACTGTCTTTCTTCCTGGTATCAGTGTAATACTGGTTTCGTAAAATTAGTTGGGAATGGTTCCCTCCTCTTCTATTTTCTAGAGGAGACTGCATACAGCTAGTAATAATTCTTCTTTAAATGTACCATAGAATTCTCCAGCGAAATTATCTGGGCCCAGAGATTTCTTTTTTGGGAACTTCTAATTACAAATTCAATTTCTTTAGTCATTAATGGACTACTAAGATTCTCTACTTCATCTTGGGTACATTTTAGTAACTTTTGTTTTTTAAGGAATTGGTCTATTTTTTCTGAAGTGTTGAATTTATATGTATAAAATTGTTCGTGGTATTCCCTTATTTTCTTTTAAGCGTATGTGGGATGTGTGATAGCTTCTGTTTCATTCCTGACATTGATGTCTTTCTCTTTTTATTTTTGTCCAAGGTTTATCAAATTAATTGATTTTGGGGGGCAAGATAAAAATTTTTATTTGATTAACTTTCTCTATTGGTTTTTGTTTTCAATTTCATTTATTTCTTCTTTTATCTTTATAATGTTCTTACATCTGCTTGGTTTGGGCTGGGCACAGGGGCTCATGCCTGTAATCCCAGTACTTTGGGAGGCCAAGGTGGGCAGATCACTTGAGACCAGGAGTTTGAGACCAGCCTTGCCAACGTGGTGAAACCCGGTCTCTGCTAAAAATACAAAATTTAGCCAGGCGTGGTGGTGTGCACCTGGAGTCCCAGCTAGTTGGGAGGCTGAGGCAGGAGAATCACTTGAACCCAAATGGTGGAGGGTGAATGAGCGGAGACAGCATTACTGCACTCCAGCCTGGGCAATAGAATGAGACTCCATCTCAAAATAAATAAATAAACAAATAAAAATAAGACAAAATCATCTGCTTGGTTTGGGTTTGTTTTGATCTACCTTTACTAGTTTTTGAGGACTTAAATTTGAGAGTTTTTTTTTCTTTCTTTTTTTTAATCGTTCAGTGCTACAATTTCACCATCAGCACTGGTTTAACTGTGCACTCCAAATTTTGATATGCTGCATTTTCATTTTCATTCAGTACTATGTATCATTTTATTTTCTTTGAGACTTTCTCTTAGACTTATGGATTACTTAAAAGTTTACTGTTTAACTTCCAAGTGTTTAGTGATTTAGTGTTATCTTTCTGTCACTGATTTCTAGTTTGATTTCACTATGCTTAGAAAACATAAACTGTATAATACTAATATTTTAAATGTACTAGAGTTTGTTTAAGACTCATGGTATGGTTTATCTTCTGAAATGCTCTCTGGGCAGATGAAAAGAATGTTTATTCTGCTTTTGTTGTGTAAAATGTTCTATAAGTGTCAATCAAATCCTGTTGACTGATGGTGTCGTTTGGTTCTTCTGTATGTTGGGAGCACATCCTCCTGTTTCTACTCAGTGGTGGGTGAAAGATTAGCTCCCAGCTTGACTGCTGAAACGAGGAGGAAGTGCATGCAGCTTTTGGATGGTGTTTGGCTGGAGTAGGGTAGGCATTATCAAAAAGTTTTTTGTGCTCTTAGACCATCTTTTTCCTGGTCCTTTCGCGGGGGCTTTTTTGTTGGTGTTTGTTTGTTTGTGTGTCTGTCTGCTTGTCAGCAGTGTCAGGTTGCAGACTTCCCAGAGCAGTATCTGGGATACATGAAAGGCAAAAAGAAAACCTAAGGAACTCAACGCAGCATCATTCCTCAAGTCCTGAGGTTCTCAGGCAAGCTGCCTTTCTCTTTCAACCTTCAGATTCTTCCTGTGTTTATTTGTTGTGTTATGGCCAGAGTTTTGTGTTCCAGGAGGAAGGACCTGGGAGGAATGGCACTATTCCATCTTGGCCAGAATTGGAAATCTGTTTAGAAAAAATTTTTAACTGTTTCTATTCTCTCTTCGATTTCTTCTTCCCCTGTGTCTTCACGCCTTTTGATTGTATTCCTGCTTCTAAGCACCTCCAACAGAAAGAAGGCTGCGAAATTAAAGGAGTTGGAATTCAAATCAGTCCATGTTGCTATACATTAGCAACTCTAGGAGAGGTTCAGTGAAGGAAGAAGTTAAAACTACTTACTAAAATGAGGTTTCCAATAAACTGTGGGTGTTAATTATCCATTCAACCCAAGCCCTCAATTAGCAGTAGTGGAATACTAAGGCTTAGACCCCATTCACTACCAAGATACTGCCCTTCCGTTGCTTTTTAGATGAACTGCTCAGAGAATAGGGTATTCCCCACTCAAACTGAGAAACTGTATGATATAATGGAAATGTCAATTTTTTTGTTAGGAAAGCATAAATTATGCTTTAAAAATTTTCTTTGCTGTGTGTCAAGCAAAGGGACCAGCTGACATGGTACCTATCTTCGAGGCATGCTCAGTTAAATAATAAGAATCGGGCAGAATACTCAGAGACAAGTGAATTAAGATTAACTAAAATGTGTGTTTACATTAAATTTAAGCTGATTATGAAGAGAAAAGTTAATGCAAGAAGCTGCTTTAGAGTAAAATGGCTTTATTATTAAATTGAAACAAATAGAATTTCATAAAATGCTCAACTCATAAATAGTAGAAAACTGCCAGAGATATGAAAGCCTGTAAAAAAACCTGTGATGCAGGCTAGAAAGTGAAGAAGTCAAGGCAATGCTGTTATATTGAATGAATAAGAAAAAGTACATTTTTTTGCTAATTACTTAATGAAACTCAGTTTCTATCATGAATTACAGACATTTTGCCAAACATTTATTTTCAGATTTCATTATGATATAATCAGATGTGTTTATTCTTAAGTCCCTCAAGTAACAAGTCAGTATTTGGCCCTTTTTTTCCTCTAAAATTATGTATTATAAAATACAATTCACACTTAAGAATAGTGAAATCTCTAGATTTTTATAATCTTTCCAGATAACAAAAGATTGAAGAACTGCTAATGCTGAAACTATGTGATGCGTTTTTACAAAAGTTCTTCAAAATCTGAGCTTTTGTATTTTCCATGTTAGTCAACTTGGGGAAAAAATGGTTTCTGATGATAAGGCTATCTAGAATTCACAGGATTCCTTTCTTTCTTTAACAAAGCACGTTTTACTATCCATGTTAATCAAATATTTAAAATAATAACCTTTTAAACATCAACTGGCAACAATTACATTGTAGAAATTCAAACCAGAGATGCTCAGGAATGTGTCCAGAACAATTGCAGAGGGAAAGCTGCATTGTTCCAAAGGCTACAATTTCCGACTCCTGAAACACAGCCCAGCAGTAATAACAGTGCAGTGATCAGATTTCCTTCGTTAAAAAAGGGCTCTCTAGACACAGAAGATCATGAGATAAAGAATCTGAAAGTAACCACCTCCACTGCCTCCTCCTGATTCAGAATTTGATGTTACACTCCTAATTTTCATTATAGCCTATTATTTCCAAAGCACCCTTAAAAAAATCAATAGTATGTCTAACTCATTAGTATTTTTGGTAATGAGGGGTCCCTTATGTTGGGGGACCCCTCATAAGGGGGTCCTTTATGTTACTGTTGATTCAGCATTCCAGTAAATAAATTTTGGTCCAAGCATAAATCATGCCTTCATTTCTCTAGATTTCATACTGTCAAATTTGTTCCTTTCCTAGCTAATTTCAGATTTTTATTTTTTAGGAAAAAAAGCCATGTTCTTGCACCACACTAGTAAAGTAGAAACCTTACATGCATTGCTGATTTTCAGGCAAACTATGTAACATGGCTTTCAATGGGTGCTTGGCAAGGAGGAAACATGGGCTAATAAACGAAAAATATAAATGTATCTGAGGTGGCATGTCTGCCTCTCCCAAGAAATAAATTGTTCTATATAAAAAACAGCATGCTTTAAAACATTTTTTAAAAGTCAACAACCTAGTGTTATTTAACTAGCACACCAAGAGCCTCCTCATGCACACCTTCTTTCTGTCTTTCCTTTCTGGTTCTCCCTGTAACCACAGTACCTAAGGGAAGGGTGATCAGCAACTAGCAGACATGGAGAGACTTCCTGCAGACTCTCAAAATTTCAGAATTGATCGCTTGCTCTCTTTATTTTATTTATTTATTTATTTATTTATTTATTTATTTATTTATTTATTTATTTTGAGAGGGAGTCTCACTGTGTCACCCAGGCTGGAGTACAATGATGCAATCTCAGCTGACTGCAACCTCAACCTCCTGGGTTCAAGAGATTCTCCTGCCTCAGCCTCCCGAGTAGCTGGGACTACAGGTGCTCACCACCACACCCAGCTAATTTTTTGTTTATTTAGTAGAGATGGGGTTTCACCGTGTTAGCCAGGATGGTCTCGATCTCCTGACCTCATGATCCACTCGCCTTAGCCTCCCAAAGTGCTGGGATTACAGGCATGAGCCACCGCGCCCGGCCCCTCTCCTTTAATAAGTGTTTTTTCATGTGTATTCTTAATTTATGAATAAAAACTGTACATATTTATGATGTACCACATCAGGCCTTGATGTGTCTACACGTTGTGGAATGGTATAATCAAGCGAATGAATATATCCATCACCTCACATCCTTAGCATTTTTTGTGGTGAGAATATTTAAAATCCCCTCTTGGCAATTTTCACATGTCCATTATTATTAACTACAGTTGGCACGCTGTACAGTAGCTCTCCAGAGCATCCTCCTTCCGAGGGACGCTACACGCCAGGACAACATCTGGCTCTGTCTGCCCCACTGCACTCTTTCTCTGGGCAATGCTTTCCTTGAAGATTAGGTCCTCTTCTGCCTCTGGTCACCTCAATCAAAATAGCATCACTACCAGTACACGTGCTTGAGGTGTCTATTGTTCTTCTATTGTTCTGGCATTTTCTCAGAAAGAAAGCTAAATCTTGTTTCTTGTACTGACCAAATGGTGCTGCAGGCTCTGATACCTCTTGAGAACCTCAGAACTCCCTAACTTCTGAGCTAACTTCTGAGCTGCCCCAGGCACTGAGGGCTGCCCGGATGTCCACAGGCACTTTCCCCAGATGGTGGAGCTGGTCCTTATTCTTAGTGTCCCGTCACCGCAGACACTGGCTCCAGTTACCCCTTCACGACACACATCAAGCGGGCACTGTAGAGCCGTGAGGGCTACCTACGCTGGGTGTGGCAAGAAGAATCGACTGATAATACTGTGTAAGAGGAACCAGACCACAGGAGATTCACAGGTGAAAGACAGATCAGAGACCACTGCAGTTGAGGGCTCCACGCTGAGGCACTGGGAAAAAAGGAGCGGTCTTCACTATATTACCAAAATTACTAGGCAAGACTGGGTGAATAATTACATATTGGAGAAAGAAGAAAGAGAAGAAGATGATCTTTGGGACTGAGTGACAAGTGAAGCACAATTCAGGAGACCTGGTTATTGACTTTGGTCCCAGAAACTGTCCAGAAATACATGGTGGGAGGTGGTTGTAAAAAAGAACTCAACCGTTAGAGGCAGTGCAGCCAAGCAAAGGGATTGGCCAGTCTCTTTTAAATACAGATACTTTCTATTTCCTATATGAAGATTAAAGGAAAGAACCTGATGGAGAAGAAGCTATCATTTTAGAAAGGAGACAGTGAATGTGGGTACAGGAAAAGCCGAATATACAGGGTGGGTAGAGAGGTGAATTCCATGGGGAGCAGCATCTCTGTGAGAAATACACTGGTCTGGGGCGAGGGCAGGCTACAGGTAAACCAATGCTGTTGGTCTTCTGATGGAAACAGAACTTGAGTTCCATAACTATCAGCAAAGATGGGATGTTAGGATGAAGGCCTTGAGGACAGAGAATGTTCTGGGTGGTGAAGACGATGAAGATAAAATAATAAATGTATTTACTAGGAGACATTTTGTCATCAGAGACCATTTTCTCCAGTGTGTGGGCTTGCTTCAGATGTTTTCCCCAGCAACTTTTGGAAGGCTGGAAAAAAGCAACATAAACCCATGATTTAAAGGAGATAGAGGGACTTGAAACAGATTTCTTTGCTGCCTAAGATGGGAGGCAGAATCAGGCAATTAAGCACGAGTCGAACTAAAATTTCTGAAAGAGCAGAAGGAAGAGTAAGAATGGGAGAGAGGGAGAGAAGACGACCAGCAACAAGGGTTCTCGAAAGCAGAAGAGCACCTTTGCTCAAATGCCTGACAATGTAAAACAAGAAAAGAGAGAGACAGAGACAGAGACAGAGAGAGATCAGAAGTAGTTGAGAAACTTGGAGAAATGTGAAGTCCCTTCTGAGCAGATTTCACCAAGGTGCTGCTTTTCTGGGCATGCTGGAAGGAGTAAGAATTAGGGTAGGGAGGAAAAACAGTTACTGATTCATTTCACAATCAATGTGGAAAAATCCAAATTAGTCCAAATGCCCTTCCCAATTACATGTTAATAGCCACTTAACATTTTGTCTCTGCATCAGTAGACCAAACTTTGAATCATATTAAATGATGTCTGACTTTTTTTTTCTCATTAACTACATGGAAAACAGTCTCCGAAAATGTTACCCATGTAGGCAAAGTAAACTAATGGTTCACTAAACAACACCTCCAATGAATCGGTGCTCACTTGGCACACCCTCATTGCACTCCAACAAAGATCAAGGCAACGACACAAAGGAGGACCCCTTACCCCAGAGGTGTGTGCAGTGATGATGGGTTCCTCTCAGTGCCAAGCCTGAGACCTCAGTTTCCCCACACTTTATTTCACCACTGTGTCATGCACTCAAACACCCGAGGGGTCGAGGCTCGGCTCAGCCGTGGAGATAAAACACAGGATTAAACGGAGATTTAAATCCCTTGGTAGAATCTGACCATATGGAACTCCAGATAAAAATGGTTAGAGCCTCTAACAACTTTTTTTTTTTTTTTTTGAGACGGAGTCTCGCTCTGTCACCAGGCTGGAGTGCAGTGGTGCAATCTCAGCTCACTGCAACCTCCAACTCCTTGGTTCAAGCGATTCTCCTGCCTCAGCCTCCCAAGTACCTGGGATTACAGGTGCAGGTCACCATGCCCGGCTAATTTTTTTTGTATTTTTAGTAGAGATGGGGTTTCACCATGTTGGCCAGGATGGTCTCGATCTCCTGACCTTGTGATCTGCCTGCCTCAGCCTCCCAAAGTGCTGGGATTACAGGTGTGAGCCACCGCACCCGGCCACCCCTAACAATTTTTTTCCCAACTTCTTAGGCCTGACTTCTGAGAAACATTTTCTTTTCTTGTGTAAGATTTACTGCGGAAATTAGAATTAGTCTGAATGACTAAACCAAAACAATGACTTGAACATGTGTATTCTATTGCTCACCTATCAGAATATCAAATATATAATTAAATTAAAGTCAATTTTAATGTAAAATGAAAGTATATGCTATTTTTTACTATTATATGAGATGATGTTGGAATAATGGCAATATTCAGAATATCTGGGGATTTAACTCAATTTTACTTTGCATTCTAATGTTTTTTGGGCTACAGTTGTCTTCCCATTTACTAATAGAAATTGATTCTAGAAGTATAGATATAGAACATTCTTGGACATTCCAATGGGAGCCCAAAGTGAAAGATCTTTTCTTGAAAGCTACTTGGTTACATGGATAAAAAACCTGAAAACAATATTCATACCATTTGACTCAGTAATCTTATTTAATGAAATATATCTCAAAGAAATAATCCATAACACATACAGTAACTTAGGCACAAAGATATTCATCAAAACATTATTTAGTCAACCAAATCAGAGCAAGTAATCTAAATGTCCAACAATAGAAAACTACTAAGTAAAATACATTATTTGGCCAGTCAAGGGAATATTATACAGCCCTTACAATAAATGTAAAACATATTTAATAGCACAAGAGTATCTATAATATAAAGTTACATGTAAAAGTATGATAGTAACTTGTATGTACAGTGTGTAAATAATAGTGCATACATATTAAATGTGCATGAAAAACTAAAAGAAATACATCCAAATGTATTCACATATTATAAAATTTTCTTCATGACAACTTTTTTTAATTTTGGAAAATAATAGATATTATTTTGTAGAAGCAGTCAAAGAGTAATGAGTATCAAATTTCCTAAATAATGATCTTATCGACTCCAGATGGGTCTTCATTTCACAATTTAAATATACAGAACAGGCTGGGCATGGTGGCTCACACCTGTAATCCCAGCACTTGGGGAAACCGAGGCGGGTGGATCACGAGCCCAGGAGTTTGAGACCACCCCAGGCAACATGGTGAAACCCCCTCTCTACTAAAAAAAAAAAAAAATAGAAAAATTAGCCAGGTGTGGTGGTGCACACGTGTAGTCCCAGTGACTCGGGAGCCTGAGGTGGGAGGGTCACTTGAGCGCAGGAGGCAGAGGTTGCAGTGAGCCAAGATCACACCACTGCACTCCAGTCTGGGCGACAGAGCAAGATCCTGTCTCAAAAAAAAATTTTTAAAGTACAGAACACTCCACACAGGCAAAAAGTTCCTGCACCTGACACAATGTTAAAAAAATATAAAAATGTAATATCACATATGTGTTATGTATAAAGTCACATATGTGCTATGTATAAAAACCCATGGGGTGTACAGATCATGTATAGAGTTCACAGCTAAGTGAAGGAGAATGTCTGCCTCACTTCTTTCCACTTAACCATTCTCCTACCTGCTTTCCTCCCTTTCATCACATCTGAACAGAGCAGGTGTCTAAGCACCCCATAAGTTTGCAGCTCTGAAAACCCCTGGAGATTCTTCTGCACCAGCTCCTTGCAGGTTGTAACCCTCTTAGAAACTATGTACCCAACATGGCTGCCACCAGAAGGATGATGGTAGAAACATTTCAGGTAGTCAAAACCCCCAGTGGTTTCACTTGTATCAGGGATAAACATACTAAGAGCTAAACTAAATAGAATTTAATTTTGGGCACAGTAGCAACTGGTATATATCTACCTTCTGATGAAACATAGCAAGATATCCCAGTCTCCCAAGTATTTAAAGAAAGAAAATTCCTGTTTCTTATACCAATTTTACCATTTTTTGCTATTCGTATCCCACCGTGGTTCCCTTGGGTCTTTCCATGCCTTCTAGTCTGCTGTGGACTAAGTGTCAGCTCCCCAGGCCAAGTGCCCAGAAACTCATCCCTTTCTTCACTCCTGCCCTGCAACCACGGCCCAACAGCGTCCCTAGGAGCTGTAATTATTCATTCTTCACACATTCCTTGCCTGGCGCGCTCCATTGCTCACTCGCTCCTGGGCTCAAACCAAACATTCTCTTCATGAGTTTCTTCAGTAACTTTAATGTGGCCTTGAGGACTTATGAGTGTCACAAGTCAAACTTGCAAAGCTTGAACGGGGGCACTAAAAAAGTGGAAAATCCCAAACTATCATCACTTGGATTTATGTCACTGGACATTTCATTTAGTTACAAGAGCAGTTATAATAGAGTTAAGCTGCCTCTTAAAGCTTAAGTATTTAGAAGGAAAGAGACAGTACAAGAATACACTAATCAACACGGAGCAATTGAACTAAAAATCAAGTCATAGCAGAGAATACCAGAGGTAATTATTCAGTGACATTATGTATTTTGAAAATCAAAAATGGCAAAGTTCACTGTTTTGCCTCCTTCCAGTTAGCTCCCACTGTCAACCTACAAAATGCAAAGTGCTTTGATAAGCCTAGAATTTTAAAAATCTCTCTCTATATAGCTCACTTTGCACTAACCTGTTAGAGTAAGTGTAAATTAGTTAACAGCACTTCACTGTGAAGCATCAAAACTAGTGTTTTGCCATACATATTCACAAAACCAGTCCCTTACAAGCCCTCTTCTCTACCATCTCAACGGGCTCCACTATCAGTATAATGGAATTCTAACATGTTTTGTTTTACATTTCAGGGTTTTGTTCTGATTGTTGTTGTTTTCACAGTTTCCTTTATAATGCAAGTAGCCATACAGAAAAAAAAAAAACCGTAGAGGTGCAACCTAGAAACATTCACGCTTTTGTGATAATACACAGAAAATAGTTTAGTAATATGTAAGTCTGATATGTGAGTCCCTCTCTGGCTGACTGACGGTTCCTATTAATATGGCAGCATGAGCAGGTTCTGATTTTTCTGTTTGCACATTATTGCATAATCAAATATAGTCTTGGGCAAAGGTTGCCATATCAGGAAATTAGATGTCAATTAACAGAGGCTTGCTTTCCTGTCAGCCTTTGTTTAACAAATTCCATCTGCTTTCCTCTGAAGGATGTTGGAGAAGAGAATTTTCCTTAATTATTTTAGAAACTCAGAGATGCGATAAAAAGAGAAAAAATACTGAGCCAAACAGACTCATGAGGTATCCAAACTTGGAGACAGAAACCAGCAGATAAAGCCATCACTGCTTATCTCCTAAGGAGAGGTAAATGTCATTCAAGCAGGCAGCTGAGAACCAGTGCAGGACAATCTGCCCCATTAATTGACCTTTTCTTCTTAATCTCAACAAACCAACCAATGCCCACGATCTATACCCACCCACCAATTCTCAGAGTTGATTCTACCCCAGGTGTGCTAATTTGGTTACATTGGGAACAAAGTGCATTCCCCTTGTAAGCATCTGAACTTTGAAAGAAGCAGCCATACTTCTGAAAGAGAAAAAGAAAAAAAGAAAAAAAAACAACCTTAAGTAACATATGTGACACCACCATTGTAGACAAATTATGTCAAGGTGGTAAATTAGCGCAAATGACTTATTTACTCTCTTTACATTGTAATTTCTTCCACACAAACACTAAATCCATTACCAACAGGATTCCATCTACAGCGGAAAAACCTAAGTTAAACAGTTGGAAATTGTTTGTGGGGGTCACTGGCTACTTCCAAGTTTGGTACACACTCCACATTTGGATCTATATAATCCTAATCCTGACTGGGTAGTTTCCTAAAACTTAATAATTTGCACATCCACCTTTTTCCTATGACATAATAAAATCAAGCAATTTTCCTGGTCTCTCTGCACATCTCTGGTGCAGGCAGACCAAAGTCTTCATCTCTACACCTGCAGCGGTTTACTTGCTCGGACTTTATGTATATAAAATTTTTTCATTAATAAGACTAGGAATAAAAAAAAATAGAATATAGCAAAAAAAAATTTTTTTTGAGATGGAGTCTCGCTCTGTAGCCCAGGCTGGAGTGCAGTGGCGCAATCTTGGCTCACGGCAACCTCCGCCTCCCGGGTGCCAGTTCAAGCAATTCTCCTGCCTCAGCCCCCTGAGTAGCTGGGATTACAGGCACACGCCACCATGCCCAGCTAATTTTTGTATTTTTAGTAGAGACGGGGTTTCACCATGTTGGCCAGACTGGTCTTGAACTCCTGACCTCGTGATCCACCCGCCTCGGCCTCCCAAAGTGCTGGGATTACAGGCATGAGCCACCGTGCCCAGCCAAAACATTATTTTTTGTAGAGATGCCATAATTGACATCCAAGCTTAAAATTATCTGCATTAAATGCTGGCTCCTCGCCCCACACTGGCCGAGTGCAGCACTGCAGACGATACTGACCACACCCCTGTCCTCTTCCTTTTGATCTGGATTATGAACTCAAAGAATGTTAAGATTGTTACAGAAATACCACAAAAGATTAAAAAATGGTGCATGAATTAAATGTATGTAAAATGTTCTAAAAAACCTGAATATGGACAATTTGGAACCCAACAACAAAAACTAAGGTACTTCTCTACTGGATGGTTCTTCTTAGGTAATAAGGGAAATGTTATGCTTTGGATACAAGAGAAACATTTGAATAGCTCACTGAAGGTTTTATTCACAAACTAATAATTCTAAATTCAGACCAAAAAAACTGATGCAACTATGTTTGAGACCTGAAAATTACTGAGCATGGATTCGGATGTTAAATCCCAGCTGTTTATGTACAAAGTAGCTGAGGCTCATAGCATACAGCAAAGGGAACCTGAAGAAAGAGTTTTCGGGTTCTACACCCACCATGCTTTGACAACACAATTGCAAGCTGCCAGAGGAGATGGGCTCCGTGCCACTGACCACCATGTGGACAACCAATTAAACCACATGCAGTATCAAATGACAAGAAGCTGTGGTCTGTGTAAAGCAAATAGAAGGTCTCCTTATGTTTCAAACAGCTTACGGACTCTAAGAAACATGGAAATCAGAGCTGCAAGGCAACTCAGAGAGCATCCATTCCAGCACCCTCATTAGAAAGATGATCAAACTGAGTCTGAACGACTTGCCAGAGTTCACACAAACCCTTCCTTGGGATCTAAACGCTCTTACACCTCAGATTTTCTACTGCAGAGGGTGAGCTTGAAAGCTAAACCCTCTATGTTCTCTAAAGGCAAAATACCCTGAAGTATGGAGGAAATTGCCTAGATAATTAACATTCCAAACAGTTTATGATAATAGAGTAAAATCTTAAGCCTGGAGAACCATGTTTTATTTAGCATATTTAGTATTGCTTCAAACTTTATCTTTATTTTATGATTGAAAAGTGGTTCTCCAGGCATAAGGAGAAAAAGAAAGATAAATGGATAATTGATTGATTGATTGATATAGATACAGATATAGATACACATAGATAAGCACTGTATTTCGAAAATAAGAATGCTTCTTTTAAAAACTGGTTTTCTCTGCTTCTAAATGCCAACACACACACACGCGCACGCACACACACACACACACAAGCAAACAAACAAAAACCCACCACAATTAATTAATATTTTTGAATCTCTTTGAATTTCCGGATCTGCTTTCATTTACTCACCCATGATCACCAGCCTTTTACAATCTCTGAGCCAAGTACAGGCCAGGTCCCAGAGAGGCCTCTGCAGAGGTGGTTAATCAATATTGTCCTCTTATGAGAGTACTGTGCTTTACAGAACAGTCCAGAAAATACATCTGCCCCCGAGCTACTATTAGTGACTATTCCTGAACAGGTATACACTCTTCATAGAATTATACAAAATTAGGCCAGGCGCGGTGGCTCACGCCTATAATCTTAGCACTTTGGGAGGCCAAGGCAGGCGGATCACCAGGTCAGAAGTTCGAGACCAGCCTGGCCAACATAGTGAAACCCCGTCTCTACTAAAAATACAAAAAAATTAGCCAGGTGTGGTGACATGCGCCTGTAGACCCAGCTACTTGGGAGACTGAGGCAGGAGAATCACTTGAACCCGGGAGTCTGAGGTTGCAGTGAGTCAAGACCATGGCATTGCACTCCAGCCTGGGTGACACAGCAAGACTCCATCTCAAAAAAAAAAATACAATATTAGTCATAAGAGAAATTTTAGGGATGACTTCCTCCAGAGGAGGCCAAATACTTTCATCACTAGAATCTTTCATCCAAACAGAATTTCATTTTATATGTAAATATATCTGATATAAAAATTATATACTATACTATATATTCTCATTGTATATAATATAAATTACATGTCACCATACCTGTGTATATAATAGAATATATTCAAAGATGGAATGGGACTCTCCCTAGTGGGATGCAGTGTCTGAGCACTGCCTGTTTCCTCTGCTGCCACAGCCCCCAGGAGGAATCTCCAGGTATCCAAGGCTACCAACCACGGCCACGCCCAGTAGCTTCAGGGAGCCGTATTTTGTTCTCCAAATTAAGCTACTATTGTTGACGCCTCTTGCACTTTCTCCTCTTCAACACACACCTCTATCCCTCTTATTTATTTATTTATTTATTTAGAGACAGGGTTTCTCTCTGTCGCCCAGGCTGGAGTGCAGTGGCGCGATCTCAGTTCACTGCAGCCTCTGCCTCCCGGGTTCAAGATTCTTGTGACTCAGCCTCCCGAGCAGCTGGGATTACAGGAGAGTGCAATCACGCCCGGCTAATTTTTGTATTTTTAGCAGAAATGGGGTTTTGCCATGTTGGCCAGGCTGGTATGAACTTCTGAGTTCAGGTGATCCGCCCACCTTGGCCTCCCAAAGTGCTGGGATTACGGGCATAAAACCCCACACCCAGCCCTCTTTATCATTTATTCTTATAATAGGTACAAGAACATAAGAAGGCTTAATACATACAAACCTCCCCTCAATGTCACAGAGACTGTTACTGTAAAACAAAAAATATCTTATTTTTTAAAATCAATTAATTATAACAAGTGCTTTAATCTTCATTTCTGCAAAATATCACTCATCTCCTTGTAAACCAGTAGATTATTTGTCAAAATTTTGCCTTCAACGATGTGGGCACTGTCAGTCAAAGTGGCTTTGCTAATACAGTACTCTTCTCTGCTATTGTCATTAATATGGAAGACCATTCTGATTCAATCCTTTAGCCCCATATTTCTTAAACTGTATTCTACCAAAACCTCTGTGAAGAAGTGCTAATTAAGGGCCCCTCACCCCTTCACAAAGAAAAAAAAATTTCCAGTCAAATATATCTGGAAAACGTTGAATTCTTCACCCCCTCATGAAGATTTGCAAAATCATTAATGTATTAAAGAACCTGACAATTCCTGCAGCAAAGAAACCTATTTTATGTGTTGGCCATAATTTCCAATATTATTTGAGCAGAAACACTTAGATTACAGGACACACATTAACGTTCTATAGGACGGTGTTCTCTAAGCAACATTGTTTTAGTCCATGCCACAAGGAATGACATCTCACAAGGAATGATTACAGGACACACATTAACATTCTATAGGACGGTGTTCTCCAAGCAACCATTGTTTTAGTCCATGCCACAAGGAATGACACCTCACAGGGAATTTTGGTGCCCAGGGCCAAATCAAAAGAAAGATTCAGAAATGAAAACTCATTCAATGGCACAGTCCAATATACCCTCATACCAATGAGTTAACTGCAGAATGCTTAAGAGCCTCAACAAAGAATATCGCACAATCAATCCAGGTCCTCAGACAGGTATCCCCGCCCCCTTTCTAGGATGCATACTGCCTTGGAAAGGCAAGGCATTTTGCAGGCTCTGCCCTAATTGTGGACTCTGAGCCTTCAGTGTGTATCAGTGGTGAGAAATTATTCTTGGAGGGCACCTGGCAGTAACTCCAACGCCTCCCAAGGGTTCTTGGCCTATAGCTTTGGAACCACTGGTCTGGGTCATAGGGATGGCACTGTTTTCCAAAACTCAGATATTTTTTCTGGGACAAGTTCACAGGGATCTTCATGTTTAAAGTTACGGTTAATTTTTATGGGCTAAACACCCAAAAAAGAGAATCTCTGCAATAAAACAGTTCAAAGATACACCTTTACTGCAAGGGCCATTGACTCCAAGAATTCACTCGACAAATATTTACCAAGCATATCCTACATGGCAAGAACTGTGCTCTGTGGCCATTCTAGTATACTTTTGGCCTGATATATGGATTTATCTCTCACATAGAGAATTACAGTCAGCATAATTGGCAAAAATTAACAATATTACAATAAATTATCCGAATTGGTTTTGTTCTTTCACAACCATTTTTGGTCTGCATAGATACACACACACACACACACACACACACACACACCATGGAATAATGGATGACCCAGAAAACTTGTTCCTTCTACTCATTAAAACTAATTATTGTAAAGTCTTATTCAAAAAAATAAAATTTAAAAGAACAGTGATGTGATGTTGAGCTAACTGACAAATATTTTATACATATATGGCAAACACAGTCAGGGTTATATCATTTTAAGCTAGCAGATTTTGTAATCTTTAAAGTTAATACAAAATAAAATAAAACAAATGGACCGGGCATGGTGGCTCACACCTGTCATTCCAGCACTTTGGGAGGCCGAGGCGGGTGGATCACCTGAGGTTAGGAGTTCAAGACCAGCCTGGCCAACATGGTGAAACCCCGTCTCTACTAAAAATAAATTTAAAAATTAGCCAGCCACGGTGGCATGAGCCTGTAATCCCAGCTACTGGAGAGGCTGAGGCAAGAGAATTGCTTGAACCCGGGAGGCGGCGGTTGCAGTGAGCTGAGATCGCACCATTGCACTCCAGCCTGGGCAACAGTGAGAGACTCGGTCTCAAAAAAAAAAAAAAAAAAAAAAAAAAAAAAATATATATATATATATATATATATATATATATATATATATATATATATATATATATAGTGTCATGAATCATGGCATGTGGATTCAGCAGTTACATAAAAGGAATTCTTTTATTGTAGAACTGGGGTAAAACATGATGATGATGTAATCAATAGAATTCATATCCTCTTTTAAAAACAAATTAGGACACTTAAAGAACTGTGATGTTCTCAGATCTTAATCTTATTCTTATTCATGTGAAATGTTAGTACCGCACATGCCAAAGTTTTTGATATCTGTAGTAAATGCTTCTGTGAGATGTTTAAGTTCAGTGGAAAAATGCAAAAAGAGATACATTAGTTAACGTTTACACATGGCTTCTAATTCTGGATGTGGTCTCCTGACTACAAAGGAATGAGGGGCAATCTACATTTCCAGCTACAGAGATCAAGAGACTCACTCTATCTTGATTGAATGGCACTGAGCAAATCGCCAAGAGACCTATCTTAGTCCTCTTCTTCCAAATTTTGCAGCTAGACAATCCTCTTAATGGCTGGCATAAATGGCCCAGAAGTAAGTTGCACCAGAAACTTGCAAACAAATGAAAACCACCTCTGCTCCACGGCACTGCTGAGTGGGCAGGCGGAAGGGAAGACATAGCCCAAAGAATCCCTGTATAAAAAGAATGTCAAGGCCAGGCACGGTGGCTCACGCCTGTAATCCCAGCACTTTGGGAGGCCGAGGCAGGTGGATCACGAGGTCAGAAGATCGAGACCATCCTGGCTAACACGGTGAAAACCCGTCTCTACTAAAACCACAAAAAGTTAGCTGGGTGTGGTGGCGGGCACCTGTAGTCCCAGCTACTTGGGAGGCTGAGGCAGGAGAATGGCGTGAACCCGGGAGGCAGAGCTTGCAGTGAGCCGACATCACGCCACTGCACTCCAGCCGGGGTGACAGAGCGAGACTCCGACTCAAAAAAAAAAAAAAAAGTCAAAACTTCCCTATAATATACGAAAGCTCCACCCTCATATACTTTCTAAGGAGACACAAAACTTTCGGTGTACAAAGGTACCAGTGATTGGTGCTTAGAATATCCTCACCAGCGCTTACATATGCTAAATTTTGAGAGAAACTGCAATCCTTTACTCTTCTTTCTGCTTTGAAATTAGCATAAAAGTTCCCCAGTGAAAGGGGTACCAGCTACAGAATACTTTACAGACTTTGTGATCTTTGGTTGGTGGTATTATAATTGGGTACAATCACACAAATTATGGTTGAATTATGTCCTCTAAAGTAAACACTGTATACATCACATTTAGCCTGTAAGATTCTTCTTTGTCCTGAGCCCAAATTCCGAGACATTAAAGCATTTCATTGGAAATTTACATATCACTTTCTTCATGCACTTATATATTTATTCATTTGTTTATTCTTCATTCATATATTCCTTTCCACAAATATTCGTATCTATTGAATATTGGATCCTATGCAAAGAACGGCTCATAGAAACAGCCCTGCCTCACGGAGTGTATGCTCTAATGGAGAGAGATGGAGAAGAAAGACTAAGCAAACAACCACACCCAAAGAACATTTAACACTATAATAAGTGTTGCAGGAAAGAATAAGTTTTCACAGAAATGCAGAATGGGAAATGTCTAATTTAGATAGCAGTGAAGGTCATGGAAGAAGATAAAGTCCTGTGAGCCCTTAATGGAGCATCTTTTGTTGTCCTGTAGCTTGATGAGGTAGAAAGATCAAAGAAGCAGAACCAGTTCCCAGCTTTGTCCTGCAGTAAGAGTAAGAAAGTCGGTGCTATTTCTGAGCCTATTTCCTCATCTAAAAAAATGGAGATGAGGTTAACACCTCTATTACCTACCTCACCAGCTGATGGGTCAAGTTTGATAATCAAATGTGACATAATACCTGAAGCATTTTATAAACCGCAGAATGGTGTAAAACTGTTAGTTACCAACTCCCTAGGTCACACCTCATTATGAATGACAAAAGATTTCAAATGTCTGATAGGCTTCATTTATTTATTCCAAATGTTTGGTAGTCATCAAAATGCAATGATCAGCATGCATAAGACACAGACCCCTATGAGAAAGAAAGGTTCAGTTACTCATAGACGAAAAAGAAGAGCTGTCACCCATATTAGATTCTGAAAAGTCAGTTGATGAATTCAGATGGTATTACTTGTGAAAATCAAGAAGTCTGCAGTCCCAAACATGAGCCTTTCTTTCCAAGAGATGTGACACCCTAGGAGAACTCTACACCTGCTATTGACACTTCTCAATTTCTTTTGTTCCTGCATGCATTTCATTAAAAGAACACTACCCTCCTCATTAACATCTACTCCATTCTTCATTTAAATGAAGACCAAATCTACAAGATACTTTCATTTGGCAAGTAGTCCAAGAAGCAACAGCTATCTTTTGGAACTCATTTTATTTACCATTATCCAAGGAAATATAAACAGAATATTTTATCTTTGGAAAAACCAAATGTTGGAGTCAAAGACAGACACCAGTCCTAATTTGTCAACTGCAACTCCAACTGCAACCTACCAGATTTAACTTATTTACATGTAGTTAATTCTTTTAACTACATGTAAATAAGCAGATTTGCCCCATCATGTCAAACTAAAGACAACATACCATAAGATCCTAGAGCCCAGCACGGGCTCAAGCAAGAGGCCATCCACAACAGGACCATGCATGTAAGATCCATTTTTTTAAGAGATGTAACATAAGCTTTACAACCTTCCTGAGGGGAAAGGCAAAAAGCATTCTCATTTTGCTCTCTATACCGTACGTTCTAATATTAAACACAAGCCTCTCTTACTAAAGAGCGTATTATATAAGGTATTATTGTCTTCCATCTCTGAAGTTCATTATATGCTTTCTTATCAGTGCCCCAGCATTGATGTATGATCATAACTTATGCATGAAACATACTGTCAGTGAAAAGTAATGTGCTCAATAAACACCCTTACCTCCCAAATGGAGCAACCTAGAGCCAAGCACAGACACACACCCTGGACCTTACCCCTGAAGTGCCTTCCATGTAAGCAGTTTTCCAACCCCAACTGGGTCAGGGAAACGCTTCCTTTCTGCTGAGTCATCCCCCAGCGTGCTTTGTAATAAGAGCATTAGCGCATTTCCTACCTTTAAACTGCTAATAGCAATTCATATGCAAACTCTGAATATGGCCCAGGGCTCTCCAGAAGCAATCAGTAAAGGACAGCCTGCTAACATGTGATAGTGTGGGTGTCCTCACTGAGATTTTCTCTGTAGAGCTCAGCCTCTTATGATATCACTTTGGTATCAATTGTGTCCCCACACAATGGGCATCTGGAAACCTCCGACTGAATTCCTGAGGATTAAGTGACTTGCCTGAGGCTAGACGTTCCCAGGGACTTGGAAACAGAACCCATAGCTCCCAATGCTGTAAGGCTTTTTTTAAACACACTACATGGACCCCTGGGATTCAGCTCCTCCTGCCTGAGAACCTGGCCAGGGACTAGATGCACTGTGTTCATTCAGCACTCACTGAAGGCAAAGCAGCTTCTAGACCCTGAAGTAGGGGGAAGGAGGACTAATTAACATAAATTTAGTCAAAAGATGTCTAAAAGCTGCATTTTCCAAACCTCTAACCCTAGCTCACTCTAGCCTGAATCTGCCTCTCCTCTTTGCCCCTCTTCTAAAAAGAAGAAAAACATAAAATAATAGTGCAAATGTGTGTGTGTGTGATTTTTGTACATGGGTATGACTGTATCCATTTAGTAGTGATACAGCTACAAAGCTGCTTCTTGAAATGTGCTAAAATTATGTTCATATGCACACTTATTTCACACCTACACATTAAAAAAATGGATTTTATAAGAAAATGCAACAAGTGAGAAGTGCACACAAAACAGCTAGCATAATGGATGAGTATGTCTCATGATAACTAAAAATACACATTGTATGTTACCCAAAAGGAACTCTAATTTTTAAAAACAAAAAACAATAATTTATTATTTATACACATGAAATGAGAAAAAAAAAGTCCTGTAGTTACACTTTCATTAGGATTGAGTTAATTTTAATGGATTAATTAAGTATGAAGTAATAGCGAAGTGCAAGTTAAATCACAGGAATTATCATTACTATCACTAGAGTCTGAATCTAGTTTTATGTCCCTAATACCAGATAGTTAATGAAGTAAAAAGTAAGTACATGTAACTTCTCCAAATTAACAGATCAAACAATGGCTCATTTTAATAAATTTTTTAAAACTCATATTTTAAAATACTGTTTTTAAATTAAAAATCCCTAATTGTTTTGTTTTTCAATATTTTATGTTTCCTATACTTGCAAAGTTTTTCCCATGTGTTGATCTCTTCATCTATCTACTCAACACATTTATTGTTCCCTAGAACCACTGGTAAGCACCAAAATTATAACACACACAGTAATTTTCAGCAGACAGTGTTATTGGACATACGCAATCTCACTTATAGAAATATACAAACTAAATCTCAATAATTATCTAGCCGTGTATAATTTTTATAGATTATCTAAAATTTTAAACAGGGGCTAAGAGAAACAAGAGGGAAGTTACACAAAACAAAATTTTCTTTGACAAGTATCAGGTCAACTAATTTTTAAAAAAAAAGAATGTACGAAAAGAAACATTAAAAGATTTAGAAAAAAATTGGAAATGCATAACTCCACTATCCATGAAGCAAGCTATGGCAAAACCAATGCTAAATATTAAAACATTCAAATCCCTTCCTAGATTGTTTCCACAAAACACCAAAATGAATGATGAGATATGCATTTACATGCTTAACTGATCTATATATGTGTTTATTTGAGATCAGAGACATTTTTTGGAGGCATCATCTACACAGGCTACCAGTAGATAAGGACTGGAGTCTACAATTGTTTAAAGCAAAAAGCAACAACAGCATCATTGTTGTGTATTATCTGTTACTGTTCTCTGCAATCACACTAAAAAAACTCTTGAACAAATGCATACACATCTCTCCCCATTTTGAGATACGTGTGTTTTTCAAAGTCCTTGTTTTGAACTTTGGTGAATTTGTATTTATTTCACTACATACACGTTTTCAAAAATGCATCTATCAAAACCTGAGGAGAAAATTTCAAGAAAGAATCTTCCAAGATCAGTTATCCCTCATTCATTCTACCTCACCATCGCTAATCCTCTATCTAAATTAACTTTTTGGCCAAAATAGTCATCTTACGCCACATCTCAAATCATGTCAATTACCTGCTTTAAAACCTTTACCATTTATAGGCTCCTTATTTCCTGAAATTATCATGTGAAGCCCTTGGCCTCCTGCAGAACGGCCTAGGTGCACAGGGGTTTGTCTTGCTTTTCCAACTTCGTCTCTGGAATCTCCCCTTCTAAATCTCTGATCCTGCTCATCCACCCATTCGTAACTCTGCCATTTTCTTTCCTAACCCAGAATATCCTCTTTCAAGTAAGCCAGTCAGAATTCTATTCATACCCCTCACACAATTTAAATATAATTTATTTCATGAAAGTTTCCACATCAAATACCTCCTTCCTCCCAGCCAGCTTCTCTCGTCCCTCCTCCTCCCTCCCTCTCTGTTCTGTGTGCCTCTGTCACTTGTTCCTCTAATGGGACTTGCCACATCCTACCTGTGAACAACCGTTTGTCATATCTGCTCTAAGAGTTACAACACACTTAAAGTGAGACCATTTATTATTGAATTTCATAACTTACCACACTTAGTTTTGTGTGACCAGTAAGGTGATTAATAAAGCTCATGAATAGATTTTACTGTTCTCAAACATTGACTGAGTGGCAGCTCTAATCCTATGCTTATATATTTTCTGTTCTTCCCCTCTAAAACGTGAGTCCCTAAATATTTAACCATTGCTCTATTTGAGGCTCCTTTAGGAACAGGTGAAATACCATAGCTATTATCATGCACAAATATTTTAAGGAAAATCAGATTTTTCTAAAACATGACGTGACCAATCTGCTTGTGGGAGGAAGACATTTTAAATGGCTGACATTCACATCTGCCCAATAGCCTTCAGTCTCCAATCCTACTGGGATCCTCAATATTTGTTTATAATAGGTGTGTGTTTACAGAGCCAGAAAAATTACTGTCATAAGAATGCAAAAAAAATGCGTACAAGTATATTTTGGCATGCTATGCATACCTGTTGGCTATGGAATATACACTTAAAGATTGTTCAATACAATGGCCTGTATCTTCCATTTGTCTTTCTCTTACTGGGTTCAGAGAAAATTGAGACACTTCAAATCATAGACTACAAATTAGGCAAACACTGATGAAGTTTTTAAACGTACCAACTATCAGCATGATGCCAGAACAACTGGAAAACTAAGTTTAAAAAATAATTCAAACAAATATGTGATGGTGTGCAACAGCACACTCTCCTCACTCCCCGAATTATTTTACTATTGTGTAGAGTTCTTAAAGGGCCAAATCAATACATTTTCTCTTCCACCTGCCATCCTCTGACATAATTATTTTTGACATAATAATCCACTAAATAATCAATTAACTTCTGTACTAAATTGTCTTCTCTAGAGAATGTGAAGTCCCCAGTTGAGAAAATCACAGATCACACAGTGTGGATCTTAAATGTATTAACTTGTTTCCTTATAAACATAAAACAAACATTTTGAGTAAAATTATTTTTATAGTATTACATAAAAAGTAAAATAGACATGTTAATTTTTACTGTAAGGTAATTTATGCAGTCACATTCCTTCTGTGTTCCTTGCTAACACTTTTACTGATACAATATTTGACTTACAAATGTCCTAAGTGATATACTTTGGAAAAAAGTACATTTTTAAATACATGGGATTGTAAATTTAAAAGCTTTAGATTAACAGTGAAAAATTAATGAGAACAGCTTGGCGTGGTCAAAAGTTTCTTCCTATAAGATCCTTAGTGGTAGGTATTTTAAAAGTATCTCACTAACGTCTATTTTTAAAAATAGTTTTACTTTATTTGTATATATTCATATATCTGTGACTTACTGCAAAGTTTCTCAAAATATTGTCCACAAAATACCCGCTTCAAAATATTTGAAGAAGTAGTTTTAAATGCAGGGACCCCAAGACTCCAGCCTATCTTGATCAGAATCCCTTGGAGTGAGGAACTAGCAGGCACGCATTTAAAGCAAGTTTGCCCACGTGATTCCGACGTACACGAGAGTTAAGAAGCCTACAGAGTGGATCTAAAACCATGTCTCACTGTATTCTCAATGTTGTATGTCCGAAAGAAAAGTTGCCAAACAATTTCTTCCAAAAAACAAATATTGTTTACAAATGCTCCTTCCAGAGTGTCCCTCCGCAGAAAACTAAACTAGTTTTCAAATCCCACGGCGTTTCAGCTCAATTAACAAATGAAAGGGCCATCCTTCTCCTGATTCCCTGGCGTCCTAAAGCACTCCTGGCAAAAGCCCGCTTCGCACCTCGGGGTACTGACCTCCGCTTCCCACAGGTCAGAATATTGAATCCAGTCTGCATTCACAGAAGACCTAAGTGACACTGTGTCACCAGCCTCCGACTCTCCCGGTAGAGCGGCTCCTCTGAGAGCCCGCCTAGGCGCGGCCTCCCGCTCTCTGAAGCAGCGGAAGCCTGTCAGCACCTCGGACAGAGACTGGCGGTGCCGGGCCCGGGTCTCCCAGTCCAGGAGGCAGCCTTGGAAAAACCGCAGAGACACCCCTGGAACGCACAGACCACTGTCTTCGTTCCCCTTTCCTGCAGCCAGAATCTCTTTCCAAACGACAACAAAGGAAACCTTAAGTACCTCTTACCTAGAATATAGGAGCCACCCCCACATCTCGCCTCTCCCGGTTCCCCAGCGCCTGTTGCTAAGGAGGCGAGACAGCGCTCGGGAAACCTCGGGACCAGGCGACAGAGCGCTGGAGGAGCTGGGAGCCCACGGGCAGCGGCAGATGGGAGCACTAGGCCGGCCAGGACTCCCCCGCAGGAAGGGTGCGCCCTCGCGGCTCCGACGCCAGCCAGGCCCCCGAGCGCCCGGGGCGGGTGCAGGGAGCCGGGCAAGCGAGGGGCCGGCGCCTGGGAGCGCGGCTCCCTCTGCGGACCGGGGAAACTCGGCCCCGGCCGAAGAGGCCTCCGGCCCAGCACTGTGGACGCCTGTGATCCCAGACAGCGGGCCGGGGGCTCAGGGACCGCCCTGGGAGGGCGGGCACTCACCATGTTGACTTCGGAAACCATGTCGATGCTGGCGATGTCGATGTTCATCCCCACGCAGACCGGGGGACCTGCGGGAAGCACAGGACACGGCGATCAGCCCAGCTCCGGCGCGGGGCGCGGGCGGCTCTGAGGACTGGGGGCTATCCCAGGAGGGGCGCGGGCGAAGGGCCCCCACTCCCACCCGCCGCTGCTCCGCGGATGCGGCCCCCGCCTCCCTCCGCCCAGGCCGCCGCCGCCGTGGGTCGCGCTTCCCGCAACGGCCGCGCGCAGCCCACTTACCCCCGAAGTCGGGTCTTAGGCGAATGTCGTAGCCTTTCAACAGCTTGTCCACCGTCTCCTTCACAAAGGACATGTTCCCGGGATCGTTCACACTGGGGGAGGGACGGGGAGCACAAAGAGCGGGGTCAGGGGCGGCTCAGCCGCCAGCGCCCCGCGCACCCCGCGCCCTGCCCGCCGCCCGCCGGCCCACCCGCGACCCTACCTCTGGGCGCAGCACACCACAGCCACCAGCACCGGGGCCGAGAAGATGCCGAAAAGCCTTCCTCCCGCAAGGCCCCACATCCCTCCGCCGCGCCCCGGCACGGGGGAGGGGGCGCCCCGCCGCCGTCGCGACCCGCAGCCGGGGCTGCTCCTGCTGCTGCCGCCGCCGCCGCCGCCGCCGCGCTGGCCCGGAGCGGAGGAGGGCGGAGGGGGAGGGGAGGAGGGGGAGGAGCGGGCGCTGGGAGAGGAAGGAGGAGCGGGGAGGGAGGAGCGCGCGCGGGCGCGGGGCGGGGGAGGAGGCCGGAGAGTCGGAGGCGGAGCCGCCGCGCCGCGCACCCTGCCCTCCCCCACGCTCGCCTCGGCCCGAGGCCGGGGCCCTGGGCGCTCCCCTCCCGCCTCGGCGGCCGCCGCACGGGACTCGGACCTCTGGGACCGCGGAGTGCGGGGGCGACCTGGGCCGGACGCTGCGAGCGGAGCCGCGGCTGCGCGGAGTCGGGAGGGGCGGGGGGTCGTCCCCTGAGCCGGCTCCTCTGGGCTCTCGGCGGCCGGGCGAGTGCGGGGACTGTCGGCAGCCTCGGCGCCGGCATAAGCGGCGGCGGAAACGCTGCCCGCCTACCCCGGCCGCCGAAGTTGGCCCCGCACGACGACCACCGCCCGCTGCAGCGCAGCCCGAGAGCCCCCGGGTGCCGCGCCTCTGCCCGCCGGACTGCGGGCCGCCGCCTCCCGACGGTGCCTGCAGAACGCCGGGAAGCCCCCGCCTCACCTGCGGGGCTCAGAGCCTCGGGTCCCCAGGGTCCAGGAGAGCCAGATGGGCAGCAGGAGCTCCAGGAGCCCGGAGCACATGGCGCTGTTCCTCCGGCCTAACCTGCTGGGATCCGCTCTCCCCCCTACTCTCCGAGCAGCCAAACGGCGACGCAGGGATCCCCGCCCCTACCCCCACCCCCACCCCCAGGCTTTCCCGCCTGACCCGTCTTCCAGCCCCTGCCGTGGCGGCCCTATTTTTCATTTATACAATTGGACCTTTTTTTTTTAACAGCTGCTCCTTAAACTGCACCTCTTACCCTCACTCCTGAACATTTCTTGGGAGCACTGAGCCCTTTCTGCTCACATATATACAAATGTAATGGATGGTTAAGTGAGGACTGAATATGTGTTTTGTTATCAGCAAACTGGAATCCCAGCCAGACTTGGAGACTGGATTGTCATTCCAGGTAAAATACGTGCCTTTTTTGGTGCCGCCCAGAGCTATCCGTGGTCCTTAATATAAGGCAAGGGTCCTTGCTTCCCTGCAGCAGGCCTCCTTCGGCTGTCATTAGAAGGCTACTGGCGCACTGGTGCAAGGACCCTGGTGTACCAGTGCACACCGGATGCACCCCACCCTCTGGACCACCACCGCACACCTGAGGGGCCACTCACCTACGGCCACAGGTTTTATATTTTAGTGAGTGATCCCCAATAAAGTTTATCTGTACCTCGGACTTCTAATATTGAAGAAGATGGTTACACAATCCTACTTGTAGCCAACTAACAAAATCTACACATCAAGCTCGTTTTTGTGTTCTGTAGACTTCTTCAGATTATTCCAGGACTTAATGAATGGTTAATAATAGATAACTACTTTCCTGTATTGACTCATTTTTTTTCCCATGAAGCTTAAGCTTTTAACATCGTTGAGACTTTATATTAGTAAATACCTAAATCTAGATCCTAAATCTCACGTTGGCATGTTTCTGTGCATTAATTTTAAATATACTGCCTTTTTAAAAAATCAGCTATTTTATTTTTGGAACAGAAAATGTGACCGCAGTACCTGAAAGATTCAGAGATAAATATAGCATCCTAATTATTTTCTGGAAAAGTCTATTCACCACTGCTTTGCATTCAATGTTCTGTTAATGCACAATGGAATTATCTGGAAAATTATATCTGTTGCATCACACACACATTCATATTTCAGTTTATTTCTCCTATTTGCATGCAGTTCTTTTGGAGAAATGCCCTGCTGGGGATCGTGGCTATAAAAAGTAAACAATGAAAAGAAGTTGTTTTAATAAAACCAACAACATAGCAAGAATTAGCCCCCTTACTACCAGTTTATATGTTCTAAGACTTGCAAAGCCACATTACAAACATTATTATCCAACCGTGCATCACATCAGACCTTCTTGGCTTCACCTTCTCTGGAGCTTTTGGCTTTATCACCCCAGCTGCTGCCTCAGCACCCAGTTCTGCAAGAGGTCTGATCAGCTTTACATGGGAACAAGCCCACATGGGATATGATCACCTCATATCCGCAAGGTCTGAGATGCCACGGGATTTGCTCAGTACTCACATATATGCAATCTGAAATTTCAGGCAAGTTAGAAGTCTATGAGGCAGACTTTTGTCTAATGGACACATATCCATGGATCAAAGAGTCTCCCTTTATTGCCTCCTAAGAAATGTCCTGAGATGCAGTCGCTGTTGGCCTCTCAAAGATGATCCTGTGAGATGGATCCATCTTTTGTACTTCATACTCAGCAGTGGGTGGTCTGCCTGGTAATGAACCCTCCTATCTGCTCCCTCTCTTTCCATGCCACAATTCCCTTTTCCTTTGCTCCTGTTTTCATTGGAATCAAACATCCTAGTAACATATCACCACCTAAATTTTGCCTCAGGATATGTTTTCTGGGGAACCTAGGCTGAGTTGTAAATTAGTCGGCAAGTCACTAGAAGTGTCACCTAAAAACACAGTCTCTTTCAAAAGGCAAAATCAGAGAGAAAGACTGCAAAGGTGTGATCAGGATGCATGGGCTATAAGGTCCTTACACACCCACACACTACTGCACATCACAGTCGCTGCCCGACTTGCACCTACATCCGCAACAAAGGGTGGACATGCAGCCTGCCGCCCTTCCTCCTTTCTCAGCTCCCTCCAACATAGGCAGCCATCTGGGAGGGGTGGAGAAGCACTGAACACCAGCACCCACATCCTTGCGCTCTCTTGCTTAGATAGTAATTATGTATTAGCCAAATCAGCAGAAAATTATTAATTCAGTTCTTACTTGCATTCATTTTAGACTGGAAGAAAAAAAGGCTCCAGGAGTCCCACAGAGGGTAATTTTTCATGGCAGAAGGAAAAGGAGATGAATGGCATTTTGTTCATAGGAAGGTGGTTTTAAATGGTCTAGAAGAATATTTGGAGACTCTCAAGGTAAAAAGAAGGAAGGGAAGCAGATAGCTGGGAGGCATCAGGTGATCACGTTACCTTATCCATGTTTGTGCATTTTCATTGACCCAAATGCCTTTTACCCGAACTATTTTGTTCAGTCACTCTTCTTTTAGAAAACTTGTTTTTTTAAACAGTATCAAAATTTTCTGGCACTACATTTTAATGCTCTTCAAAAAAACAACTCATAGCACATGAAATAAAATGTTGCATGTATAGATACTGAGTCTCAACAAATGTATAAACTAGTGTACATTTTCTTTTTTTTTTTTTTTTTTTTGAGACGGAGTCTCGCTCTGTCGCCCAGGCTGGAGTGCAGTGGCGGGATCTCGGCTCACTGCAAGCTCCGCCTCCCGGGTTCACGCCATTCTCCTGCCTCAGCCTCCCGAGTAGCTGGGACTACAGGCGCCCGCCACTACGCCCGGCTAATTTTTTGTATTTTTAGTAGAGACGGGGTTTCACCGTTTTAGCCGGGATGGTCTCGATCTCCTGACCTCGTGATCCGCCCGCCTCGGCCTCCCAAAGTGCTGGGATTACAGGCGTGAGCCACCGCGCCCAGCACATTTTCATCATTCCCAAAGTTCTCTTGTGACCCTTTGACCCATCTGCAACTGAGGGTTCCAGACAAGCTCTGACCCACATAGATTGTGTCATTACACTTGTTACTTTTTTTTTCTTGCCTGTTCTAGGCATTCTATAAAAGTAGAATGATGTACTATACGTTGTTTCATGTCTGGCGTCTTTCACTGGGTGTAATGTTTCTGAGATCTATTCATGTTGTTGCAGATCCATAGTTTGTTCCTTTGTATTGCCAAATAGTATTCCATTCACCTGTTGATGGGTCTTTCTAATTTTAGTGATTATGAATAAAGATTCATATACAGGTCTTTATATGGACATGAGGTTTCATTTCTCTTGGACAAATACCTAGGAGTAAAATGGCTAAATCATGTGATGAGTGTATGTTTAGTTTTATAAGGAACTGCCAAAATATTCCAAAGCACTTGGAGGATTTTGCATCTCACCCGCAATGCAAGAGAAATGCAGCTGCTCCACATCCTCTCGGTTCATCTTGTTGGGTGTATAGTGGCAACGCATTGTGGTCTTAATTTGCATTTGCCTGGTGATATGTAAGTAAGCCTATTTCATTTACATATTGGCCACTCACATTTTCTTTGCGAAGATACAAGATTTCTGCCCATTTTAATTGCATTCTCCATCTTTTTTATGGCGATTTGAGAGGGTTTTTTTTTTGTTTGTTTGTTTTTTTTTGAGATGGAGTCTCACACTGTCACCCTGGGTGGGGAGCAGTGGCTCGATCTCAGCTCCCTGCAACTTCCACCTCCTGGGTTCAAGTGATTCTCCTGCCTCAGCCTCCCAAGTAGCTAGGATTACAGGCACCCACCACCAAGCCTGGCTAATTTTTCATATTTTTAGTAGAGACGGGGTTTCACTATGCTGGCCAGGCTGGTCTTGAACTCCTGAACTTGTGATCCGCCTGCCTTGGCCTCCCAAAGTGCTGGGATTACAGGCGTGAGCCACCATGCCCAGCTAGAGTTCTTTATATATTCTGGATATGAATCCTTTGTCAGATATATGTAATGTAATGTTTTCTCCCAGTCTGCGGCCTTGCTGTTTTATTTCTTTACTAGTATCTTTCAAAGAAAAGAAGAATTTAATTTAGATGAAATGCAATTTATCCATTTTTTTCTTTTAAGGTTCACACTTTTGATATTCTACTTTAGAAATCATTGCCTAATTAAAAGTTAAGATTTTCTGCATGTTATCTAAAAGTTAGCATTAATATTTAGACTTGTTACTTGTTAATTTTTGTGGATGATGTAAGGATCAAGGTTCTTCCAAATGAAGTGTATTAGTTCTCACACTGCTATAAAGAAATACCTGAGACTGGGTAATTTGTAAAGAAAAAATGGTTAATTGGTTCACAGTTCTGCGGACTGTGTGGAAAGCATAGCGGCTTCTGTTTCTGGGGAGGCCTCAGGAAACATAATCACGGCGGAAGGCAAAGGGGAAGCAGACATGTCACATGGCCAGAGCAGGAGGAAGAGAGAGAGGAGGGGAGGTGCTACACACTTTTAAACAATCAG
Source organism: Homo sapiens (assembly GCF_000001405.40). Taxonomy (NCBI): domain Eukaryota; kingdom Metazoa; phylum Chordata; class Mammalia; order Primates; family Hominidae; genus Homo; species Homo sapiens. The sequence continues at coordinate 26,778,198 of NC_000015.10, forward strand.
ATCTCACGATAACTCACTCACTATTGTCACAACACCACCAAGGGGGATGGTGTTAAACCAGGAGAAACCTCCTCCATGATCCAATCACCTCCCACCAGGCCCCACCTCCAACACTGGGGATTATAATTTAACATGAGATTTAGGCAGGGACATAGATTCAAACCATATCATGAACCACGATTTGTTGGAAATATTCTTTCCTTCAATCTGGTTACCTTTATATTTTTGTTGAGAATCAATTGATCTTATATGTGTGGCTGTTTTTTTTTACTCTATTTACCCTTTTCCATTAATGTATCTATATATCTTTATACTAATCCATACTGTTTTGATTAATGTAGCTATAAAGTTAATATTGAAATAATGTAGCATATTCCATCCAATTTTGTTCTCCAAAATTATTTTAACTATGTGATGTCTTTGCATTTTCATAAATATTTTAGAATGATCTTTTCAATTTCTATAAAGAAGCCTGATGGGAGTTTTAATTTGTATTACATAAACTGTGTAGATGAATCTAGGGAAAATTGACATCTTAACATATTTCATATTTTATGCTATTATAAGTGATTTTAAAATATCTAATTGCCAATTGCATACTGCTAGTACATATAAATATGATTAACTTTTCTATATTATCATTACATTCTACAACCTTACTCAATGTACTTATTATTTTAATAGACTTTTTTGTAGATTCCTTAGGATTATATCCAAGAGATAATTACGTCATCTGTGAATATAGACAGTTTATTTCTTCTTCTCCTATATGTAGATATTTTAAATTTCTTTTTCTTGCCTTACAGTACTGGCTGGGGTTTCCAGTACAATGTGGAAAGGAAGTGGTAAGAGTGGACACCCTTGCCTTGTTCCAATATTAGGGGAAAATATTCAGATTTTGTCGTTGCTGTTGTTCGGGATTTTTGTTTTTTGTTCGTTTGTTTACCATTAAGTATGGTGTTGACATCTTCTTATTTTTCTTCTGTTCTCCTTCCCCTCCCCTCTCTTCCTTTTCTTTCATCTCCTGGAAAAGTTTAGTCCTAAGAGTAGAGAAGTACATGGTGTGCACCTGGTAAGGAGTAGGGAGCTCTCAGGCCAGAGTCCAGGCAGTGTGAAGACGGCACCGAAGCTTCATAGCTTGAGAAACTGAGAAAAGCACCATTTCACATGGAAGGCTTAGTTTGAAAATCACAGCCAAAGCGAAGTAGGGAAGGCCTGGAGAGGGAGAGCCAGCCATAGTTCTCAGATCATGGAATGTGGGCAAAGTAGCCTGTATTTGAAATTACAGCCAAAGCAAAGCTAAGAGAACATCCCCATTGAGGCCTGGTCTGGTTTGGCAGTCTGTTTCAGAGGGTGAGGAGAGTGTCTATGCACGAAGCCTGCCCTGCATGAGGGAATAAGCTCACGCAGGAGGAGGAGGGCAAGCACTGGGTGGGCGAGCCTGGCATACAAAGTTCGAGCTCACACAGTGCTAGGAGGGTTCCCCCACAGGAAGGCATACACAAGGTGAAGATGAGGGGGGCATTCACTTGATAAGGTGACCTGTTGTGGAAAAACAGCCCAAGCAAGGTCAGGAAGGCATCCATGTACTGGGATGGCCCAAAATGGGGAGTCAGAACCTGAACAGGAAGAGGAGAATGCCAGCAGGGAATGGAAGCAGTGGCAGCAATGGGAGACATAGTGGGAACTTAATCCAATAAATACATATACCAAGAGTAATGGAACCCGAGTTTCTCTCTGTTGGAGATGGGAATTACGAGTACAAAAAAAAAGGAGAAATAATCCCTGTGGTATGATTGCAATTGAATGTATTAGTGTGAACTACTGATTTTCAAAGTATATCTATAAATACAACTATATACATATATAAACATGTATATATGTACTTACTGTATACCTACATATACACACGTGTGTGTGTTTGTGTGTGTATATATATTCTCTGCTTCTACCCACCAAGAGGCCTGGGAACAGTGACAGCACAATAGCAATGAACACCCTCTGCACCCAGATCTTGGCTTCTCCATACTATTTTCTACTGAAAGGAACCAGAGCTACTTGGGAAAATGGATACTTCCAGAGACAGACAGGGAAAGTGTAAGATAGGATTGGAACACTTGTGGCAGAGCAAGGAGGTGTTCAAAGAATGATGAGAACATGTCAAAAAGACACAAAATCCAGCTTGAATGTTTTTATACTGCCTAATTCTGGGATGATTTGAGTAAAAATTTAAAAAAAATGAATTACAACCCTAAAATAATGAATTACAACCCAAAGGAAAAAATTGGAAAATTAGAGTTCATACACATTGTGTTTGATCATGAATGATATATTTTGATCATTAACGGTAATATATTACATAGCATTTAAGTATGTGTTTCACAAAATTATAAAATTAACTATAAAATTAATTATAATTTAAAAATAGTATATTTATAATTCAGCTGGGCCAATACTACCTTAATCAACAGATCTATATGAACAAATTTAAAAAATGAGGTATCTCAAAATTATGCATCTCATGATATAATGCAGTGAGAAGATTATATCAGTTTGTCATTTTCACAAAAATATACAAGCTAAATCCAATCACAAGAAAACATCAGACAAACCCAAATTAAGAGAGTTCCTACAACATAATAACCCTATAATAATCCAAAAGTGCAAATTCCATTGTGTCCAGAATTGGTGGGTTTTTGGTCTCACTAACTTCAAGAATGAAGCCACAGACCCTCGTGGTGAGTGTTACAGTTCTTAACGGCAACGTGTCCAGAGTTTGTTCCTTCTGATGATGAGATGTATTCAGAGTTTCTTCCTTCTCGTGGGTTCGTGGTCTCACTGGCTTCAGGAGTGAAGCTGCAGACCTTCACACTGAGTGTTACAGCTCATAAAGCCAGGATGAACCCAAAGAGTGAGGAGCAGCAAGATTTATTGCAAACAGCAAAAGAACAAAACCTCCACACTACAGAAAAGGATGCAAGCGGGTTGCTACTGCCAGCTAGGGCAGCCTGCTTTTATTCTCTTACCTGGCCCCACCCACGTCCTGCTGATTGGTCCACTTTACAGAGAGCCAATTGGTCTGTTTTACAGAGAGCTGATTGGTCCATTTTGACAGGGTGCTGATTGGTGCATTTACAATCCCTGAGCTAGACACAAAAGTTCTCCACCTCCCCACTACATTAGCTAGATACAGTGTCCACACAAAGCTTCTCCAAGTCCCCACCAGAGTAGCTAGATACAGAGTGTCAATTGGTGCATTCACAAACCCTGAGCTAGACACAGGGTGCTGACTGGTGTGTTTACAAACCTTGAGCTAGATACAGAGTGCCAATTGGTGTATTTACAATTCCTTAGCCAGACATAAAGGTTCTCCAAGTCCCCACCAGACTCAGAAGCCCAGCTGGCTTCACCCAGTGGATCCCGCACGGGGGTGCAGGTGGAGCTGCCTGCCAGTCCCATGCAATGCACCCGCACTCCTCAGCCCCTGGGTGCTGAATGGGACTGGACACCATGGAGCAGCGGGCAGCGCTCATCTGCTAGGCTCCGGCTGTGCAGGAGCCCAAGGCAAAGGTGGGGAGGCTCAGGCATGGCAGGCTGCAGGTCCTGAGCCCTGCCCCACGGGGAAGCAGCTAAGGCCCGGCGAGAAGTCGAGCACAGCATCTGCTGGCCCAGGTGCTAAACCCCTCACTGCCTGGAGCCCGCGGGGCCGGTTGGCCACTCCGAGTGTGGGGCTCGCTGAGCCCACGCCCACCCAGGACTCACGCTGGCCAGCAAGCCTCGCAGGCAGCCCCGGTTCCGCCCGCGCCTCTCCCTCCACACCTCCCGACAAGCTCAGGGAGCCAGCTCCAGCCTTGGCCAGCCCAGAAAGGGGCTCCCACAGTGCAGCTGCGGGCTGAAGGGCTCCTCAAGCGTGGCCAGAGTGGGCGCCAAGGCCAAAGAGGTCCCGAGAGCGAGCGAGGGCTGTGAGTGCTGCCAGCACGCTGTCACCTCTCACCAGAAAAGACTGATAAACTACTCCAAACGAAAGTAAACCAGAGACAGGAATTCTTAATGCATGCATAGTTCTGGACTCCATCATTTTGCTGTAAAATATTTTAATGAGGCAATTGATTGATCTTAAATGGGGTGTAAAGATTGAATGGCAATAATTTAACAGTATCTATTTCCTGATATTTTGATGGTTGGATTGTAATAACACTGAAAGGCTCTTTGTATGTATGAAACCACACTAAGATATGTGAGAAAAGTTTTCTGCAATGTTATGACTTCAAACTAAAAAAAAAAAAGTGTAAGGAAGTTCTGCAGATCCTCTTTATCAGATTAAGGAAATTGCCTACTATTCCTAGTTTAATGGAGAGTCTTTATCAAGAAAGGTATGCAATTTCATCAGATGCTTTTTTTTGTATCTATGAGATAATCATTAATTTTCTCCTTTACTCTTTTAACATGATAAATGACATTGATTTTTCAAATGTTAAGCAATATTTGTATTCCTAGGATAAACACTGCTTGGTCATTTTGCTTATACTTTTTACCTGTTACTGCATTTGATTGCCCAATATTATTATTAAAAATGTGTGTGCCTAAGGTCATGAGTGTTTTGGTGTATGTTTGCCTTTTCTCGCCTAGTTTTTGTATTAGTGCGATGCTGACCTCAGAAAGCAAGGTTCCATGTGTGTTCCTTTCTCCTGTAATTTTTGAAAGATTTTTCTGTAGGATTGTCATTACATCTTTCTTAAATATTTCCTAGAATTTGCCAATGAAGCCAATGAAGTTTGAACATTTTAATTTCTAAATAATAAATACATTATCTTCAGCAGACATAGGCTATTTAGATTTCTAACTTATTTCTGAACTTATTAATAAAAAATATTTATAACATTCCCTTATAATTTTTAAAGTTTGTAGTGCATGTAGTTATGCTCCCACTTTCTTTTCTGATATTAGTAGGTTGTGTCCTCTTTTTTATATTGATAAGTCTAGCTAAAAGTTGCTTACTTTCATTCATCTTTTCAAATGATCTGTTTTTGGTTGCACCACTTTGCTCTATTGTCTGTTTTGTATCATTGATTTCTGCTTTTGTTTTTACTATTTCCTTTCTTCTACTTTCTTTGGGCTTACTTTGCTTTTTCCTTTTCTAGTTTCTTAGGATTGAAGCTTAATGATTTTTAGGACTTTTCTAATACGGGCATTTAAAGCTATGTATTTCTAAGCTGCAGTAGTATTCCAAAACATTTAGTATGCTATATTTTAATTTTAATTTACTTCACTATTTTCTCATTTATTTTGATTTTTATTAGCCATAGGTATTTAGAAGTATGTTCTCTAATTTCAAACCATTAAAAGATGCTAGATTCTATTGTTATGTTTAATTTTGTTATAATCAGAGAACATATTTCCTATAGATTCAGCTCTTCTAAATTTGCTGTGATAAAATTTCTGACCTGTGCATGGTTTAGGTTGGTGATTATACCATGCACACTTGAGCAGATAGTGCATTCTGTTCTTTGGAGTATTGTATAAATGTCAATTAGGTTAAGTTGGCTGACAGTGATGTTTGGGTTTTATATATCCTTACTGATTTTCTGTGTACTTGTTTAGTCAATTACTGAGAGGGGAATGTTGATGTCTTTAAATATTATTATTATTTGTCTATTACTTCTTTCAATTCTTTGAGTTTCTGCTACTTGCCTACTTGTCTTTTCAAACTGTTATTTGGTGCATAGGCATGCAGGAGTTGTACGATTTTTTTTTTTTTTTAAGATGGATTCTTGCTCTGTTGCCCAGGCCAAGTGCAGTGGCATGATCTTGGCTCACTGCAACCTCTGCGTCCAGGGTTCAAGCGATTCTCCTGCCTCAGACTCCTGAGTAGCTGGGACTACAGGTGCGCACTACCACACACCTGGCTAGTTTTTTGTATTTTTAGTAGAGATGGGGTTTCACCATCTTGGCCAGGCTGGTCTCGAACTCCTGAGCTTGTGATCCACCCAATGAATTGTCTCTTTTATTATCTGAAATGTTCCTCTTTGTTGCTGGTAGTATTCTTTGCCTGGAGCCAGCTTTGTCTTATCTTAGTAAGTACTCCAACTCTTTTACAATTTTTCCTTTTATTTCAACCTATTTGCTTAGAGTTAAAATCTTTTTTGCGGGCTTCATTTAGTCAGGCCAAGCTTCTTTAATCATGTCTGATAATTCCTTCCTTTTAGCTGGACTGTCCAGTTCAGATCTATTTAATAGAAATGTAATGTAAGCCACACACTGAAATTTTCAAAAACATTCTGTAGCCATATTAAAAAGAGGAAATAAGTGGCATTAATTTTAGTAACATTTTATTTAACCCAATATATCCAAAATATATTTCAACCTTTAATCGATGTAATGAAAAAAAGTGTCATAGTAAGTATTCAAAATCTGGTGTGTTTTTGACACTTGCAGTGCATCTTAATTTGGGGTAGGTCCATTTCAGGTGCTCAATAGTCACAAGTGGCTATTAGCTACCATTTTGCACAATGCAAACCTAAACTACCTGTATTTAATGTCATTATTGAAGTGGTAAAGTTTAAGCCAAGCATCATTACTTTCTTTTGTTTTGTTTTCTGTTTGTCTCATGTGTTCATTGCCCTTTCCCACCTTTTCTTGCCTTTTAAAAAATTCAGTTCGGCTTGGTGCAGTGGCTCACACCTTTAATCCCAGCACTTTCGGAGGCTGAGGCAGGCGGATCACGAGGTCAAGAGGTCAAGACCATCCTGGCCAACTTGGTGAACCCCGTCTCTACTAAAAATACAAAAATTAGCTGGGCGTGGTGGCACATGCCTGTAGTCCCAGCTACACGTGAGGCTGAGGCAGGAGAATCACTTCAACCTGGCAGGCAGAGGTTGCAGTGAGCCGAGATCACGCCACTGCACTTCCAGCCTGATGACAGAGTGGGACTCCATCTCAAACAAAGAAACAAACCCCTCAAATCGTTTTTTTTTTTAGCATTCAGTTCCATATTTACTGTGGGGTTATAAACTATGCCTTTTTTCTGGTGTTTAAGGTTTACAACGTTTAAATACAGGCTAGTGTCAAATACTATAATTCTATTTAAAAGTTTAATGCAAGAACCTTACCACAGTGCAATTGTATTACCCCCAAATTGTGTGCTATTTTCTTATATTCTATATATGTTAAAATACCATAACACATTGATAATGCTATATACCTTTCAAGAAATATTTTAAAAAATAATTTTCTACATATTTGCTGTTTATAGCACTCTTTATTACTTTGTAGTTATACAAGTTTTCATCTGACATCATTTTGTCCAAAGAACTTACTGTAACATTTATTCTACAGCACATCTGCTAGTGACAATTCTAGCTTTTCTTGACTGAAAATCTTGTTTGCCTACATTTTCATGAGATTATTTTGCTAGATGTAAAAGTCAAAGTTGACAAGCTCTCTTTTAGCACTTTAAAAATAGTAGTCCCTTATTTCATAAAAATTAATAACAACTTGTGTATTTCAATAAATTAATAAAAATACATTATCTCTGTCCTCATGTACATTTTTTTTTCAGAGACAGGGTCATGCTCTGTCGCCCAGGATGGAGTACAGTGGTGCAATCATAGCTCACCGCAGTCTCAAACTCCTGGGCTCAAACGATCCTCCTGGCTCAGCTTCCCTAGTAGCTGGGACTTAGAGGTGCACGCCACTGAGACCAGCTAAGTTATTTTTTACTTTTAAATTTTTTTTTTTTTTTTTTGGAGAGACAGGGTATCAGTTTGTTGCTCAAGCTGCTTTCAACCTCCTGGCTTCAAGTGATCCTCCCAAAGTGCTGGGATTATAGACATGAGCCACTGCACCTAGCCCTTAACATCTTAATATACACCACCTGAGTTGGCTTTAAGTTTTTCCGTCTATCAATACTTATCACCAATTTTATCTTGATGTTCCTAGATGTGCTTTTTTGTTGATCCTTCTTGGAATTCATCGAGCTTCTCAGGTCTGTGTGTTTATAGCTTTCATCTCATTTGGATAATTTCCAGCTAACATTTTCAAAAACATTTTTCCTCCCTTCTTGGGAAACTCCAATTACACATATGTGTGACACTTCGATATAGTCTCACAGGCCTCTGAATACTTTATTTTTTTCAGTGTGTTTTTCCACTGTGCTTTAGTTCAGATAGCCATATTATTATGTTTTCAAGTTGTCTTTTTAAAACCTTTATATTTTTATGTTTACACAGTAGGTATATGTATTTATGTGGTACATATTTTGGTACACGCATACAACGCATACTGATTACATCAAGGTAAATGGGGTATTCATCTCCTCAAGCATTTATCATTTGTGTCACAAACATTCCAGTTATATTTTGTTATTTTTAAATGTACAATAAATTATTGATTGTAGTCATCCTATTGTGCTATCAAATACATCTTATGCATTGTAACTATATTTTGTTAGAATTATGCAGTTATGTAATTGTATAATTTTCTAACATGTGTAATTATATGAGAGAGAAAAACCACAATTTGCACCAACCTAATATATATTCTTTGTGAAATCGCTAGGTTTTTCCAAATATAATATTGCATCATCTGCAAACAAGGACAATTTGACTTCTTCCTTTCCAATTTGGATGCCCTTTCTTTCTCTTGTCTGACTGCTCTAGCTAGGATTTCAAGTACTATGTTGAGTAACAGTGGGGACAGTGGGAATCCCAACTTCTCTTGTCTTATGCATTATGCAATTTGCTTTGAATCTTGTCCGGTGACACAATCTTTTCAGAAATTGTATTTGAGCTCTAAAAATTTCATTTGGTTCTTCTTATATATTCCATTATTGCCTTCATTGTGTTCATTTTTTATTTAAACCATTAAGCTCATCAACAGTAGTTTTATCATTTTCTTGTCTGGTTATTCAATCATTTCTTGCGCTGTTATTATAATGAGTGTTTTTTTTTTCGGCTTATGGTTACATTTTCCTGAATTTTGGTATGCTAATAATTCTTTTCAGACTCTGCACATTGTGAATTTTATGTTGTTCTGTGCTGTATTTTGCCATCTTCTTTTAAAGGGTGTTTGTCTTTATTCCAGCAGTTGTTATGTAATGGATCAGTTTGATCTTTTCGAGAGTAGTTTTAAAGTTCTTCAAAGGGAAGGTCTAAGGTGGCCTTTAACCTAAAGCTATTTTAGTCCTACTACTAAAGCATTACCCTTCTGGGATACCTACTTAATATGCCCATTTAATGGTCCTATTTAATGGTCTTTATATGTTTAATAAAGATCCTCCATTCTTGCTGATTAGAATTAGAAAGTCATCTAGTCTTGTGTAAACTCCGAAAATCATATAGGTTGTAGGTCCCGGCTTATTGTCTATTCAGCTCTGTGGAGACTCACTCTATGCATGTACAGCTTAATACTCATCAACAAATGCAAGAGAACCCAGATGTCTTGAGCTCTCTTTCTGCAAAGCATCCTCCTCATTCTATAATTCGGAAAATTTAAGTTGCTGCATTTTCTCAGAACGCTGATCTCTGTCCTCTCAATCTAGTGATCTGCCATGTCCTGCTTAAGATTCTTTTCACCACACTGTAGTCCATAAAGGTCTCTATGCAAAAAGCCAAGTCAATTGTAGGGTTCTTGTTTCCTTTCTCTAAGGGATCACAGTACCGAACTACCTATTGTTTAATGACTACGTACAGTTGTTTCATAGGTTTTCTTCAGCTTTTCTAGTGACTTATGATACAAAAGCAAGTCTAGTCACATTTACTTCATTATAGCTGGAAGGAGAACTCAAGCTGATTTTGATTACAGAGAAATGACTATTGATGTTACTAAGAGCAATTACTGAGAGTAATTGTCATTGTTCTCATAACACTGAACTAAAAGCAGCAAAGGTTCTTATCTCAGTATCTCATTAAATTCATAACTTTACTAGCGAAGTATGTTTATATATCCTGTTAAGTATATTTACACCTATGGCAAAATCCTAATCAGAAAAACTAATTAAAACCCTTGTCTCTGGAATAGTTGCTGAAATGCCAATAGGGAGAGGGGAAAGACGTGACCTGCGTGGCTAATTTTTAACTAATCAAAGAAATAGAAGACAAGAATTGCCCTGAAGAACATGATTACTGGTGATAACGTAAAATATTTTTCAATAATAAATCATATAGTTTGTTGTCGTCTTCCGCCTCTGGAACATTTTACCATCCAAGGTTTCCAAAAATACTCTACTTACACCACAACCACCACAAGAGCTTAATCCAATGATGATACAGTGTGCATTTCCGACATATTACCCAGATTTTAACATATTCAGTAACAATGGACTTAGAAGTCTATCAGTCAATCAGTGATTTCCAAAACATTAATTTCTTTTAAGATTCATGCCATGGTTCCCTTTTTCTTCTTCTCCTGAGTCATTCTTTGTGTGGGTCTCCTTCCTAACTTGACTAAATATCAATGATGATCACAAATAGTGAAAAGATGGCCTAATACTCACAAGTATAAGCTGGGTGCAACGAGAGACACAGAAAAAATAAAGAACTGTTTTGTGTTTTAAGATCATACAAATAGGAAACTGACACAAGCTTGAAAGCCTAACTCCACCATAGGGCTGCATCTTAATGAAAAGTGTAAATCAAAACACAAGTAAAAAGACGAAAAAATCTTGCACCATTTCAATACATCGGAATTTTTGAGTAGTCTCTTTAGCTTGAGAAGAAACACCCTAGCCCTTTCTTTTACGAAATACACACTGAATTATCAGAGGTAAAAAGACATGATGTATGCAAGCTATATCGAAATATATTGGCAAAAATAATTTGTGTGTGTTTATATTTGTAGAGTCAGATGAAAAAACAATGTGGAACAATATTTTAAACTGCTACATCTGAGTAACGTGCATGGTTGTTCTGTATGATTTTTGCAACTTTCCAGTAAGTTTGAAATAATTTCATAATAAGTTTTTAGAAAATACACTGTAGCATTTAACATGTTAATGTGTTAAATTATATTTCATTATACGTTACATTTAAGTATATAATATAGTCTAAATCATAAACCATGGATTTTAACATTCTATATTATACAGCAATAAATTGTGAAACTTAAAATAATGTACTCTACAGTCCACGTCTTCAACACATGTACTGTAACATATTAATATTTAAGCTTCACAATTACTCCATTATATAATAGTATATAGCATGTTGAAATACGTGATACATAATTTAAGCAAATAAGGTTGTTATCTAAAACGTTTAGAAGCCAGTCTGAAAATGCTTTCAGGTTTCTGTCTCTTTATAGTTAAGCATCCATTTAAATTACACCGTTTTTGAAATCTACCTTATCCTAGCCATTTGGCTAACAAATTTATCGAACAAAAATATAAATGCAACACACTTCTTGCCTTTTAGCAGCTTGTGATAGTGGAATTTAAAAGCCTATGTAAGAACTCAAAGAGATTATCCATTTCTTTCCATGAGATTTAAGAAGGAAGACAACAGCACACTGTAAAGCTTCACTAAGAAAAAAATGGGAGCCGCTGCAGCCAAGCATTAACATAAGAACCCTACCAAGGTAAACAAAAAGAGGACTTAACCAGACGGAACAAATAGAACTTCAAGACGCCCCTACCTACTATTGGATCCAGAACTTACACTGAGCAGCAGGTTATTGGTCTCACGAACTTCAAAAACGAAGCCGCAAATTCTCGCAGGGAGTGTTACAGCTCTTAAGGATGCAGTACCTGGAGTTCCTTCCTCCAGCTGTTAAGACGGGTCCAGAGTTTTTTTTTTTTTCTTCTGGTGGGTTGGTACTCTGAGTTCATTATCTATGTGAAGCTGCAGACCTTTGCAGCGAGCGTTACAGCTCTTAAAGGTAGCGTATCCCGAGTTTTTCGTTCCTCCCGGTGGGTTCGTGGGCTGGTTACTCTAGCCGACTTCAGAAGTAAACCCACAGACCTCTGCAGCGAGTATCACAGCTCATAAATAGAGAGCCGTCCCAAAAAGTGAGCAGCAGCAAGATCTACTGTAAATAGCCAAATAACAAACATTCCACAGACCCAAGCACATTGCCACAGATGCTCCGCGGGGCCAGCATTTATTCCCTTAGTTGGCCCCGCCCACATCCTGCTGATTGGTCCATTTTACAGAGTGCTGATTGGTCCATTTTACTGAGCACTGATTGGTCCATTTTGCAGAGTGCCGATTGGTCTGTTTTTACAGCGTGCTGATTGGTGCTTTTACACACCTTTAGCTAGACACAGAGCACTGATTGGTGTGTTTACAATCCTTTAGCTAGACAGAAAAGTTTTTCAGGTCCCCACCCAACCCAGAAGCGCAGTCAGCTTCACCTCTCATTACTAAAGTCAGTTGCTTACCTGCTAAGAAAAGTCATGGAGTGGTGACAGAAGAAGAAGATACAAACTTTATTCCACCAGATCAGCTGACTTTAGCCTGCAGAGTGCTAGAATAGCAAGCATTTCAGCCATCCATACTACAATTGTGTTCTTTGACTATCATTTGGAGACGTTCATAGAGCCACAAAAGTACACTTGTTAAATAGTAGCTTCAGTTATCAGCTGAAGACAAGTGCAATGTACTAGTTAAATGATAACACCACGAAGAGGGAGGGAAGTGGAGGAGGGAAGACTCTACTCTCCTCGTGCAAAGAACTTCTACTGAGGTAATAATAATGTGTATGGATGGCCCCCAGATACCCAAATGCTTGTGCAGATCATTAGACTTCCTACTCTTGTGTAACTAGCTTTTATTCCTTAAGATTATGATTTTTAGATTTCTCCCTATTAATAAATGTGGCTCCAGTAAATTTGCACACACATATAAATATGTCTTATCAAAGAATATATACATCTTTGTATTTACTAAATATTGACAAAAATTCTTTTCCAAATGGACTGTATCAATTTACAGTTATAATAGCAGAGCTTGAAACTTCTCTTTGGTCTATATATTCAATAATTCTCTGTAATACCAAGAATTACATTTTTGTCAATTTGTTCTATAATGAAATAGTAGTGCGGTGATAATTTGCAGTTCCCTGTTTATTTGTAACTTTAGAAATCTTTTCAGATTTTCTGACCGTTTATATTTGCTTGTACCTTCAGACAAAGACAAACTTTATTTTTCTTACTGAATCATAGGTTATGGATTGTCACATGCTAATTTTTGGTACAAGTGCTTCACATGCTGAGAATGTCAACCTCCCCTTTTTCCTGTGTTATTCTGCTTTTATTCTCCTTTGAATTTTGTTTATTCACAGGGTTTTGCAACCAACACCACGATCTCTGTTTATAACATTTTCATCCATCTAAAAGAAGCCCTGTAAACATTAGCAATCAAACCCAGCCTCACTACCCGCTGCTCCCACACCAACCTTCCTCAGCCCAAAGCTTCTCATTGTATTTTTAAGCTATTTTTATCTTATTTTATTTATTTATTATTTTTGAAAGAGGGTCTCGCTCTGTTGCCCAGGCTGGAGTGCAGTGACACCGTCATGGCTCACTGAAACCTCTGCATCCCAGGCTCAGGTAATCTTCCCACCTCAGCCTCCCTCACCTCACCTCAACTGGAACAACAGGCACACGCCACCATGCCTGGCTGATTTTTTTTTTTTTTTTTTTTTTTTTTGTAGAGACAGGTTTCACCTGTTGCCCAGGCTGGTCTCGAACTCCTGGGCTCAAGTGATCCACCCACCTGGGCCTCCCGAAGTTGTGGGATTACAGGCGTGAGCCACCGCTCCCAGCTCCTCATCGTATTTTTTAATGACTATTAGAAACATACCGAGACCATCCTGGCTAACACAGTGAAATCCCGTCTCTACTAAAAATACAAAAAAATTAACCGGGAGTTGTAGCGGGCGCCTGTAGTCCCAGCTACATGAGGCTGAGGCAGGAGAATGGCGTGAACCCGGGAGGCGGCGCTTGCAGTGAGCCGAGATAGCGCCACTGCACACCAGCCTGGGCGACAGAGCGAGACTTCGTCTCAAAAAAAAAAAAAAAAAAAAAAAGCATGCAGGAAAATTATTAACTTTATGCTAATTCTGAGGTGCAAGACTTACTGAATATTTTTCTTTTGGTTCTAAATACTTTAAAACTTTATTTTCCTGGTATTTTAGGTGAATATTTATAACATCTGAAATAAGACAAATGTGTGTTCTCTTGTCAATTGCTAATATCACATTAATTTAGCCATTATTGCATTGCCTCTGATGTACAAAACAATGTTAAACATTGATTATTGTAGATATTCTTGTCATCTCACTTTAATAGTTCCTTGATGATTACTTGTTCACAATAAAATTTGACACGTAAAATATATTATTCTTCATATTAAGATTAGATATCATAAGTAAAAATGGGTATTTTTTTAACATACGAAGGAGTATTAGTCTACTCATCACTATGAATTTTCTTTCTTTTTAAGTCTCTGATAACGAATCTTGAATTATATTTTTTAGATTGTATACATATTATATATCTTCACTGATTTATGAATTTACAGATTTCTGCCTAAAAACCACATTGGCAGTGTTTCTATATGCAATTTCATGTATTTTTGCCTTTTCTTTTCTTAAAATTAGAATATTTGTCATTGCCTTTTACTCTTTTTCCCAAAAAGAGATATTGGATTCATACATCATTTCTATTCTTTATTTGCTTTCTAAATTACTGATATATATTTTCATTAATTTCTTCTGTATTTGTTATTACATTTCATCTCCCTTCCTGACTTAAATGTTAAAATCATGAAATTTTTTATTTCTTGCGTTGTTTGTTTGTTTGTTTAAGGCTATAAATTTTCTTCTGAATCAGCTTTGGCTACATTAGTGGATTTCAGTATACAATGATACTCCATGATTGCCAATTTTATTTCATCTTTGACCCAAAATACTTTTAAAAATTTCCAAGTAATAAGGTTTTTACTTTATTTTTTGTTTTAATTTTTAAAAATATGATGTGATGATTTCCAGATTTTTGCAGTGTAATCAGAACATTGATCAATATTTTTCTGTTATTTTTAGTTTATTGGTGTGTTGCAATATATAAACAATTGTTATAAGTGCTTCATAAGCATTTAGAGAGGAGTTTGTAGTGCTTCTCTATTATCGAAGTTGGTAAGTTTAGGCAAAAAGCCATTGATTATATGATTCAGATATATGTTTTAGAAATCTTTATTTTTGCCACCTTGTTTTACAAAGATAGGAGAAACATTTGTTAAACGTTTTTATTGCTATCACATTATCATTAATTTTTTTCCAAGCTGTAGAATTTTTATCACATCACTTCCTGAGCACCAAACAAGAAGTATGGTTTTTAACTAACAGCTACTTTGCACTCAGCAACATGATATCTCTCTGATACTCCCTTTTTTCTTTTTTAAATAATACTTTTAAAAATGTATTTATTTATTTAAGAGATGTGGGTCTTGCTGTGCTGTCCAGCCTGGACTTGAACTTTTGGGCTCAAACCATCCTCCCATCTCAGCCTCCTGATAAACTGGAACTATTCAGATGGGTACCACTGTGCCTGGCATGTTTTTTATTCCTGACACTCTTTCAAAACATCTGTGTATGATTCTAGCATTCTGTCTATTGTAACAGGAATATCACTTAAGAATTTTACCACACATCGTTTCATTTAAAAATATACAGCTCTTGGAAACATGCGTCTATTTCCCCTTATGCAAACAGCAACAGAAAAGCATTCTTTCAACAGATGAGCATGTTGAATCTAGCTCCTGGCCAAAGTCTTGTGTGTGATTTTTCAGGCCAACTACAGACAATTACAGATGCTTTACCTGGCAGTCTCATGGGGTAAGCTGCCCTCCCCACACCAGACCTGGTGCACAGTCAGTGCACTGCAGTCTCTGATGGGAGCGGCTGCAACTACCAGGCCCTGGCCAGCCATGCTGTTAGGCATCTCTCTATTCCTATCTCCCAGGCCTGTTGACTGGGGACCCTTCTTATCAGGCATAGATGACTTTGAAGGCACGTTCTCCACTGTGACTCAGGGTTTAGTACTTTTCCACTCCTAGCCCTTGCCCTGACCCATCCTCGTAGCCCCCAGGTTCATAAATGTAAGCAGCCTTTCTTTGGAGAAGAGCTATGATCCCCACCTCTGAGCTGATCCACCTGCCCCACACCTTACACTGTTCTGTGGGGAAAATGGGCTGGTGAGTGGCGGTTAGGACTGACACTTTGTCCTGAGTAGCCTCTTGCTTATACTCTCACAGTTGGTGACCCAAGGCTTGGCCATTACCTTCATTTTGGCTTGTCTTAATCAATGACTTCCAACAACTGGCAGCTCAGCTTTCCAGCTCAGCTCTTGACATACATTTTATAAAAACAGAATACGAAGAACAAAGTGGCCTTCTCCTAGGAAACTGTTAGCTGTATCTAGACATTATACAAGACACATTCTATTTAATATGCAATATTATAAGTCAGTGTCTTGGGGCCAAAACCTTTGCTTCCATTTTGACACTTGCCTTCTAGAACATTTCAAGAAATGAATGATTTAGTCAAATGGTGTGGACCTTATAAAAAGGCTATTGTAATATTTTCAATTATGTTTTCCAAAGTTTATAAGTTGAAGTCACGTGAGGAGTATGACACTCATTAATTCAGAATACCCACCTAGATGTTAGTTTCATCTTCTAATCTGTGAGCATTTGATGATGAGTGAAAAATAGCAACTCAAGGGTTTTTTTAGTACAGCACTTTTATTATTAAGGTAAAATGTTTTAAATGAGACATTTTTACTTTTTCTTAAATTGTGTAATCATGCATTTCTCTAAGGGGATACACACAGATACACACACACAATTGATTTTAAAGCAGTTTTAGATTTACAGAGAAGTTGCAGAATAGGTACAGAAAGTTAACGTATAAACCACACTCAGTTTCCCCTGTTATTAACACCTGACATAACAGGCATATTTGTTACAATTAATTAACCAATATTGATACATTACATAAATAAAGTTTATCCTTTATCTAGGTTTTCTTCCTTTTATCTAATGTCCTTTTTCTGTTCCAGGATACTACTCAGGATCCCCTGTTTTTTTTAGTAGTCGTGTCTTCTTAGGCTACTCTTAATAGTGAGAATTGTTATGCCTTCTTGGAAAGTTGACCCCTTTATCATCATGCAGTCTCCTTTTCTTTTTTTGGAGTTTCGCTCTTGTCACCCAGGCTGGAGTGCAGTGGCACGATCTCGGCTCATGGCAACCACCGCCTTCTAGTTTCAAGCGATTCTCCTGCCTCAGCCTCCCAAGTAGCTGGGATTACAGGCACCCACCACCCTGCCCAGCTAATTTTTGTATTTTTAGTAGAGATGGGGTTTCACCATGTTGATCTGGTCTTGAACTCCTGACCTCATGATCCGCCTGCCTTGGCCTCCCAAAGTGCTGGGATCACAGGTGGGAGTCACCATGCCCAGCCACAGTTTCCCTCTTTACCCTGATAATCTTCTTTCTTGTAAAGTCTACTGTGTCTGAAACGACTGTGGCGATGCTAGCTTTGCTTTCGTAGTGTCAACACAGGGCTTTCCGGGGCTGTGGTCATAAACCTGGGTTGCTAAAATCAACAGAAGTGGGTGCTTTCATGGTTTTGGGGCCAGAAGTCTGAAATCAACACGCAGGCAGGGCCATGCTCCCTCTGAAGGCTCTCGGGAAGAATCCTTCCTTGCCTCTCCCTGGCTTCTGGTGGTGGCTGGAATCCGTGGCACTTCTTGACTGTCAGCTGTGTGACTTCAGCCTCTGCCTTCATCGTCACATGCTGTTCTTCCTGTGTGTCTCTGTGTCCTGTGCATCCACGTTCTTTCTCATAAGGATGCCAGTCTTTCGATTTAGAGCCATTCGAATCCATCTTGACTAATTCCATCTGCAAAGACCCCATTTCAAAGCAAGGTCATGTTCTGAGGTTCTGGTTCTGAGGTTCCGTGCGGACATGATTTAGGGAGGACACTGAACACTATTCCACCCAGCACAGCATTGCTACGTTTTTTCCCACCTTTTTTTATTTTAAGAGATGGGGTCTCACTGTGTTGCCCAGGCTGCAGTGCAGTGACCTAATCTAAGCTTACTGGGGCCTCGAATTCCTGGGCTCAAGCAATCCTCCCGCATCAGCCTCTTGAGTAGCTGGAATTTCAGGTGTATGCCACCACACTTGGTCTCATATTCTTATTTTTTTAACCTATGATTTTTTTTTTTTTTTGAGACGGAGTCTCACTCTGTCGCCCAGGCTGGAGTGCAGTGGCACAATGTTGGCTCACTGCAAGCTCCGCCTCCCGGGTTCACTCCATTCTCCTGCCTCAGCCTCCCAAGTAGCTGGGACTACAGGTGCCAGCCAACACTCCCGGCTAGTTTTTTTGTATTTTTAGTAGAGACGGGGTTTCACCGTGTTAGCCAGGATGGTCTCGATCTCCTGACCTCGTGATCTGCCCGTCTCGGCCTCCCAAAGTGCTGGGATCACAGGCTTGAGCCACCGCGCCCAGCCAATCTACGATTTTTATCTTTATCGTGGGTTTCTTTTAGAAAACATTTATTTGGGTATGGGTTTTCGATCTAGTCTTGTTCTCTGTGTTTTAATTGTTGCACTTACACCATTTCCATTTCCATTTAAAGTAATTATTAATATACAGTAGTTAAATTAATCTCCATCATCTTGGTAACTGTTTTCTGTTCATTGTATTTGTTCTTTGTTTTTTTCTTCTCTCTTTTGTGCTTTAATTGAGCATTTTATGTGGTTTGATTTGTTGCCTTTATTAACACATTATTTTTTATTATTATAAATGTAATAAGTTATTTATTTTTTAATGTTCTTAAGGGTTTCCCTAGAGTTTACTATATATTTTAATAAATCCAAATTCACCTTAAAACAACAATATACTTCATTACACATAACGCAGGGACCTTAAAACTATTTCCAGTTCCCTTATGACACTGCTGTCATTCATTTCAATGATCTATGTGCTATAATCACTCAATACATGGTGACGACACCTACTTTAAAGAAATAGTTACATTTTAGATTAGTTTAATCTACATTCTAACTTCTCTGATCTCTTCCTGTCACTCCAAATCTGACCTATACAATTTTTCTCCTCAGTGAAGAAAGTCTTTTCATATTTCTTGCAAGTCAGGTCTACTGATTTTGAATTCCCTGTTTTTGTTTGTCTTAAAAGAATTGATCTCTGCTTCACATTGGAAGGACAATTTCAGTGGATATAGAATCGTGGGTTGGTTTTTGTTTGTTTGTTCAATATGGTAAATATTTTATTTCACTCCTTTTGCTTGCATGGTTTCTGAACAGCAGTACACTCTAACTCTTATCCTTGCTTCTCTAGAGGTGAAGCTCTCCCCAGCTCCACACTGCCAGCTTCTTTCTAGTTTCTCTTTGTTTTTTGTCTGCTGAAGTTTAAATAAGATATGCCTAGGTGTAGTCTGTTAGTTATGTTGTTGTTGGTTTTTAGTTTTGGTATTCATTCTTCTTGGTGTTCTCTGAACTTCTTGCATCTATTGTTTGGTGTTTGTCATTAATTTCGGGAAATTCTCAGACATTCTCAGTTCAAATATTTCTCTTGCCTCTGCTTTCTCTTTCTTCTGTTTCTGGTATGCCAGTTATGAAAATGTACACCTTTTAAAATTGTCCCAGTGGCCAGGCACGGTGGCTCATGACTAACTGCAGCACTTTGGGAGTCTGAGGCAGGAGGATCATTTGAGGCCAGGAGTTGGAGGCCAGCCTGAGCAACACAGTGAGACAGGATCTTGACAAAATTTTTTTTAAAATTAGCTGGGCATGATGGTGTGAGTCTGTAGTCCCAGCTAGCCTGGAGGCTAAGGCAGCAGAATCACCTGAGCCCAGGAGTCAGAGGCTGCAGTGAGGTGTGACTGTGCCACTGCACTCCAGCCTGGGCAACAGAGTG
Organism: Homo sapiens; assembly: GCF_000001405.40. Lineage (NCBI taxonomy): Eukaryota > Metazoa > Chordata > Mammalia > Primates > Hominidae > Homo > Homo sapiens. The sequence goes on from NC_000015.10 coordinate 26,798,137, forward strand.
AGACCTTGCCTCTTAACAAATAATAAAGAAATAATACAATTGCGCCATAGTTCCTGAACGTTCTGCTGATTTTCGTTCTCTTTGCATTTCAGCTTGAGAAGCTTCTGTGCCCTCCATCTGCTGACTCTTCCCTGCCCGTGCCCAGGGTCCTGAGAAGCCCATCGAAAGCATTCTCGATTTTGTTGAATTTTCAATTCTGTTCTTGAGTTTTGAGTTCTAGCATTTCCTTTTGCATTTTTCTTAGAGTTTCCATCTCTCTGCTTACATGATCCATCTGTCCAGGCATGTTTCTACCTTTCCCATGAGGGCTCTAATGGAAACACATTAATCACAGTTATTTAAAGTCCCTCTCTGGTAATGCCAACATCTGTGTCCTATCTGCAGCTAGTTTTGTTGTTTACTTCAGACTATTCTGTTATTCTTGCCTTTTGGCATTATTTGTAGTTATTGTTGAAAGTCAAACTCGTATCATGTAATGGGGGCTGTGGTAAAGAGGCCTTTAGTGTGAGTGTTTGTGTGAACCTGGACGGGAGTTGGCCTTTACTGAATGTGTGCAGTGGCTTTAGTTGCCAGGGGTTTCCAATTCCTCCAGTGTTCTTGTTTTTGTCTCCCCTCTTGATTTTGGGCTCCCAAATTACTCTTTCGTAGACAGACTCTGTGCTTTTCATATTTTTCCACTGCAATTCCTTGTTATTCTACAGAAGCTCTGCTGGTGTAGTGGCCAGGTATGGGAAAGGAGAATAGTTTATAATGTTTTGATTAAGGCTGGGCATAGAGGCTCATGCCTGTAATCTTAGTGCTTTGGAATGCCGAGGCAGGAGGATAGCTGGAGCCCAGGAGTTCAAGACAAGCCTGGCAAAATAGTGGGACCCCATCTCTACAAAAACAAAAAATTAGCTATGCATGGTAGCGTGTGCCTGTAGTCCCAGCTACTCAGGAGGCTGAGATAGGAGGATCCATTGAGCCCAGGAAGTTGAGGCTGCAGTGAGTCCAGATCACACAAGTGTACTGGGTGACAAAGACCCTGCCTCAAACAAATAAAATTGTGCCATGGTTCCTGAACATTCTGCTACACACACACACACACACACACACACACACACACATTTTATTTCCTTTCCTTTATATATATATTTCCTATATATATATTTCCTATATATATATATTTCCTATATATATATGTATATATGTGTGTGTGTGAATATATATACATATATAAAGTATATATAAAATACTTAAATCTCAGCATTTTGCCATCCTGTGTAAAGGCTATGACCTTCACGATTACATTTTTTTTCTCCAAAGTAGTAATGCCCTTTAAAAATAAAAAATAAAAAAAGCCCTTACCACGAGGCAGGTAGTCTAGAGGTGTCTGGTGTGGGAAGAATATCTTTCACCAGCTGGGATAGGACTCAGGGCAATTCTTTTCCCTGGAGTGTAGGCTTTTGTGGCAGAGAAAATAATAATTAATTCCCCCCTTCTCCTGCCAGAACACTAGGGACTGTTTCTCAGATCTTCCCCATGAGAACCTGGTGGCATTTTTGCAGGTAAAATCCACACGAGTGTGGACCACGTCCCAAGACTGCAGCCCCCAGGATTTTCACACCCTGCCTCGTCAGTGCTCAGCCTCCATCAGGTCATCAGAATGACCCTGTACGTGTTCCCACACATGGATGTTGATTTTAAGAATCTTAAAATTCATTCCTAGAAGTAGAGGATAAATTTGTTTTTATACCCTTGCATAAAAATTGAAGTACATTTTAGGCTGTCCATGAGGAATCTTTCTGGGGTGAACTCCAGCAGCCCCCGCTGCACCCCCGGCTCTCTGCTCTGCCCCTCTGAATTGCCCTGTGTCTCCAGATTTCTGGGAGGCGATTTGCCTCGCGACTCCAGTGCTCTGATAGTCCCACAAAAGCTGCTCATTTTCAATTTGCTGGGACTTTTCTTGTTGTAAGGACAGCAGTGACTACTCCAAGTTCCTTTATGTGGTAAGGATGAAATCCGAAGCCTTAAATATATTGTTTAATTAAAAGCAATTGACAAATTGGCTTATACTCATATACAATAGCCTTCTTACATTTTTCTGAGTATAATATCCAGGTGAGCTCATGAAATTAATTTTTTAATATAAGGCATTAACTGATAACAAGTATTATGTGATGGGGTATGATAAAAATAATGAGTGTTCAAAATATTCTCCATCAGTATGACTGTTTAGTGTTACTGTAGGCTTCTTCATGTAGTTCATGCCAGTACCCTAAGCATGATCAAATATTAAAATGTATATCACTTTATTTATAATTCAAAGACAAGAAATGAAATGCAAAATATTATCCATTAAAACTAATTATTAACAATGCATATAGTTCCCCTATCATTTTACACAAACTTGCCCTTATTTAGTCTTTTTAAAATTATACAAATAATAAGTATCATTTTGGAAAATAAAAAAGAATATAAGATTGCTCTTGTTCCCAACACAAAATAATATCATTATTATTTTAGTGTATATTCTTGACTTTTTCAATGTACACTTTCGATATACAAATTATTCTTTTTTATTTTTATTTTTTTTCTGGAGATGAGGTCTTGCTCTGTCGCCCAGGCCAGAGTGCACTGGCACAATCACAGCTCACTGCAACCTCAAACTCCTGGGCTCAGGGAATCCTCTCACCTCAGCCTCCTGAGTAGCTGGGATTACAGGCACATGCCACCATACACACCAAGCTCATTTTTAAAAGTATTTGTAGAGATGTACAGACAGGATCTCACTATGTTACCCAGGCTGATCTTGAACTCCTGGGCTCAAGCCATCCTCCCACTTTGGCCTCCCAAAGTGCTGGGATTGCAGGCATGAGGCACCATGCCCAGCCACTTTTATTACTTTTAAATTTGGATAATTTTATGCCTTATTTCCAAGATCACTAATGGTCTTTCTAAAACATAAGCAATATATGGACATCTTGGAAATGAGTAATCTGCAACATACTCTTGTAATGCAGGTTCTATTTCCTCTTTTATTTCTCTAATGATGTTAATATATGTATATAAAGTAAATGATAAAGATAAATAGTAATGTAAGGAGAAATTGACAAACCCACAAAATTAGTGAGAGATATTAATACAACTCTTTCAGAATAAATAAGAATATAAGAGATTTTTATAACAAGTTTAACTAGCTTGGAGAAAAAAATAACCTAATACGATAATGTACGTATATTTAACCAACAGAAATTTTGCAAACACATACAGACCAGTCACAGGAAAGACATTATGCAAAAGCAAATGTCTACAAATTTTTTAAAGCAGAAATCAATGTGCTCTAACCAATGTGATAAAATTCCATATTAACAACTAAAGGATAGCCAAAATATCTCTTCACCTAAAAATTAAATCACTAGGAGAAAGGAAAACTGAAACAACTATATATTTAGAAACAAGAGAATGTCATAAATTTTAACCTTCCCCCAAAAAACACATGTGAAAATTGTTGCCTTGAATCAATTCATTGTACAGTTAGAAGGAATGAAATTTGGGAACTAAATAAATATTCAAGTCAATGCTTTCTTTAAAAGAACAATAAAATTAATCTAAATGAGGAAGAAGGAAGGAAGGAAAGTAGCCACATTAAAAAGCCAACATGAAAAATAAAAGATTTCCTATACACCATTAGAAAATGTATTCGCAAACAGTCTTACATTAACAATAACTATAAAAGATACAAGATTTCTTGGAATGAACCTAATTACAAAGCTTAAGCTTACATAAAGGAAAAGCTAAAGGAAAGGAAATAAAATGATCCATCTTATTTCTGCACTGGAAGAGTCAACAAGATAAAGGTGTTAATTTTCTATCACTGCTTCCTTAGTTTATCCATTTCCTTACATTAAAAAGGTTAGGATTTAAATTTTTTTTTTATTTTCACTATTACCTACTGCTGAAATAACTATCCTAGTACATAAATCTTAGTGGATGAAAATTTCTTTAGAAATAGAATCATCTATTACTTGTATCTTTAAATTTACTAGTATTGACAAATTGGTTTCCAAAATTGTTGTACCCATTTATACATCATAACCTGTTATACATTATAATGTGTTATCAATAGGCTTACCTATTGTCATCAGTTCCACATAAGGGTTTTTCATTTTCCTACATCATTAACACTCTTGGCATGATAAAACATTAATTTTTACAAATATAATGAATATGAACTAGTAATAGATTACTATTCAATTTGCACTTACTTTATCATTAATTAAATGTAATAACTTTTATGTGCTTATTAGTTATTGGGATTTTTTTTAAATTTGTGAACTAATCATTCATATTTGCTGCCCATTTTGTGTATAATATATATATGTACATACACACACATATATATATTCTGGATATTATTTATGGCTTACTGAAGGTTGCAGACATTTGAATTTTGGGCTTGTATTTTCACATTTTTCCTACAGAAGTTGTAATTTTTGGCAAAGTCGATTTATCAGCCTCCTCTTTTGCAATGTGTGCTTTTGTGTGTGTGTGTGTGTGTGTGTGTGTGTGTGTGCGTACTTCAAGAAAGGCATCTATTCCACCACTATCATCGAGATACTCTCTCGTGTTTTGTTCTATTCAAGTTTTACAATTTATTTCCTCATTTTTTTGTCTTTTGTCCCTCTGGTGCCAATTCTGTGTAAGGGATGAGGTATTCCGTATAAGGGATGAGGTACGGACCTGGCTTTATCCATCTGGTGCCAATTCCGTGTAAGGGACGAGATACGGACCTGGCTTTATTGCTTTTGCATGCATGGCCCGTTATCCTAGTGTCATGAATGAGTAAATCCACATTTTCCTCTCTGATTTATGACACCACCTTTATCACACTCCATATTCTTGTGCTCCTGTTGCTTTATTTTTGGGATTTCTGGTCTAGTCCATTACCTAGTGACCTTCCTGGAACCACATTTTATTTACCATAGCTTTGCTGTAACACCCAAAATGTGGTTGAATTGGTCCCTAGCTACTTCTCCTCTTCTTCAGTTGTCTTATCTGCTCTTGAATTTTAGTATCACCAGGTCAGGTTTTAGAAAGAGCCCTGCTGAATAATTAGAATTATGTTGAATTTACTATCACTTTGAGAAGAAATGCCACGTTTACGATAATACCATCCATGAACATAACATATTTCTGCATTTATTTAGGTCTTCTCTATGCCTTTCAATAAAATTTTAATCTTCTCCACAAGGTCTTCACATATGCTTAGGAATGATATACAACTCAGCTATAAAAAGTTGGAGTTCTTGATTACTATAAAGTCAATTTTCTAATTAGTTGTTGCTGGGGAACTCAAGTATTCTAGAGCTAGACCCTCCGAGTTTGAGCAGTTTTGCTATTATATATATGACTTTATATGCAGCCAGTAACTATGTAAGAAGTTCTAATTCTTTATCTTATTTCCCTCTATCTTTAATTTTGTTCTATTATCTTGTTTTGCTGGTCAGGACCTCCAGTATTCTAATAAATACAAATGCTGATAGCAGATGTTAAAGATTGAAAGGGGTTGTGCTTAATGCTTCCTTATTAACTGTGATGTTAATAGAGCCTTATGCCCCATCATAGCCTTTAGGATGCTGTCTCCTATTGCTAGATTGCTAAATGTTTCTTTGCTTTTTAATGAGCTAGTATTAAGTTTTACCAATTTTTTAATGTGTCTGTTGAGATGAGAATATTTGATTTCTTTAAAGTCAACTATTATGGAGGTATAATTTACATACAGTGAAATGCCACATATTGTGAATGTTACATTTTTGAGTCTGGGCTTTGCTGTATGCCTACGAAGTTTCCTGTGACTGTTCTGGATAAGTTTGATGTTTTCAAGACTGGCTTTTAAGCTTTTTTCATGATGAATTCAGGTGCATATCATATTCCTGAAGGTCTAGTTTCGCCTCATTACTAGGACATCTTTCTGGGGCCTACAGAAAACCTCATGTATTCAAGTGTTCTCCACTCTGGATTTGGGGAATTCAAATGATTCTTGGCCCTGTGTGATCTCTGATGATTTTTTTTCTTTTTTACTTTTAATTTCCCAGTAGTTAGTCTTTCCTGCACATTTTTCTTTGCCTGGCCACGTGGAGGTTTGCCCTACTCACGTGCAGATGGATGTTCAGTCTCAGGTGCACCCAAGCCTGTGTCTGCAGCTCCTTCTCTGTGTATCTGCCTCCACTCTGAGAGTCTTGCACCATGTAATGATGACCTCAGCCTCTGAGGACCCTCTCCTGCTCCTCAGCTCAACCAGGCTGCCGGACTGGGATTCCCCTTTCCTCAGCCAAGTTCTGGAAATTACGTCCAGGCAGAAATCTCAGTGACCAGAAGCCTTATCTCGTTTGCTGCTCCTCTCACAGGGATGACAGCCCTGAGCCCATTAAAGTCCCTGGGTGGAACGTGCAGACAGCTGCCACTCGGCACCGCCCTGACTGCCTCTGTGTGGGAAAGGCTTCTGCAGCTGTCCCACCGCACATTCCTGAGACAGCAGGGGCCAGACAATAAAAGGAGGCTGACTGTAGGCCCACGAAAACCCTGATGGTTTTGTGACTAGTTTCCTAATGCTCTCAAATATATAAACTCAACAGAACTCTTTCTTTCTTCTTTCTTTCTTTGTTTCTTTCTTTCTTTTTCTTTCCTTTCTTTCTTTTTCTCTTTCTTTCTTTCTCTCCTCCCTTCCCTTCCTTCCTTCCTTCCTTCTTTCTTTCTTTCTTTCTTTCTTTCCTTTCTTTTTTTTTCTTTCCTTTCTTTTTTTTTCTTTCTTTCTTTTTTTTGACAGGGTCTTGCTCTGTCATCCAGGCTGGAGGGCAGTGGCACAATCATAGCTCATAGCATCCTGGGCTCAGGTGATCCTCCTGCCTCAGCTTTCCCAGCAGCTATCACCACAGGTGTGTACTACCACAGCTGGCTAATTTTTTTAAAAAAATGTTTGTACAGTTGAGGGTCTCACTAGGTTGCCCAGGGTGGCCTCAAATTACTGGCCTCAATTGATCCTCCTGCGTGGACCCTAAAGTGCTGGAGTTACAGGCATGAGCCACTGCACCCTGCCAGAACTCTTATTTTCAAACTTATTGGTGCCAAATTTATAGGTGGACAGAAAGTGGAAAAAAGCCAGATACAAAAATGATGATAATCACTTTTTTTTTGCCTAATATTCACAACATATTTGCATACAAGCTTTCAAGGAAAGGGAAAGCAGACACTCCTAGGACAAAATATACTCTCCTAAGGTTTAGACCAGATTTTCTCTCGGATCTTGTCGTGATGGGTCAGACACATACGACTGTGAATGGAGCAGAGGCCACTTTCTCTTGGCTACAGTCCCCTGGTTGGAAAATAATTGCAGGTGTTCTCACTCCAGGAGCTTGGTGATGTCAACTTGTCTGGAGTATGGTGTTAATAGATAAGTACCAGGAATAAAGATACGTAAGTCGGAAGCCACCTGATACTCTCCATTTGATGAGAAGGAGGGTCAGGTGGCAGCATGCATCACTGTGCCTCCCACCTGCATGAAGATTGACAAGGAGCCTTGTACTATCTCCTCCTACTGGGGATCCTGCACTAGGTACTGACGGTGATCAAAAGGAACACAAATATTGGCGGCACCTTCACAGTACTAGTCACACTTTTACTATTGCTGCCAAATATAGATGATGTGAAAAACGCTGGACAGGAGAAGCATAAATGCAAAGTTCCCCTGCAAATCTATGCTAACATTTACAACTACCATCCATTGCTTTTTTTTTTCCCAATTCAGCATTAACTGCAAGAGCCAATATCAGATTTTGACTCGTTCAATTTAAACAATGGAACATAAAAGTCATGCTACACTTAATTTCTGCTGTAAGTAAAATGAGATTGAATTGCACCCCAATAGATAGAAAATCCACCCTGATGTTCAGTGTTGGAAAACAGATACAAATATATCTGCACAGTGGAGTGTATCTTGCATTGAATGTAAGGTTTTGAAGGCAAAGAAACTAACTCAGTGCAAGCTCAGGATCTCTTTGGTTTTTCTCACTGGAAACGACACTAATTCTCTACATATTCCACTTCAATTCGAAGCTGCTCATTAACCATTCTGCTTACAGGGCTTAGTTAAGCTCCTCTGAAATTGGATTCTGTCCTGGGGGAAGCTAGTTCAGTGATTGCATCCTGTGGAACTTGGCACACACTGGTCTCTCAGCCTGTTGTCACTTCTACCCCAAGGACTGACCTTGGGTTGCTTTTACAATGGCATTTTTCCAGTTGCAGTGCCTTTGGGTTTCCTGGTACCTGGCTTTCTTCTTGTCTACGTTAATGATTTCCCCAAGAGGTCATTAAAATGGTCCGCTGGAGGTAGAAAATGAGAGCTCTTTTTTTTTTTTTGGACATTAAAAAAATCTCATTTGCATTAATGCGTTTTACAAAAAGCATAATGTATACATGGGTAGAATTGAATTATATTTTACTGTTAGTATGTATGACCAAAAATGCTTGGTGGAAGCTGTTCCTTCAAATTCCTCCTTCCTTAGTCCACATTCCCTGAACTTGCTATGAAGGCGGCTGCTTGCCTGTTGCCCGGTGGCCTCTGACAGTCCACAGAAACTCTCCACTTCTGCACCCCTGATGCACATCCTACTGCTTGGCATGGTCTGTGCTGATAGAATTGTGCACAGAGCATGGGGCAGGAGGTGGGGGGCAGCCCGTCTGGGGAACAAGGAAGTACCTAAGTGGGAGTTCCAGGGATGCCGAGAGACGATGTACATTGACAGTTGTCAATCAGTGGTAAAACACAGCCAAGATGTGGCAGATGCTTCAGAGAGCACGAGAACTGACACCAACGTCAGTACCCAAAAGGGAAACTGAGCTCTCAACAAGTTAGAGGCCAGGATTTCTCAGCAACAGGGCCTGACTGTGGCCTGGAAGCAAGCCCAGGAACATTACAATTCTGCAAGCATGAACACTACAGATCAGGGAGGACTCCTCCCCCGCTTAGCAATTTCCATTTTGTTCTCAAAGTGATTCCATCCATGAACTGTGTGGAAGGATGATACTGGAAGACTTTACTCTGTTTCTTTAATTTTTCATAGATAATCACATATGAAAAAATAACAAACACAGTAGGAGAGACGTTTAATTGGAAGGGACGTACATCAGTAGGTCACTGAGATGAGGAAGTCGGTCTCCAGTGGGTCCGCGTTTGTTGAGAATTGCTTGATGGCCTTTAAAATACTCTCATTTCACTGGTACAAATTGGATAACAGTTATCCAAATTCCAAATCAATAAAAAGATATTTTGGTGTTCAGGCCCATAAATCATTCATTAACATACTTTTAGTGTCCAAAATATAACAACCTAGCTTTCCACTTGTCAGCTATGACTGACTAACTTTCTGGAAGACTAATCTTCCCACTTAGAACAAGAAGAAAATAAATGGATAAAAATAGAAAAAAAAAAAAACAAACTATGTATGTATGAGGGCGTTTGAGAGCTCTTAAAGTAGCCAGGACTGAAGAGACTGAAATGTTGGAAGGAAAACAAATTCATTGAGGTGAACCCGACCTTCTGTGTCACGTTTGCTGTGCTGCAGCTGGCAGCCTTTGGGTATGCTCCAGTAGACCTCCAATGTCTGTGTGTGCATCTCAGTGCGTGACAATTTGGGGTTTGGGGAAGTTTAGAAGGCTCTTCTAAGTGGTGGCAGGCTGGATATGAGGTGGGGGTAGGGTGGGGGATACAGACACCACCTCCCTCCCAACGCAGCCCTTGGGAGTCGGTACAAAACCCCCTAGATCCCTCAAAAATGAAGTATGACAAATGTGAGACAGGTGTTTTGAGCCATTTTCCAGAGTTTCCTTGAAGGGCTCAGCTCCAGTTGCTTCCCGTGGTAACTGGCTTAATGAAATAAATTTATTAGCTGCCCTCCCCTCTCTATCACTTCCCCATGCCATGACCAGTGTCCCTTGAAGCCTCCAAATAAGTGACTTTTACTGTAACATTTATCTCAGCGTCTGCACTAAGGCAGCCCAGTTGATGATTCGTTCGCTGTGTGGGGCAGAGGCTGTGAAGCTGAACAGAAAGCAGCTGCGGAGGGCGCGAGGCTGAGGAGAGCTTTCGTTAGGCTGGCAGGCCTGATGAGATGAAAATGGAGGATCAGGGCTGCCACACAGCCAGGGCCTGGGAGGCCAAGATCCGGGAAAAAAGAAGTGCAGAAAAGTGATTTCAAGAGTTTGACCTGTTACTCTCCTAAGCCCTTTGCCAGTTCCTGAGCAGCACAGGCCAAGAGGCAGAGAAGCTGAGCAGCTGGCAGGTCGTGACAGGCTGGAAGGCTGAGGAGAACCACCAGGGTTCCCATCATTCTAGGAAACAAAAACTGGGATTCGGAACTGGGCAAGGTGGAGAGGCCCAGGTTCTCATGCTGGGCTTTCGTGCATGACCCTGGGGAACGACAAACTAAGAGGCAGGGTAACCAGAGAGAGCAAAGAAACTTCATCTAGAACTGTGCTGACCAATGTCAGCCCCAAGCCACATGTGGCTATTTACATTTAAATTTACTAAAAGTAAATAAAATTAAAAATTACTTCCTCAGTCACACTAATCATAATTCAACCGTTCAAACGCTCCATGTGGCTAATAGTTACCATATCAGACAGCATACACATAGAACATTTCCATCTCCATAGAAAGTTCTATTGCACAGTATTGATCTAGGATTTTTATATTTTAAAGCACATCTCTGGCATTAAATCAAATTTAAAAAACATACCAGGACCTAGAACCTAAAAAACTAGCAATAAAATTGTAACCGTGGTGATCCAGATATTAGAGTTATCAGATGCAGACTTTAACAAAACTTTGATTAATATACTTGACATAGATGACAAGATAGAAAAAGACTTCCAAGAATGAAAATCTGTATGAGCTAATTAAATGGAAAATAAAAAATACAATGGCAAATTAAGAACACAAACTATGGGCCAAATGGCAGATCAGATACAATGAAGAGAGAAATGGTTACGTGGAAGATAGGTCAGTAAGAAATAACCAGACAGAAGTATGGAAAAAAAAAAAAATGAAGTATGGAGACACAGAAAAGAGAATAAAATACCTAAGACTATGATGAAATAGGTGTAACATGGTTCTAATTAAAGTTCCAGGAGGGGAGAACAGATCTAATGGTGTGGAAGCAATATTTGAAGAGATAATGGCTAAGAAGGCATTTCTAAAATTGGTAAAACGAGATTAAGCCACAAATTCACAGGAACTATGAAACCAAAGCATCTAAAAAAAAAAAAAAAGAAAATGACACTGTAGTAAAAGTTTTGGAAATCAGAATAAAAGAAAAATTGTACACACATCCCCAAAATGCACAAATTAACTTCAAAGAGCAGCAGTAAGACTGACGGTAATTGACTTCTTAACAGAAAAAGAACAACAAAGAAGGCACTGGAATCTGATCTTTAAAGTGATGAAAGAAAGTACATGCTAACAAATAATTCTATTCTCAGTGAAAACATGCTTCACTTTTGAAGGAAAAATAAAGACATATCAGACAAAAAACTTAGAGAAATTGCTGTCAGTACACTTGCACTAAGAGATACTGAAAGGAGTCCTTCCCATAGATAATATACTTGCTAAGAGAAACATGGTAGTGTATAAAAAAATTAAGAACTGCACGAGTAGTAAATATGTCAGTAAATCTAAATGAATATTGAATGTGTAAAACATACTTCTAAGCTAATTATAACAACTTGTAGGGTTTAAAATGTATGTAGAATTAAAATTAATGATAATTATGAAGTAGGACAATTATAATTCATATGAGACTCTACTAAAAGAATGCCTACTATAATATCTATGGTAAACAATAAAAGGATAATATAACTTAAAACTATTTGATCATTGGCATAAAAATGAAATACTTAGGGATAAATCTAACATGTAGAAGATCTATGTGAGGAAAACTACAAAACTACAACCTCAATGAAATAAATCAAAGATCTAAATAGAGAGATATTTCAGGTGCATGAACAGGAAAACTCAACACTGCCAAGATGTCAGTTCTTTCTAAGTTGATCTATAGATTAAACATAATACCAATCAAAATTCCAGCAAATTGTTTTCTAAATGTTGACTAACTAATTCTAAAGTTTATATGGAAAGGCAAGAGGGCCAAAATAGCCAACAAAAGACTGAAGGAGAAAAACAAAGTCAGAGGACTGACACTACCCAACTTCAAGACTTCTTATAAAGCATTCCCCTGGAAAACCAGCCCAAGACAAGGAAGCCCTCTCTCACCACTCCTATTCAACATAGCATTGGAAGTCCTGGCCATGGCCATCAGGCAAGAGAAAGAAATAAGGGGCGGCATCTAAACAAGATGAGAGGAAGTGAAACTATCCCTGTTTGCAGATGATATGATCCTATATCTAGGAAACCCCATAGTCTCATTCCAAAAGCTCCTAGGCAATATCATTCTTGGCACAGGAACCAGCAGATTTCATGATAAAGACACCAAAAGCAATCACAACAAAAGTAAAACTTAACAAATGGAATCTAATTAAGCTCAAGAGCTTCTGCACAGCAAAAGTAACTATTAACAGAGTAAACAGACAACCTAGAAAATGGGAAAATTTTTTTGCAAATTATGCATCTGATAAAGGTCTAATGTTCAGAATCTGAAGGAACTTAAAACAAATTGACAAGAAAAAAACAACCCCATTAAAAAGTAGGCAAAGCACATGAATAGACACTTTTCAGAAGAAGACATACATGCAGTGAACAAGCATATGATAAAAAGCTCAATGTCAGTGATCACTAGAGAAATGCAAATAAAAACTACAGTGAGATACTGTCTCACACTAGTCAGAATGGCTCTGAGTCAAAAAATAATGGTGGTGAGTTTGCAGAGAAAAGCGGTTACTTATACACTGTTGGTGGGAGTATAAACTAGTTCAACCATTGTGGAAAGCAGTATGGTGATTTCTCAATGAGCTAAAAACAGAACTACTATTTGACCCGGTAATCCCATTGCATTATAGATCATTCTATTATAAAGTCACATGAACTTGTGTATTCACTGTAGCACTATTCACAATACAAAGAACATGGAATCAACCTAAGTACCCCTCAATGGTAGTTTGGATTTAAAAAATGTGGTACGTATACCCCATGGAATACTATGCAGCCATAAGACCATGTCCTTTGCAGGAACATGGATGGAGGTCATTACCCTTAGCAAACTAATGCAGGAACAGAAAATCAAGTACCACATGTTCTCACTTGTAAGTGGGAGCTAAATGATGAGAACACGTGGACACATAGAGGGGAACAACAGACACCGGGGACCTACCTGAAGGTGGAGGGTGGGAGGGGAGAAGACCAAGAAAAACAATTACTGGGTACTAGGCTTAGTACCTGGGTGATGAAATAATCTGTACAACAAACTCCATGATATGAGTTTCCCTTTATAACAAACCTGCACATGTATCCCTGAACCTAAAATAAAAGTTAAAAATAAAAGACTTCCCATAAAGCTACAATTATCAAAAGGGTGTGGTATTGGTGAAAGAATTCATAAATGTATATAGGGAACAGAACAATGACCTGAGAAACAGACTCACACAAGTGGAGTCAACAGATCTTTGATGAAATAGCAAAGGCCATTCAATGCACGAAGGATAGAATTTTTAACAAATGGTGCTGAAACAATTGCACATCCACATGCAAAGATATGTGTATATATATATATGCCTCATATATATATGTGCTTCATATATATATGCGCCTCATATATACATATGCCTCATAGATATAGATATAGATATGGAGAGAGAGGGGGAGAGATCTCATACCTTCATAAAAATTCATAAAAGTTAACTAAAAATGGATCATACACCTAAATGTAAAATGCAAAAACATTTAGAAGATAATGTAGGAGAAAACCTAGGCAACCTCAGGTTTGGTGTTGACTTTTTAGATACAACACAAAAAGCACTATTAATGACAAAAAATTGGTAAGTCAAACTTCATTAAAATTAAAAACTTCTGCCCCATGAAAGACGTTGTTCAGAGGATGAAAAGACAAGCCACAGACTGGCAGAAAATCTTTGCAAAACACATGTGTTAAAGTACTGATTTCCAAACTATTAAACAAACAAAAAAACCCTTAAACTCAACAACAGAAAAACAAATGTCCCAATTAAAAATTGGACAAAACCAAAGTAATTTATAGATTCAATGCTATTCCCATTAAACTACCATTGACATTCTTCACAGAATTAGACATTCACAAGCAAAAAGACCGAAGCTGGAGGCATCATGCTACCCAACTTCAAACTATACTACAAGGTTACAGTAAGCAAAACAGCATGGCACTTGTACAAAAACAGACACATAGACCACTGGAACAGAATAGAGAGCTCAGAAATAAGACTGCACACCTACAACCATCTGATCTTTGACAAGCTTGACAAAACAAGCAATGGAGAAAGGGTCTTCTATTTAATAAATGGTATTGGGAGAACTGGCTAGCCATATGCAGAGAATTGAAACTGGACCCCTTACTTACACCTTGTACAAAAATTAACTGAAGGTGGATTAAATACTTAAATGTAAAACCCAAAACTATAAAAGCCCTAGGAGGAAATCTAGGCAATACCATTCAAGACATAGGCATGGGCAAAGATTTCATAATGAAAATGTCAAAAGCAATTGCAAAAAAAATAAGCAAAAATTGACAAATGGGATTTAATTAAACTAAAGAGCTTCTGCACAGCAAAAGAAACTATCATCAGAGTGAACAGACAACCTACAGAATGGGAGAAAACTTTTGCAATCTATCCATCTGACACAGGTCTAATATCCAGAATCTACAAGGAGCTTAAACAAATTTACAGGAAAAAAACAAATGACACCATTAAAAAGTGGGCAAAGGACATGAACAGACACTTCTCAAAAGAAGACATTTATGTGGCCAACAAACATATGAAAAAAAGCTCAACATCACTGAGCATTAGAGAAATGTAAATTAAAACCACAATGAGATACCATCTCATGCCAGGCAGAATGGCAATTATTAAAAAGTCAAAGTCAAGAAACAACAGATGTTGGTGAGGCTGTGGAGAGATAGGAACACTTTTACACTGTTAATAGGAATGTAAATTAGTTAAACCGTTGTGGAAGACAGTGTGGCAATTCGTCAAAGACCTAGAACAAGAAATACCATTTGACCCAAGAATCCCATTACTGTGTATATACCCAAAGGAATATAAATTATTCTATTATAAAGATACACTCACATGTATGTTCACTGCAGCACTATTCACAATAGCAAAGACAGAAGATCAACCCAAATGCCCATCAATTATAGACTGGATAAAGAAAATGTGATACATATACACTGTGGAATACTATGCAGCCATAAAAAGAATGAGATCACATCCTTTGCAGGGACATAGATCAGCTAGAAGCCACTGTCCTCAGCAAACTAATGCAGGAAAAGAAAAGCAAACACCGCATGTTCTCACTTGTAAGTGGGAGCTGAACAATGTGAACACATAGACACAGAGGGGAACAACACATACTGGGGCCTATCTGGGGGAGGGGGTAGGAGGGACAGCAAGCTAATGGATGCTAAGCTTAATACCTAGTTGATGGGTTGATAGGTGCAGCAAACCACCATGGCTAACATTTACCTTTGTAACAAATGTGGACATCTTACACATGTATCCCAGAATTTAAAATAAAACAAAAATAAAAATAAACAAAATTGGGCAAAAGACCTGAATAGACACCTCACCAAAGAAGAAACATGGATGGCAAATAAGCATATGAAAAGATGCTCAACATCACATGTCCTCAGGGAATTACAAATAAAACATAAATGCTATGCCCCTACACACCTATTAGATTGGCTACATTGAAAACACTGACAATACCAAATGCTGACTGAGCCATAGAGCAACAGAAACTCTCATTCATTGCTGGCTGGGAGGCAAAGTAGTCCAGCCACTTTGAAAGACAGTTTGGCAGTTTCTTATAAAACTAAAGATACTCTTACCATTTGATATGGTTTTGCTGTGTCCCCACCCAAATCTCATCTTGAATTGTAATAATCCCCATGTACCATGGGTTGTGCCAAGTGGAGATAATTGAATCATGGGGGTGGTTTCCCCCATACTATTCTTGTGGTGAGTAAGTCTCATGAGATCTGATGATTTTATAAATGGGAGTTTCCCTGCACAAGCTGTCTTGCCTGTTGCCATGTAAGACATGACTTTGCTCCTTATTCGCCTTTTGCCTTGATTATGAGCCCTACCTAGCCATGTGGAACTGAGTCAATGAAATCTCTTTCCTTTATAAATGACCTGGTCTCAGGCATGTCTTTATTAGCAGCATGAAAACAGACTAATAAACCATTTAATCCACAATCATGCTTCTTGGTATTTATTAATTTGAGTTGAAAATGTATGTCCACACAAAAATCTGCACACGAAAGTTTATAGTAGCTTTATCCATAATTGTCAAAACTTGAAAGCAGCCAAGATATCCTTCAATAATTGAGGGTCTAAACAAACTGTGGCACATTCATATTATTAAAGATTACTCAGAGATAAAAAGGGATAAGCTATAAAGTCACAGAAATTCATGGAATGTTCTTAAATGCATACTGCTCAGCACAAGAACCCAGTCTTGGCAGGGTACGTGCTGTAGGGTTTCAACTATATGACATTCTGGAAAGGCAAAATGATGGAGACAGGAAGAAGAGATTAATGGTTCTTAAAGCTTCAGGGGGAGGGAAGGAGGGTTGAATAGATTAAGAACAGGAGGTGTTTAGGGCAGTGAAACTACTCTGTATGATACTATAATACACACAGAATATGTTACTATTATACTATACTTGTTCTCAAGTACAGATATGTCATTGCACATTTTTCAAATGCTGTAGAATTTACAACACAAAGTGTGAACCCTAATGTTAATAGTGAATAATAAAAAACATCAATATTTTGGGTATACTTGTCCTGGTTCTCAGAAAAGGGACACTCCCACAAGTGGGCACGTTAATAACCTCAATAACAATGAAGCTATTGTTGCTTGGTCACTTTGGGTTTCTCATGCCAGTAAACTTGATGGCTAAAACTGGAGTTGCCATATGGTCAGGGGAGTTGACCCACGTCATTATGAGGAGGAAGGTTACAGACAGGAATATATTTGATTTTCAGATATCCATTGGAGCATTTCTTGATGCTCACATGTGGATGAGTAAATAAAATTATATATATGCAAAAATGATAAACTAGAATTATGTTTAATAATAAATTATGAATTCTACCAATAATATTTAACAACTACTATAGTTTATATTACAGTACTGAGACTGGGTATATGAAAGGAAGGAAGGAAGGAAAGAAAATAGGAAGGAAGGAGCGGTTATATTTT
This sequence comes from Homo sapiens, assembly GCF_000001405.40. Lineage (NCBI taxonomy): Eukaryota > Metazoa > Chordata > Mammalia > Primates > Hominidae > Homo > Homo sapiens. Next base: position 26,815,589 of record NC_000015.10, read on the forward strand.
TACATAGAAAAGCTTTGAACATTAAAAAATAATGGGCCCAGAGAAGAATGAACTTTGGCTGGAATGTTAGCTGATTTGGTTTGGAGGTTGGGAGTGGTTGGTATCTAGAGAAGTCTTAACTGTGAAATTGTAGTGTAGCTGAATCTTTAAAGATTAAAGGAAAGTATTACATGATTAGTTTTCTTTAAATATATGACTTCTAAACAGTTACTGCAAGATTTTGTTGTCAGTTTGTTTCTTTCTAAGAGAATATCAGTTGGAGAATATGATTTTATATGCACAAAATAATTACATGGGCATTTTTTTTTTTTTTTGCCAGTCATTGTGGAGCAATGTGAGAGCATGGTGATAAAGGTAAGGAACATGTTTTCTTTTTTTAACTCCTCTTCTGAGTAGCTGTGTGATCTTGGACAAGCCTAAACTTCGTGGGCTACCTTTCGAAACATGGCAGATGAGGACGTCTGAAGCTCCTTCCCATGCTAAATCACTTGATTTCAAACTTGCATACACTTAGTCCTAGAATCAGATGCCCTGATAGAATTCAACAAAACTTTCATTTAAAATTATAGCAAAATTACACAAGTTAAGGTGATACTATTTCATCATTATATTCTTTTAGTCTCTCTCTATGTATTCCTTAACATAATTTAGACAAGCATTTCAACAACAAAATACATAAAATAAGTTATAGACTTATATTACAATCACTACTAATACTCATAGCATTAGTAAGAAGTGAAAACCTTTCATTGATAAAATGCAGGCATCATGGACGTACCTGGTTTCATAAATGGCATAAAATGTTCTGTGTTCTTTGACTGCGTTCCTGAAAAAAAAAAAAACACAAAGAAGGATAAAAGGTAATCTTCATGATTATTGCTAAGGTCTAAAAGTCCTTTAATAAGCATGTTCCCAAACTCTGTCTATTTAAGATATCTTGACTAGCATTTTGTGAAAATCAAGAAATAATATTTAAAGAAATGTACACACATTTTTAAAAAGTAATACACATCGTATTAGATAAGCTTAGGCCCTGGTTTCTGCTCCAATAGTAGCTAACGTGGTTACTGAACCACTGTTTAAATTTTAGTGAAGGAGACAGAAAACAAACAATAAAGATAATTTCCAATTGTGGTATATCCAGTAACAAAATTAAAATAAAATATTATAATAGAAAATCATGTGAGAGAAGCCATATTAAATAGGATGCAAAAAAATAAGTTTCATTGGCTAGGTTCGGAGGCTCATGCCTGTAATCCCAGCATTTAGAAAGGCCTAGGTGGGAAAATTGCTTGAGTCCAGGAGTCTGAGACCAGCCTGGGCAACATAGTGAGACACTGTCTCTAAAAAACAATACAAAAATTAGCTGGGTTTTGTAGTGCAGGTCTGGTTCCACCTACTTGGGAGACTAAGGTGGGAGGATCACTTGAGTCCAGGAGGCCGAGGCTGCAGTGAGCAAAGATAGCACCACTGCATTCCAGCCTAGGCAACAGAGTAAGACCCTGTCTCAAAAAAGAATAAAGTAAAATAAACAAAATGAACAGGGCATAGTGGCATATGCCTGTAGTCCAGCTACTCAGTAGGCTGGGGTGAGAGGATTGCTTGAGCCCAGAAGGTCAAGGCAGCAGTGAGCCAAGATTGTGCCACTGCATGTTAGCCTTGGCAACACTGTAAGACCCTGTATTAAAAAAAAAAAAAGAAAAGAAAAATTTCCATAGAGAACAAATTTTTAGTTGGAACCCGAGGCATGGAAGAAGTTAACCATGAGATTTGTGGGAAAACAGAGGCAATACAAAGTTCAAAGTTCCTAAGGTATAAATGCATCAAGTATGTTTTGAGAAAAAAATCATCAACATCTTCACCCTTCACCATCATCATACAATGGTGAATGATGATTCACCCTTAACATTTTTAGAATTACTATAAATCCACAGTAAACCAACCTAGACAGTATAGTATTGGTGAAAGGGCGAGACATATAGGTCAATTGAATAAAACAGTGACTCCAGAAATACAGTAAATCATTCTTGACAAAGAACAAGCTTTTCAGCAAAAGGTGTTGGAACAATTGGATATTCATATGCAGAATTAAACCTTATTGTTAATGGTAACAATAGAAATCATAATTATGTATTGATTACTATGTACAAGGCACTGTATTTCTTATGCTGAAAGAGTCGTTTAAAATAAGAAAACTAAGGCAAGTAAACAAGGGAAAGACAAATCCATAACTGAAGGCAGAAAAACTATAACTGATAGTAAAAAAAAAAAAAAAAAAAAAGTGCCATTGTTGTGGAAGGACACATCAATGTGTCCTGAGGCCTGGCCTTTAACCTTCCTCCGACACCTGTCACCAGGCAGGTCAGCTGCTGCCTCACACAGAATTACTGGACATCTAAAAAGTACTTCTAGAATTAAAAAGGAAAAACCAGATAACATTTTTGACATGAAGTGAAATTACTGACAAAGATGGAGCAATAAAGTAAAAGAGGCAAAATAAATATATCAAAGACACAAGAGAATATTAGTAGCATGGGATGAAATGACATAAAAAAGAATATGACAAAGTATCAGTTATAAAATATGAAACTGTTTTAAGAAAGAACATGTGGAGAGGAATAAATAGAATGTAAATGACTGAAGAACAAGTGAGTGGCCTGGAAGATCATACTGGAGTCTCAAAAGCAGCACCGAAGAATCAGGAGTTAGGAATAGCAAAGAGAGAGAAAATATGTAAGTGACAACATCTGGAAAATAGGAAATAACAGAAGTGCAAAAAAAGAAAACTCCCCAGGAAATAAGTTCTGTGATAAAATTAGAACAAATTTCCCAGAATTCAACAAGAACTATTTTAGATTAAATGAGTCTGTACAACACAGAAAATATATGGGCTAATATACCAAAAAAAAAAAAAAAAAAAAAGTTTAAAGGGACCTATAAAGGTTTCTATACTGCACTTAAGCAGGTACAATTTTTATTCTAAATAGACTTTTAAAGATTCAGTATATATATTGTAATCCCTAGAGCAACCACAAAAATAACTATACAAAGAGTTGTATTTAAAATTAAAACATCACTTAAAATGAAAACTTGAGCCAATCTGAACACTACACCTGGGATAGAGACATTAAATGATCTGGTAACATATGCATTATTTAGGCCACAAAGGAAAATCTTCCACCAATTCCAACGAACCAGTGTCATACAGACTGTTTTTTAAATGTAATACAATATATTCCTGCTAAAATTTTACATATTTTGGAAAAATGATTCTTAGATTTAAAATAATTTTGAGGATTATAAATACTTAGAAATGGATGGCAATGAATACACTACAGGCCAAAATTTCATTTAACTAAGAACTGCAAGCAGAATTCACATTAGAAAATCTGTCAGTGGAACATACCATGTTGGAATGCAGGAAAAAAAATACGCTTATCTGAACAGATTCAAAGAAAGATTCTGAAAAGTTCAAAAATTTTTTATGATATTAAAAACTTACTCAACTATTGCAAAAGCTAAAGACACCGCAAAACAACTATTAGAACAGATAAACTAATTCAGTAAAGTTGCAGGATACAAAATCCACAGGCAAAAATCAGTAGCTTTCCTAATGCCAACAGTAAAAAATCTGAAAAGAAATTTAAAAAGTAATCTCATTTACAATAGCCACAAATAAAATTAAATACCTAGGAATTAACTTAACCAAAGAAGTGAAAAAAAAAACTACAATGAAAACCATAAAATACCAAGGAAATAAATTAAAGAAGACAACAGAAAATGGAAAATATTTCATGCTCATGGATTGAAAGAATCAATATTTTTTAAATGGCCATACTACCCAAAGCAATTGCAAAGATTCAGTGCAATTCTTATTAAAATATCAATGACATTCTTCACAGAAATAGAAAAACAAACCTAAAATTAAATGAAATCACAAAACACCCAGAATAGCCAAGCTATCCTAAGCAAAAAGAACAAAACTAGAGGAATCACATTACCTGACTCCAAATTATATTACAGAGTCATAGTAACCAAAATAGCATGGTACTGGCATAAAAACAGACAAACAGACCAATGGAATAGGATAGAGAACCCGGAAATAAATCCACACACCTATAGTGAACTCATTTGCACCAAAGGCGCCTAGAGCATACACTGGGGAAAAGACAGTCTCTTCAATAATTGGTGCTGGGAAAACTGGATATCCCTATGCAGAAGAATAAAACTGGAAAACTATCTTTCACCACATACAAAAATCAAATCAAAATGGAGTGAAGACTTCAGTCTAAGACCTCAAACTGTGAAACTACTACAAAAAAATTGGGGGAAAATCTCCAGGACATTGGTCTGGGCAAAAGTTTCTTGAGCAATACCCCACAAGCACAGGTAACCCAAGCAAAAATGGACAAATGGATCACATTAAGTTAAAAAGCCTCTGCACAGCAAAGAACACAGACAGCAAAGTGAAGAGACAACCCACAGAATGGGAGAAAATATTTGCAAACTACCCATCTGACAAGAGATTAATAACCGGAACATACAGGAAGGTCAAACAACTCCATAGGAAAAAAAAAAAAAGAACAACAACTAATAATCCAATCAAAAAATGGGCAAAAGATTTGAATAGACATTTCCCAAAAGAAGACATACAAATGGGAAACAGGTATATGAAAAGGTGCTCCCCATCACTAGTCATTAGAGAAATGCAAATCAAAACTACAATGAGATATCATCTCACCCCAGTTAAAATGGCTTATACCCAAAAGACAGTCAATAACAAATGCTGGCAAGGATGTGGAGAAAAGGGAACCCTTGTGCATTGTTGAAGGGAATATAAATTAGTTAAACCACTATGGAGAACAGTTTTGAGCTTCCTCAAAAAACTAAAAATAGAGCTGCCATATGATCCAGCAATCCCACTGCTGGGTATATTCCCAAAAGAAAAGAAATGAGTATACGGAAGAGATATCTGCACTCCCGTGTTTGTTACAGCTCTGTTCACAATAGCTATGGTTTGGAAGTAACCTAAGTGTCTATCAACAGATCAATGAATAAAGAAAATGTGGCATATATACACAATGGAATACTGTACAGCCTGCTGTATATAAAGAAATGTGGCATGAAATAAGCCAGGCACAGAAAGACAAACATCACATGTTCTCAATTACTTGTGGGATCTAAACATCAAAACAGTTGAACTCGTGGACATAGAGTAGATGGTTACCAAAAGCTGGGAAGGGGAGTGGGGAGTTGGGGGGGAGGTAAAAATGGTTAGTGGGTACACAAAATAGAAAGAATGAACAAGACCTGCTATTTGATAGCACAACCAGGTGACTATAGTCAATAATAACTTAATTGTACATCTTAACATAACTAAAATAATGTAATTGGATTGTTTGTAACACAAAGGATAAATGCTTGAGGGGATGGATACCCCATTCCCCATGATGTGGTTATTTCACATTGCATGTCTGTATCAAAACATCTCATGCACTTACTATGTACCCACAAAAATTAAACATAAAAGAAGATTTAAAAAGTAACGCAGCGAATTAGAAATAGAAGGAAACTTCTTAATCTTGGAAGATGTTACATTCCAAAAATATATATAGCATATAAAATCTGTAGCATACACATGCTTAACAGAGAACCTTTACATGCCCTCTCTTTAAGATCAGGATAAGGTGAAAATGCCCACTAGAGCCATGTTAATTTAATGTCATTTTGGAGATTCTAGATAATAATCTAGGAAAAGAATAGAATTGTCAGGTGTCAGGATTAGAAAGGAACAGATAAATCTATTGTTATGTTAGATCACATGATAATTTGAATAGAAAAAAATAAGATAATAAACAAATACATTATTAAAACAACAAGAGTTTGGCAAAATGTCAGATTTTGGTCAATTTCCAAAACCAAATATTTCTCTGCAAAAGTAAAACTACTAAAAAATATAATACTTTACAAAATATAAGACCATAATAAAAGTAAAATATAATTAAATATTGTTGCTGTTGCTCTGCAGAAAGAAGATGGACCCTCATCCAAAATCTGGTTTGGCTGTTGCCACACTCAAACTGAGAGGGCGTGAAATGTTTATCACTCGCATAGCAGAGATCTTGGGGGACAGCGTGGCAGGCTCCCCAAACTGGACTTAAAGTGATTTGAGAGAGTGGGGAAAGGGAGGAGACTGGCTAGGTTGTTTTTGTTGATGTTGTTGTTGTTTTGCTTTGTTTTAATACCGACAGGGTCTCACTATGTTGCCCAGGCTAGGTTGGAACTCCTGGGCTCATGCAGTCCTCCTGCCTCAGCTGCTGAGTAGTTGGAACAACAGGTACACACCACTCACTGCACCTGGCTTGGCTAGGGTTTTGTATTGCATATAGGGAGTGAGGCCGCCTGGGTGAGGAATTCCGTACATCAGTAGGTGGTTGCCTGGCTTGAAACCCCAACTGGTGCCAAAGGAGAGAGCACCAGGTTTTTTTCTAAGCTTGCCCAGAAATGAGGCTCAAGGCTAAGAAGAAGGAACGAGGCTTAAAAAGCTGTCTCAGGCCGGGCGCGGGGGCTCACGCCTGTAATCCCAGCACTTTGGGAGGCCGAGGCGGGAGAATCACGAGGTCAGGAGATCGAGACCATCCTGGCTAACACGGTGAAACCCCGTCTCTACTAAAAAATACAAAAAATTAGCCGGGCGTGGTGGCGGGCGCCTGTAGTCCCAGCTACTCGGGAGGCTGAGGCAGGAGAATGGCGTGAACCCGGGAGGCGGAGCTTGCAGTGAGCCGAGATCGCGCCACTGCACTCCAGCCTGGGCGACAGAGCAACACTCCGTCTCAAAAAAAAAAAAAAAGCTGTCTCCGGAGTCAGACATTAAACAATTAGGGTTGGATTCTTTATTACAAACAGCGAAAAAATAAACATAAACACACAATCAACGTTAAAAGTAACTTTTTAAAGTGACTGACAGTTTTCTAAAACAAAAGATATTTCTTGCACATGGTTACGATGAGCTAAAAATAGAAACATGTTAGTTATTCCTAAATTAATCTATAGATTCAAGTCATTTCCATCGAAATTCCCACTGGAGTTTTTGAGAAACTCAATACATTGATTCAAAAATTTATGAGATACAGAATGTTTTGAATAATTAACTCTTTAAAAAAAAGCAAAGAAGAATGATTAAGCATATCAGATACTGTGATATACCATAAAGTTATAAAAATAAGTTATAAAGTTATAAAAATAAGACCAGTAAGGTGCCGGCTCAACAAGAATCTGCAAGGCTAATGTGACACAATAGAGATCTCGATGACATATTTAAACTTAGGCTCATAAAATCTGGAAAAGTTAGTACTAAAAACCAATGGCCAAAGGGACATTTTAGCTTAAGGTTTTGGAAAAACTGAGTCACTACATAAAGAAAAATATAAAAATACAATTTCATGATTGCCTTGAAGTTAGTCTGATATATATATATCAGACTATATATATGATATATGTTATATATACTATGATATATATAATGTATATATATAATATATAATATATTATATTACATATTATATATTACATATTATATATTATATATTATATATTATATATTATATATTATATATTATATATTATATATTATATATATACTATGATATATATATAGTTAATTAAAACGTTAGAAAATTACCTTCCATAGGCCCTAGGTGTGGGCAATGTTATGGGTAGTTTATTTGCCATTATTCTAGGGCAATATGTGTTTGTTTCAAATAACGCAGTAAGTTGGAAAACTAATCAATTCACTTTTTCAAGACATTATACATAATAACACAGTGTAGTCTGAAAGAAACGAAGTAATACATAGATTTTGCTTTTAATAAACATATCTGAAGCATTTGGTTCCAGGTATCTTAAAAACTAAATGTGAAAGGAAAAAAATTGAATAGATGGCAATGTAGGAAAATACATTTGTAACCTAAAAGCAGGGATGGTCTTCATAACCTAAATGCCGAAAGCACAAATCACAAGGTATAATATTGCTATATTTGATATGTGATTATATCAAAAGAAAAAATTATGTTCCATATGGAATATGACACAGTTTACTGACAGATCACAGATTGTGGGGAACTATTTGCCAAGTCTAATACCAAAAAGCATCCATACCCAGATTACACAAGGACTCCTCAAGTAAACAAGAAGAAATGTAGGCACATCAGTTGAAATACTAAGCAAAGGATATGAACAGATAAAGTGATTCAGAAAAGAAGCCAGAAAGCAAAAGAGCATTTGGAGAGTTGTTCAAACATTATAGTAATTAAAGGAATGCAAATTAAAACAATAATCGGATATCATTTCACTCATAAGAGATTGGCAAAAACAGCTGGGTAATGCAGTGTTAGTAAAATTCTGTGGATAGAGGAAACCTAATCTGCAGCCAATAAGAATACAGACAGGTGCAGCCATTCTGCAGAGAACCTGGGGGCCCTGGTCCAGTTAAATATGCCCAGATGTGGTGACCATCAGTCCCGCTGCTGTGACCATATAGAGAACAGTTCTCACACAGTTTGATGATGGGATGTGTACAATTATGTTCATCAGAACATTGTCTTTGGGAGTGGTGGTTAGAGGCAATCAAGTTGTCCATAACTTGGGGAAATTTAAGACATAATGGATTCATACGGAAAATATTACGCAAAAATAATAGGTCACAAAATAGTTGTAAGCACTGAAATAGAAGATAAATTTTAAAAATACAAAAAATTAGCCGGGCATGGTGGCAGGTGCCTGTAATCCCAGGTACTCAGGAGGCTGAGGCAGAAGAATTGCTTGAACCCAGGAGGCAGAGGTTGCAGCGAGCTGAGATCGCACCATTGCACTCCAGCCTGGGTGACAAGAGTGAAATTCTGTCTCAAAAACAAAACAAAACAAAATAGAAACATAGATTGGAGTGGAAAACGAGAAATAGATTAAAGTCTATATCAAAAGCTATTTATTTAATGTAAAAGTGTATGTTTGGAAAGTAATATTACAAACTGGGTAAGAACGAATACAAATGAAAGAATATGTATCAGTGATATTTGAATGGCTGCCTATGGCAGGGGAATGGAATTAGGGTATGAAAGAGAGAGAAAGTAAAATGCCATCTATATTTAGAAATAAAGAAAGAGGGGCTTTGCAATCGCAGTCTTTACTGCGATTCAAGGCACGATTACCTTGAAGTTAGCCTGAAGTTTACATATGTGGTGAAAACTACCTTCTACAAGCTCTAGGTGTGGAAAACTTCATGGGAAATCTTTTCGCAATGATTCTAGGACACTATATATTGTGTTTCAAAGCATGCAGTAAATTAGAAGGTTAATCAACTCATTATATTAAGACAGGTTACACACAATAACCCAGTATAGTTCCAAAGAAAAAGCAATCAATTTTTTTGATTCTCTGGACAAAAATCCCGAAAAGAATTAAGTCAATCTCAACAATAATTTTAAAAGAAAATTTTCAATAACCAAATAGTACTTACTGCAATGAAGGATTTTCTTTCCCATTTTTAAAATCTTACAATATATCACATTGCTTCAAAATAACAAATGAACTAGGCTATGCCATCCCATCAATAGCTGCAGAAGTGATATTTAATAAAAACCAACACTTCTTTTCTTTTATTTTTAAAACAAAATTTTAATAAACTAAGAATAAGAGTTATTATTATTTTAACATAATAAATAATTTACATGTTCTTCAATGAACTATATGTACATCCTCATGGTACTTCCTGCATAGTGCAAGTACTATTATGATTAATGAATGATATGTAAATATCTTAAACTGATAATATCTTCAAAATAATTTATAGTAAAATTAAACAGTGAATAGCTGGGTAGTAATTACAAATGTGGGAATCTGCTTGTAGAAAATAACATGTGCTGATTTCTGATTATTAAAAAAGCTCATGGCCAAAAAGCTGATTATAAAAAAGTTGATATTTATCTCAATACATTTTACTACTAAACTATTAGAAACAGCATATGTGTCCAACAATACAGAAATTGTTCAATAAAATATGGTAACAGACTTTTAAAGGAATATTAATCAGGCATATCATCTATTTCAATAATCTTTAATGATATAAGAAAATGCTCACAACACAATATTAAATGACATCCTAATACTAAACCTTGCCTGTGTATGCTTAGTAAATAGATGAAATTTAAATAATGCATAACTCTGAGTATTGAAATAACGAGTTAATTTTTGTAGTGTCCAAATTCTTATACCATTTCATAATCATAAAGTGACTATAAATTATAGATGAATTTAAAAAATAGAATTGAGATTATAGGAAAATATCTTTCAAAAAAATTTTAAATCTCTTGTAATTTTAAACATAATGTATATTTTACAAAAATTAAAACACTTAGGATATATGTTACATAACGATTATATCAAAAAAATGAATGTAGCTCAAAACAAGTATATGAGCAGTTATGCTGGTATTTCTTTTTCCCAGAACCTGCCAAGCCTTGAGCAGTGTCAGACAATCAACAGTCATTAGAAGACGAAAAAGCCTCGATGACTTTTACAGAATTGCTCTTCAATAATGTAGTTTCTGACTGTTTGACCAGCCTCTTTTTACATTTTCTCCTGAGGCTCTGAAACTTTCTTAATCTTCTTAGTGATGAGAAATCTTTTGCTTTTTTTCTTGCTCAGAAAAATATCTTTGGAGTAAATGGCTGGCAAATTGAATTTCTCTGCCTTGCAAAGCCTTTTTAATGCAATCAATTGCAATGTAAGTGGAAGCTGCCATTGCAAGTCTAGTAACACCAGTAATATTCACAGGAAAAGCTACAAAATCAATCTTGGTATGGAAATATTTGTTGTAAAATCAAACTAGTGCTTATTGCCAAGGCGATTACTATGACTGATCAAATGGGTATCAAGCCTTCCCACAACACATTTAATAGAAGCATGGCTTCTATTAATTATTCTATTAATGCCATTTAATAGAATAATGGCTTACCATCTTCATCTGCAAAAAGCCAACACCTCTCTCCAGTTCCATGACTAGCTGTGCTTTCTGCTTACCTCTTGCTACTTTTTTTTTTTTTTTTTTTTTTTGAGACAGCCTTGCTCTGTCGCTCAGGCTGGAGTGCAGTGGCACGATCTCGGCTCACTGCAACCTCCACCTCCTGGGTTCAAAAGATTCTCCTGCCTCAGCCTCCCGAATAGCTGGGATTACAGACACATGCCACCACGCCCAGCTAATTTTTGTATTTTTAGTAGAGGCAAGGTTTCACCATGTTGGCCAGGCTGGTCTTGAACTCCTGACCTCAGGTGATCTGCCCACCTCAGCCTCCCAAAGTGCTGGGATTACAGGCGTGAGCCACCTCGCCCAGCTACCTCTTGCTACTTTTAAAACATGGCCTTTTTCTGATTATAAAATTAATGCAGGCTTATTACAGAAGTAGTGTGAATTTTACAGTCACAGACTCTGGTGTGCAAACATAACCATTTACTTCAAATAATTGTACTTACCAAGCCCCCACCTGCCAAGTGCAGACAATTTATGTACCTATGTAATTTCCTCAGGCATTTTGTAACTTCCACTTGGTTCTGAGTCTGCTGCTTCCCTTCTCTGCCCTGTCTCCTGGGGTGACCTAAGATTTAGGGATGTTGTTGTCCTGGCATTGTGGGAAGGTGAGACTCTGGGCCCAAGTTTGCAGTCTTTTCTCATGGGTTGGTGAAATGCTACTGTGGAAAGTGTTGACTTCCCCACTTACTTTCTTGATGACAGAAGATAGCTATTTCGGGGCGTGCAAAGTCCCATTAAGTTCAAAGGATGTTGGCCTTTTACTTAATAATGATGTCTCCCTGCCTGTGGGATGTGAAAGTTTATGACCCAGTCTTTGCCAACGCAATCCCAGGGGACGGTCTTTAGGAATCTTCTGCAAAACATTTGGTTCCTACTGATTATGACCCCTTATTTACTCTGCACAATATCTTTGCCATTATCAAACCCTGAGGTATAATGTCTAATCCATAACATCTTGCCTCACCCAGGTAGCTCCCTCCTGCCCCAGCTCACACTGGCTATTTTTCTTGCTTGCTGCACAGCAGCTGTGATCTGAGTGTCAGAGGCTTTCGAACCAGAGCGACTCCATTTTGAGTGACGGCCGGGGAAATAAGGCTGGGACTTGCTGGCCTTCATTCTCAGAAAGTTAGGTATCCTGAGCCTCTAGATATTTAAGATGAAGGGGACAAATTAATAATGTTTACTAAACAGACCCAGACTTGGGAGTGTCTAGATATCACGACATCTGGAGAACAAAGGCATTCCTAATATTGCATTAAAGCTAATAATATTGATTCTTGCAAAATATAGTAAGGATTAAAAAATTAATCCTTTATCACAAATCCTTGTAGCAGAGCACATCTCCCCATATATACAAGCATTGTACCTAGGGTGGATGCGTTCCTCCTCTTATTTTCAGGAATGTCCCACGTCCCACTCTGTCTATGGAGTAGCTGTTCTTTCTCCACTTTACTCTCTTAATAAACTTGCTTTTACTTTGCACTAAGGGCTCTCCCTGAATTCTTTCTTGCAGGAGATCCAAGAACCCTCTCTTGGGGTCTCGATCAGGGCCCCTTTCCTGTAACACCAGGACTTCCAATAGTTGCATTCATTTGTTGGATACAGTTTCCTGAATCTCAGGTGTTTTTTTTTTTTTTTAATGTTGATTTCCTCACCAACTGTACAGAAGCACATGCTGGAGTAAATTCCTCAACATGGTACACAGAAGGTACATCCCATAGGATGGCTCAGATTACCAGTAGCAAAATTTGTTGAAGGAAAAAAATGGGAATTTAATAATTATTTACCTGAAGAGTCTGTAAGTGGGGTAGGTGGGAGACACATTTGGATCCAGACTCTGAGCTGTCCCACTGTTACAGGAAAGGGGTCCCGATCCAGACCCCCAGAGAGGGTTCTTCCATCTCGCACAAGAAAGAATTCAGGGCGAGTCCACAGTGCAAAGCAAAAGCAAGTTTATTAAGAAAGTAAAGTGTTGAAAGTGCAGCTACTCCATAGACAGTCGGGCATTTCTGAAAGTAAGAGGAGGAAACGTGTCCACCCTAGGTACAATGCTCGTGTGTGTATGTATATAGGATAAAAAAAGATCATGAGGAGATGTGCTCTGGTACAAAGGTTTGTGATAAAGAATTAATTTTCTTAATTACTATATTTTGAAATAATATTATTATCTTGAAAGAAAAATTAGGAATGCGTTTGTTCTCCAGATATCAGGATATCTGGGCATTCCCAAGTCTGGGTCTGTTTAGTAAACATTATCAGTCTGTTCCCTTAACCATAAACATCTAGAGGCTAGGAATACCTAACTTTCTGGGAATGCAGCCCAGTAAGTCCCGCCTCATTTTCCCAGCCCTTGCTCAAATGGATTCGCTCTGGTTCCAACGTCTCTAACGTCTCTGGGATCCTCTCTACTCCATCCTTCTTTCTTCAAGCATTCTGATATTTCAGTTAGGCTGACTGTCCACATAAGAGAAAACTGAATGAATGAAGCCCTTCAGGCCGAACATACACGTCGGGCCATCCTGAAAAGGACTGACAGTTTCTTCTCAGCATTCTAAGGGTCCTCACACCTGAGACAATCAATGCAGCCTTTTCCTTCAACATGACTACAACATTTATTTGTAATAGAGTTAGATTCATTGGTCACAGTTTGCTTCGACCTTGGCTTCTATCAATATCCTCGTTGATTTTAAAAATTGGAATAAAATATGCACTTAACTCTTTGTGGTGTATAGTTCCATGGGTTTTCGCAGATGCCTAGGGTTATACATCCATCAGCAAAGTACCATACAGAATAGACAATTCATCACACACACACACACACACACACAAACACACAATTATCCCTGCATGGCCTTTTTTGGCTGTCATCAATCCTTCATCTTCAGCTGCGAGCAACCACCGATCAGTTCTCTGATATAGTACTACCTGTTCCAAAACACTGTAACAGTTGAATCAAACAACATACAGTCATTTGGGTTTGGTTTCTTTCACTAAGCAAAATTCACTCCAGATCCATCCATGTTGCATGAATGAATAAATGTTTCTTTCTTACGACTAAATAGTGCTCCACGTTATGGATGCACTAGAGACTGTTTATCCATTCATTTGCTGAAGGCTGTCTGGGTTGTTTCAGTCTTTGCAAAGCATGAAAAAAGGTGCTACATATTTCATGTTCAGCAGTGGTCCCCAACCACCAGCCATGCACCAGGCCATGGTTACAAACTGGGCCAAACAGCCGATGAGTGTTCCCCAAGCCAGGGAGTGAAGCTTTATCTGTATTTACAGCCGTCCCCTATCACTCACATTACCACCAGCGCTCTGCCTCCTGTAGATCAGTGGGGGCATTAAATTCTTGTGGTGGCATGAACCCTGTTGTCAGCTGCATACACAAGGGATCTACTTTGTATGCTCCTTATGAGACTCTAATGCCTGATGATCTGTCACTGTCTCCCATCGCCCCCAGATAGGACTGTCTAGTTGCAGTGTGTCCGGAATTGGTGAGTTCTTGGTCTCACTGACTTAAAGAATGAAGCCGAGGACTCTTGCAGTGACTGGTACAGCTCTTAAGGTGGCGCGTCTGGAGTTTGTTCCTTCTGATGTCTGGATGTGTTCGGAGTTTGTTCCTTCTGGTGGGTTTCTGGTCTCGCTGGCTCAGGAGTGAAGCTGCACACCTTGGCGGTGAGTGTTACAGCTCTTAAGGCGGTGCTTCTGGAGTTGTTCGTTCCTCCCGGTGGGCTTGTGGTCTCGCTGGCTTCGGGAGTGAAGCTGCAGGCCTTCGCGGTGAATGTTACAGCTCATAAAAGCAGTGTGGACCCAAAGAGTGAGCAGTAGCAAGATTTATTGCAAAGAGCGATAGAACAAAGCTTCCACACTGTGCAAGGAGACCACAGCAGGTTGCCACCGCTGGCTCCCGCAGCCTGCTTTTATTCTCTTATCTGGCCCCACCCACATCCTGCTGATTGGTAGAGCCGACTGGTCTGTTTTGACAGGGCGCTGATTGGTGCGTTTACAATCCCTGAGCTAGACATAAAGGTTCTCCAAGTCCCCACTAGATTAACTAGATACAGAGTGTGGACACAAAGGTTCTCCAAGGCCCCACCAGAGTAGCTAGATACAGAGTGTCGATTGGTGCATTCACAAACCCTGAACTAGACACAGGGTGCTGATTGGTGTGTTTACAAACCCTGAGCTAGACACAGAGTGCCGATTGGCGTATTTACAATCCCTGAGCTAGACACAAAGGTTCTCCAAGGACCCACCAGAGAAGCCAGATACAGAGTGTCAATTGGTGCATTCACAAGCCCTGAACTAGACACAGGGTACTGATTGGTGTGTTTACAAACCTTGAGCTAGATACAGAGTGCCGATTGGTGTATTTACAATCCCTGAGCTAGACATAAAGGTTCTCCACGTCCCCACCAGACTCAGGAGCCCAGCTGGCTTCACCCAGTGGATCCCGCACCAGGGCTGCAGATGGAGCGGCCTGCCAGTCCCGCTCCGTGCACCTGCACTCCCCAGCCCTTGGGTGGTCGATGGGACTGCGCGCCGTGGAGCAGGGGGCGGCGCTCATCCGGGAGGCTCCGGCGGCACAGGAGCCCCTAGACGGGGTGGGAGGCTCGGGCATGGCGGGCTGCAGGTCCCGAGCCCTGCCCCGCGGGAAGGCAGCTAAGGCCCGGTGAGAAATCGAGCGCAGCGCCGGTGGGCTGGCACTGCTGGGGGACCCAGTACACCCTCCGCAGCGGCTGGCCTGGGTGCTAAGCCCCTCATTGCCCGGGGCCGGCAGGGCCGGCTGGCTGCTCCGAGGGTGGGGCCCGCCAAGTCCACGCCCACCCGGAACTCCAGCTGGCCCGCAAGCGCCGCGCGCAGCCCCGGTTCCCGCTTGCCCCTCTCTCTCCACACCTCCCTGCAAGCTGAGGGAGCCGGCTCTGGCCTTGGCCAGCCCGGAAAGGGGCTCCCACAGTGCAGCAGTGGGCTGAAGGGCTCCTCAAGTGCCGCCAAAGTGGGAGCCCAGGCAGAGGAGGCGCCGAGAGCGAGCGACGGCTATGAGGACTGCCAACCCGCTGTCACCTCTCAGCAGGAAAACAAGCTTGGGGCTCCCATTGATTCTACGTTATGGTGAGCTGTATAATTATTCCATTACTACAAGGTAATAATAATATAAATAAAGTGCACAATAACTGTAATGTGCTTGAATCCTCCTGAAACCATCCTCCCCACCGCATCCTGCCCTAATCGGTGGAAAAATTGTCTTCAATGAAACCAGTCCCTGGTGCCAAAAAGGTTGTGTGAATGTAAATTTTCATTCCATTTGTATAAATACTTGGAAGTGGCTTTCCTGGGTTAGGTGGTAAATGTGTGTTTAATTTTAAAAGACTCTGCCAAATGGACTTTCAAAGTTGCATTAGATTAGACTCTAATGCAGCTGCTGATCTGACAGGAGGCGGAGCTCAGGTAGTAATGTGAGCAAAGCGAGGCAGATAAGTACAAAGTTCTCTTGCTGACCGCTCACCTCCTGCTGTGTGGCCCGGTTTGGATGCGAACAGTAATGTGTGAGAGATCCAGTTTCTCTGCATCCTCACCAGGACTTGATGGTTTCAGTTCTTGTTTTTGTTCTGTTTGTTTTGTTTTGTTTTGTTTTTAAGTTTTAGCCAGTCCAGTAGATGCGTAATTGTATCGCATTGTAGGTTACTATGCATTTCTCCAATAACTAGTGATGTTGAACATCTTTTATATGCTTACCTGCCATTCATGTATCCTCTTAGGTAAAATGTCTGTTCAGATCATTTGCCCATTTAAAAAAGTGTGTTGTTTTCTTATTTTTCAGTTTTGAGAGCTTCTTGTATATTCTGGGTAGAATCTGTATCTGATAAATTCGGTTATCAGATATGTGGCTTAAAAATATTTTCTTCCAGCTTGTGGCGTGTCTTTTCGTTTTAACAGTGTATTTCAAAGGGCAAAAATTGCTGAAGGCCAATTTATCATTTTTTCCTTTTATGAATCGTGCTTTTAACATCATATCTACAATTAACTTCTTCCAAAACCAGACTTTCACTGATGTTTATTATTCCTTCTGCTAGAAGTTTTACCACCTTTTATTTTATATTTAGATCCATGATCACTTTTAATTACATCAATTTATGTAAGGTGTTTTTTTAAAATATGAATATTCTATTGTTCCAGCACCGTTTGTAGAAAATTCCATTATTTCTCAATTGAATTGTTTTTGCACTTTTCTCGTAAGTCAGTTGACCTGACTTGTGTTGGTGTATTTCTAGACTGTCTACTCTGTTTCATCGATCTATGTCTCTAAATTTTCATCAATTCCACTCTCTCTTGATTATCGTGATTTTGTTATGAATCTTGAAATCAGGTAGTGCGAATCCTCCAAATTTGTTACTTTTAATGTTTGTATTAGCTATTCTGTTTTCTTTGGCATTCCTTATATTTAAGCATCAGCTTAATATCACTAGAATATCACTAGAAATATCACTAGAAACCTTGCTCAGATTTCAACTGAAATTACATTGCATCTATTGATCAAATTGGGGAAACCTGACATTTTAACATATTGAATCTTCTAAGCCACAAACATGATATATCTCCCTTTATTTAGGTATTCTTTGATTTCTTCCATTACCTCTTTATACGCGTACAGACTTTGCATGTATTTTGTTAAATATATACCTAAGAATTTAAAAATATAAATTATATTTTTAAAATGAAAAAATCCATTTGTCAATAGCTAACCTGTAGACATTATATGGACTTTTGTATATTGACCGTGTTTCATAAGATCTGATTGAACTCACTTTTTCTTGAAGTTTTTCTGTAGATCCTTTTGAATTTTCTAGACAATTATGTCACATGAGTACAGACAGGATTTACCTTTTCATTTACAATATGTAGGTCTATTCTTGACTTACTGCACTGGGTACAGCTTCCAGGAAAATGTCAATTAGCAGTATAAGGAAGGGGCCTCCTAAGGTGGTCTGCTAAGGGTGGAAACATTCATTCTTTCACCATTTAGATTGATGATACCTGTAGATTTTTTTGTAGATGCCCTGGAACGGGTTAAGGAGGTCCCTTTCTAGTAGTTTACTAAGAGTTTTGTATTTGTTTCTTTTATTCATATAAAATTCCCATAACAGAAAATTCATCATTTTAACTATTTTAAAGTTTATGACTCAGTGATTTTTAGTATTTTCACAATGTTGTACAACCACAGCTACTAATTCCAGAATATTTCCACACTCCAGAAGAAACCCGTATTTCCAAATTCCCCTCTCTCCCACTCCCTAGCAACCACTAATCTACTTCCTGTCACTATAGATTTGCGTATTTTGAACATTTCATATAAATGAAATCATAAAGTAGTGTTTGTGTGTGTGTGTGTTTGTCTTCTTTTACTTAGTGCAATGTTTTCGAGATCCATCCTTACTCTACTATGTAGCAGTACTTCATTACTTTTTGTGGCTGAAACAAATTATATGGATGGACTACATTTTGTTTATCCTTTCCTCAGTTGTGGAGCATTTGGGTTGTTTTCACCTTTTGCCTGTTATGAATAATCCTGCTATGAAAAGTCCTATATGTTCATATATGTTTGTATGAACATAAGGTTGCAATTATTTTATGTAAATCCCTAAGAGTGGAGTTGCCGTATCACATGATAAATTCTATTTTTTTTTTTTTTTCCGACACGGAGTCTTGCTCTGTCGCCCAGGCTGGAGTGCAGTGGCGCGATCTCGGCTCACTGCAAGCTCCGCCTCCCAGGTTCAAGCGATTCTCCTGCCTCAGCCTCCCGAGTAGCTAGGATTACAGGCACATGCCACCACGTCCAGCTAATTTTTTGTATTTTTAGTAGAGATGGGGTTTCACCGTGTTAGCCAGGATGGTCTCGATCTCCTGACCTCATGGTCTGCCCTCCTTGGCCTCACAAAGTGTTCGGATTACAGGCGTGAGCCATGGTGCCTGGCCACTTGTCACTTTCTTGATAGTGTCCATTGATACACAAAAGCTTTTGATTTTGATGAAACTCAATTTAGCTTTTTTTTCCTTTGATTACTTGTGCTTTTGGTGTCATATTTAAGAAACTGTTGCCTAATCCAAAGTCACAAATATTTACACCTACATTTCTTTGAAGGAATTTTATAGTTTTATCACCTATATTTATACATGCTATATTTTGAATTAAATGTTGCATATGGTGTGACATGGATATCCATCCTTTTGCATGTGGATATCTGTTTTTCTAGTGCCATTTGTTGAAAAGATTATTCTTTCCTCACAGAATGCTCTTGGCACCCTTGCCAAAAATCAATTGACCAGAGATACATGGATTGATTTCTGGACTCTCAATCTGGTTCCATTGATCTATATGCCTATCTTTATGCCAATATCACACAATTCTGATTATTGTAGCTCTGTAGTAAGTTTTGAAACCAGGACATTTGAGTCCTCAATCTTTGTTCCTCTTCTTCAAGGTTATTTTGACTACTTGAGGTCCCTTGCATTTCCATATGAATTTTAGGATGGATGCATAAATGTCTGCAAAATGAGGCAGTTGGAATTTTTATAGGGATTGCACTGAATCTGTAGTGAATATGGGGAGAAATCCATCTTAATGGTATTAAAATTTCCAATCCATGAACATGGAATATCTTCTCATTTATTTAGGTCCTCTTTAATTTCTTTCAACTATGTTCTGTAGTTTTCAGTATGTTAAGACTTACACTTTCTTGACTTAATATACTGCTAAGTATTTTATCCCATTCAATGCTATTGTGAATGAAATTGTTTTTAAAATATCCTTTTCAGATTGTTCATTGCTAATGTATAGAGATACATGTGATTTTTCATATTGATTTGTATCCTGAAACTTTGCTAAACTAGTTTATTAGTTGTAATAGGTTTTTCAGTATGTATTTGTGGATTCTTTAGAATTTTCTATATATAAGATATGCCATCTGTGAATAGAGACAGTTTTATTTCCTTTTCAATCTAGGTGCTTTTTATTTCTTTTTTCTTGTTTAATTGCCTTGGCTAGAAATTCCAGTACATTGTCAAATAGAAGCAGTGAAAAGGGATACGCTTATCTTCTTCCCGATCTTAGCAGATGTTAGCTGTGGGTTTTTCACACATGCCCTTGATCAAGTTGAGGAAGTTCCCTTCCACTATTAGCTTGTTGAGTGTTTTATTTTTAGTCATGTAAAAGTGTTAAATATTTCCAAACGCTTTTCTGCATCTATTGAAATAATCATATGGTTTATTTTCTATTTATTAATATGGTTTTTTACATCCATTAATTTTTGCTAAGAGTTTTTATCATGAATCGCTTTTGAATTTTGCCTGTTTCTTTCGCACCTATTGAGATAATTATTTGACTTCCTTCTTAGTCTGTTGTACAGTAAACTACATTGATTGATATTTAAATATCGAACTAGGCTTCCATCATTGAGATAAGAACATGATTGTGATGTAAGTTTTTTATATGTTTCTGAATTTGATTTGCTATTATTTTGTCAAGGATTATTTGTATTAGTGGTTTTTTGGGATATTGAACTGTAGTTTTCTTTTGATATAATTATCTGATATTGTTATTAGGGCAATTCTGGCTGAAAATGTGACTGTGAAGTGTTCTCTTTTCTATTTACTGGAGAAAGTATAATAAAGTTAGTATTATTTCTTCCTTAAACGTTTATAGGATCTGTCAATGAAAACATTTGGGCTTGGAATTTTTTTATTGAAGGTTTTGAGCTATCAATTCAACTTATCTAATTGACATAGAACTATTCATTTACATACTTCCCTTTGAGCAAGTTTTGATAGCCTGTATCATTCAAATCATTTTTAGGTTTCATCTAATTTTGTGAATTGATGGGCATAGAGTTGTTGCTATCATTTCTTTGTTATCTTTTTAATGTCTGCAGAGAAGTTGTAATATCCACATGCTTGCTATTGTTGACTATAGTGTTCTATATACACTGATTCAGTCAAGTTGTTGGATAGTATTGTTGAGGTTAGCTAGATCCTTACCAGTTTTCAGCCTACTGTTCTATTATTTCTGAAACACCAGAGGTTCCATCTAGGTCCTGCTGCCCACCGCACAGAAAGCCAATCACTGAGACAACAAGGATTGCCAAGGAAGAAGGCTTTAATTGGGTGCTGCAGCCGAGGAGATGTAAGCTCAGTCTCAAATCCATCTCCCTGACCAAATAAAACTAGGGGTTTGTATAGCAGTGAAGAAATGTAACCATGTGTAAGAAAAAACCTAGGGAGTGGCAAAGACGCAATCATGGTAAATGAGGGTCCTGGCATCTGATGTGGTGATCTGGTGTGTTTCTGTTCTTTTATACTTTTTTGAGAAGACTGATATGGTGAGTTTCAGTTCTTTGATACTTTTTTTAAGAGGCCAGAAGGTCCTTTCCTGGGGAAGGAACGCAGATAAAGCAAATATAACTTTCAAGCTTTAAGACCAAAAGGATACATTTCTATGTGTATTCAAAATGGACAGTCTGTGGGACTATTGGGTTGGTTTCACTGTCAGTTACTGAAAGAGGAATGTTGAAGTCTCAAGTATAATTATGTATGTGTACATTTCCTCTTTAATCCCATCAGTTTTTGCTCCATGTATTTTGTAGCTCTACTGCTAGGTACATAAACATTTTGGATTGTGTGTCTTCCTGGAGACATATTCCCCCTTTATGTATGTCCCTCTTACTAGTATTTTTTTCTATCTCTTCCAACTCATTTTTGTTTTTCCCTCTTGTTTTACCTTTTCTTGGGTTACTTGAGCATTTTGTTACTCATTTAATCTTCTCTATTGACTTTTTTATCTTTTCCATTTTTATAGCTTACCACAGAGTTTTCCATATACATTTTAATTATTCATATGTTCTCTTCATATATCATACCACTTTATAAACAGTGAAAAAATGTACAGTATTTTCCCAATTTATTTCTCATATCCTTTGTGTTATTGTAAATTTTACTTTTTCATAGGCTATAATCATACAATATGCATTTTTCCTTCTTTTGATTTAGGCAGTCAGTAATCTTTTAGAACAATTTGAATAGGAAAAGAATGTAATAAATAATTTTATTTTTACCTTCACTGATTACATTTTAGTGTTCTTTATTCCTTTGTGTATATTAACTTCTATCTGGTATCATCTTTCTCTTCCTGAAGACCTTCCTTAAATTTTCTTCAGGAGAACTGCTGGTAATAAATTCTTACAATTTTTTTTGTCCAACAAAGTCTTTATACCCACTTCATTTTTAATGATACTTTCACTGAATCACAATAGGGGGTTTTGCTTCCTTTCCTTCTTCTAGCACTTTAACAGTGTCACTCTGTTGTCTCTTAGCTGCATGGATTCTGAAGTCAGCCGTAATGCTTATCTTTGTTCCTTTGAATATATCATATTATACTAGTATAAAAGTCATTGCGGTTTTTGCCATTTGAAAATAATGCAAAAACTGCAATGACTTTTGCACCAACCTAATAGTGTATATTTTTTTCCTCCAGCTGCCTTGAAGATTTTCTCTTAGTCTTACACATGTATCACTTTGGCTCTAATATGCCTAGTTGTTTGTTTGTTTCTGTTTTTTCTTGCTTGATGTTCTCTGAACTTAGATCTGTACTTTGGTGTCTTTCATTTATTTTGTAAATAACTTGTCCATTATTTCCTTTGTTCCATTCTTTCCACTTCTCCTTCTGATATTCCAGTTATGACCATGTTCATTTGTCCATTTTCCTGAGAATGGTCCTGCCAAGTTTTGCCACTGTGCACAGGTCTGGTTGTGGGTTATACACATTACCTCTATGCGCAAGTCTGGCTATGGAGTCTCTTGCGTGGCTTCCTCATAGACATAACTAACCTCCTGGTTTCTGTCCCGGTTAGCAATCTTGCCTGGTGTTTCTCCCGCTCTGGGATGCACCTGGCAGTCCCCCTCTGGGATGCACCCGGCAGTCAGCTTCTCCAAGGTTTCCCTCTCTAGGCAGCCAGGTGTTTGCTGCTTCTACTGTTTCATCACTCAAACGTCTTCATCTATTTTGCATTATCTAGATTTTTAAATGTGTGATATATGTTCTCTGATGCCCACGTCTCGTCGTTCAGCTCTTTTGCTGGTACTTAAGGAGTTCTTGGGTCACTCTGCAGGAACACTGGAGCCCGGCGGCCCCACTCTCTTTATTGGCAGCTCTGGCGTCCTTCCATCACCCACTGCGGCGTCTTGGCCACGATCGGACAGTTCTCCTCATGGCCACAAGAGGGCGAAGAGGAGCTCGCCCTGCCCTTCCGAGGAGGCCAGGTCACCCCTCCAGCCTCCTTCAGAAAACTGCGACTCTACCTTCGTGGAAACGGCGCAGAGGGGTGAGATGGAGCGGGAGAGCACGGAGGACGGAGTGGAGACAGGGGCTAGATTATGTAGGGCCTGTGGGGCTCTCAGGTGTCACTGTCATTTTATTCTAAGTGTGAGGAGGACCCATTGAGCTGGGGCTGATGGGATTTCTTTTGTTTGTTTTGTTTTTGTAAAGATCACGCTTGGATTCTCCAAGGAAGAGAGATGGGGCTTGGAGAGGTGTAGGAGGCTGTAGAAGGGCGAGTTAGGGCTCAGCGGAACCCAGCGGGCGGAGACTAGGACTGAGCCCTAGCTCAGACCCTTTGAATGTCAGTTAATTACAATCAAAAGAAGGTGAAAATTTGCAACTTTCATTCATTCTCCAAAAGGACAGTTTTTCCGTATGTGTTCATTTCTCCTTCACCTTCCTTTTTATTTTTTATGTTTTGTTATAATAAATGTCGAATATCAAAGCAATGTATAAAAACAGACACATATGTGAAAGCTCCAATGTTAATGCTTCAAAGTAAGCCTGTGCAATGCACAAAAAATTAAAAGCAGGTCTTTCCCCCTGTTAAGTAACGTGCTGTTTGATATATGCTATCCTTCATTGCAGTGTGCATACATTAGAGATGAAAGCAGACCGAGCTATAACGGTACTAATAATTCTATAATTTAGTGCTTGCTCCCACATTTGGACACGGTAACGTAAAACCTATGGAAACTGACGTATGTTCAATGGGTTTCTCCAGCCAGATATTTTCACTCTTAACCTTTTATTCAACTCTTTTTTACATCTTTCAATGACTTTTTGTGATTCTATTCATTAAAACCTTAGTGTACTTACATTTACTCTAAGGTGTTTTGTCAACTGTGTTTAATGTGAAAGAGATTATCTTTGTATTTTTACATGCTTCTTGATGATTTGTAAGGCTTCACTTAGAACACATGTGGATTAAGTAGCCAGCCACCTTTGTAAACTGTTAAAAACAATTTCTAGTATTTATTGCAGTGTTTGGGCTTTCTCTGTATATAATGACAGCACTTGAAGATGAAAACACACATGCCCTTTCTTTCC
The DNA here is from genome assembly GCF_000001405.40 of Homo sapiens. Taxonomy (NCBI): domain Eukaryota; kingdom Metazoa; phylum Chordata; class Mammalia; order Primates; family Hominidae; genus Homo; species Homo sapiens. The sequence goes on from NC_000015.10 coordinate 26,840,092, forward strand.
TTTCTTGCCCTTTTGCTTTGGAGACAGCATTCTAAATAGTACTAAAAGACAAGGAGGGTAACTTCAACAGAAATACATAAAAATGGTGATTTCATATATGGTTCAAAATTAAATTGAAAAATTGTCAATAAATATGAATAAAATATATAATCCATTTAAAACAATTCTCAGATTGGCTGGATATTTTTCAAACAGCAAAATCCAGCCACATGGTTTACAAGAGACACATCTACCACAGGATACATTGCTTGTGACTCATGTTTACTTACAAAAATGTCTATTTCAACTATGATCCGACTCAATAGAAAGATTAAAAATAGAGAATGCAGAGATATATACTAGAAATAATTACCCTAAAGGAAACTGATGTGGCTGCAGACTTTAAGGCAATCAAAGTAGACTTCTACTTTAAGTAGACTTTAAGGCAAAATAATTACTGGAAATCAAATGGATATTTTAGAATAAAAAAATTATCCAATTTACTGAAAAGATAAACTGTTTGAAATTTGTTTTCATATACCAATGTATTCTTTTAAACTTTTAAAGAAAACATTTATGGAATATGAGGGAAAGCAGATTAATCTACAATAACAATGTAAGAATTTCAGTACACATATCTATTAATAATAGACAAAATATTCGTGAAGCTATAGAAAACTTGAGCGCTATGATTCACAAAATTGACCTTATGAACACATATTGAACACTCTATCCAATAAATGTGAAATACATGCTCTCTGCAAGGTCGGGTGGAATATTTACAAATGTTATTCCATTGTACAGCCTGTCTCAATAAATTTCAAAAGGAGAAAGTAGTGTACTACTTTCCTTAAACATAATGCAATTAATTTCAAAACCAATGGAAAAAGATAAACACAAAATTGCCATTTGCTAGGTAATCAACCCATAGATCAAAGAAGAAATAAGGATTTTTAAAAATCCAAAATGAACTATATTTTTAAAACTACTTTGAACTTGTGGAATACAACTAAAAATTATTTGGAAAAAGTTTATAGCCATAGATGCTTATTTTGGAAGAGAAAAGATGTCCAAAGACTCCTGGAAGGCAGGCAAAGAAAACCAAATTCTCAAAAAATAGAAGACAAGAATAATGAATAAATAAAACAGCAGAGATTAAAGAAAAAGAAAACACACCTATAACAAAGATAATAGAGCCAAAATTCAGTTCTTTGAAAAGACAAAAAATAATGACATCCCTGGTGAAATTCCAACAAGAATGAAAAAAAAAAAACACACTTAATCAATATTAGGAATAAAACATGAGCACCACTACACAAATCACAAAAATAATAAGAGGATATTGTGAAAATCTTTGTTCTAATATTCTTTGACAATGTAGATAAAATGATCACTTTCGGACAAAAATAAATCTTACCAAGACAGACCCAAAAAAGAACAGAGAAAGTCTAGCAGCAAAAATATGGTTGCAACATAGGTTTATTGATTATTGTTTGTTTGTTCCTTTTATGTCTGAGGGTACAGTGGTGAAAGCAAAGCAAGCAAGTAGGGTAGCCGAGGTGACCGTTGGGGCTGACAGCATCTTCAGCAGAACCAGGTGAGAAAGAGTCCCCGTGAGGCCCATGGTAGAGGAAGGCACAGGCAAGCACTGGAGAGCTGCGAGTCTCCGTGGGACCAGCAGCTACTCTGCAGTGGCAGGGAAGATGGAAGCATCGCCTGGCCCTAGGAGTCCTGGAAGGAAAACGAAATACTCACTCGCCCACCACCGCCTCAATAAGAAAACTGTAGGCTGCGCAAAAATCTAAAGGAATGAATCCTAGAAAAACCAGAACAGCCCCAAAGGCTTCCCTCAGTTAGAAGTAAGTTTAACGGATAGGTGAACATTAAACGGGAAACCCACATCACTTGGCATGCCAGGAAGAGCAAACAAACACTTTCTCTCCAAAGGACAAGGATCCACCTGAAAGAAAAACGAATGGCAACAAAACCTAAAGTGGGCATCCTGGGATCCTAGGAAAAAGAAGGCCCCGAGATCGGGGCAGGGGCAGGGGCTGCAGGCGGCCCTACAGAGCCGGTAAAGGTGAAGGCGGTGCTCTGCGGTGGGAACGGGAAGCTTCCCCAATCAGACTGCATCCTGAGGGACAGGAGCGGACACACGAGGGTATTTTTAATAGTTTGAGACAGTTGTCCTTTTAAAAGGGTGTCCTTGAGCCATGAGTTGAAAGGGACCCTGGACAGTCGCTGCTGTCACAGAGTTGTCCTGATAAAAAACAAAAAAGGATTACAAAACACGTACTTGGAAAAATGTTTAAATTCCAACAAATATTGAAACCTACCGGGGAAAAAAATGTGATGAAAAGAAACCTAAAGATGAAAACTGCAGCTGGTGCTGTGAGCCCCCCTCTCTCATGTTCAGGGCATGCCAGCCCACTCCTGGCGTCTGCTCGGCATTGCCGGGGCATTTTCTGTGGCTGCGTCCCTAGAGACACTGGGTCCGCCTTAGAAGTAAACCCTCCTGGAGCGCCCCTCCCCCAGTGGTGGGGGCTGCTGAGCACCTAGCTGGAGTACCCTTCCCCCGGTGGTGGGGGCTGCTGAGTACCCAGCTGGAGCACCCTTCCCCCGGTGGTGGGGGTTGCTGAGTACCCAGCTGGAGCACTCTTCCCCCGGTGGTGGGGGCTGCTGAGTACCCAGCTGGAGCACCCTTCCCCCGGTGGTGGGGGCTGCTGAGTACCCAGCTGGAGCACCCTTCCCCCGGTGGTGGGGGCTGCTGAGCACCCAGCTGGAGCACCCTTCCCCCGGTGGTGGGGGCTGCTGAGCACCTAGCTGGAGCACCCTTCCCCCGGTGGTGGGGGTTGCTGAGTACCCAGCTGGAGCGCCCCTCCCCCGGTCGTGGGGGCTGCTGAGCACTTAGCTGAAGCACCCTTCCCCCGGTGGTGGGGGTTGCTGAGTACCCAGCTGGAGCGCCCCTCCCCCGGTCGTGGGGGCTGCTGAGCACTTAGCTGAAGCACCCTTCCCCCGGTGGTGGGGGTTGCTGAGTACCTAGCTGGAGCACCCTTTGGGTGGCTTGTTCAGGAGAGCACCTTTACCTCAGCTTTCTGAGTTCCCCAGGGGAAGATGCTGCGATTCTACAGAAAGGAAACTTCCTTGACAATGCAGCCTTAATTGGTTATCGTCCTTTCCAAAAAACACTTCACTGTCATCCACTTCCCATGGTCTGCTTCTGGGAAAACCCAAATTAAAGACAAAACCTCTAATCTAATATTTCAGAATGGTTGAAAATTAAAAAAACTATAAGATTGATAAATATCGTAAAAAACACACGAAGAAAAATAAAAAACAAAAAGAAGAGTGAAAATGTTCAACAATAAATAAAAAAAATATAAAAAAGGCAAGAGAGAAATTAATACATGTAAGACAGGCAAGGGAGATCTAACATGTGTAATACTGAAATTCCCAAACCAGTACACTACAGCGATGAAACAGAACAAATATTTAAAATTAGAATTCTAGAAAACTTTAACAAAATAAAAACATTTTATCGAAATATTGAAGACACATTGCATAAATGAAAGAAGCCAGGCTCCAAAGGGCATATACTGCATGATTGCACCTCTATGACATTCTGGAAAAGGTAAAGCAGGGGAGACAGGAAAATGAGCAGTGGGTATCAGGGGTTGGGGGAAAGGCAGGATGAACAGGTGGAACACAGGAGATTTTTTAGGGCAGTGAGACTTCCATATGATACTGTAATGGAGGCTGCATGACATTATACATTTGTTAAAACTCATAAAATATACAAAGAGTGAACTCTAGTATAAGCTGTAGAGTTTAGTTAATTATAAACTATCAGTATTGGTTCATCAACTGAAACAAATGTACCCCAACTATGCAAGATGTAAATAACAGGGGAAACTGTTTGGAGGGAGAAGAGGTGTGTGGGGGCACTGTGGACTCTGCACTCTGGTCAATTTTTGTATCAACTGAGAACTTCTTTTAAAAATTCTCTATTAACTTTAAAAGTGGAGGAATGGTGATTTTTATATTAGGAAAGGTATATAATGTAATAAAAAGTATTAAATGAGAAAAAAGATGGGTATTTTTATAAAAGGCTACCTTCCCATGTGAATATATAGAAGGTATAAATATCTACACCCCAAATAAAAAATAAACAACTTTTGGACACAGAATATGAAAGAGATCCTAGGAGAAATAGAAACTCCTAACAAGAGGCATTAACATGCCTCTCTCAGACAAGGCCAGATCAAAGAGTCAAAGCATTCGTTAGAATATAGAAGATCTAAAATTATTCAACGAAGCAACTCCAATAGAAATATATTAACCTCAAAACTCTGCCATAAGGGAATATACCTTCTTTTCAAGTGCAAATAAAAATTTATAAAAATTGATACAGTATTAGGCCACAAAGAAGAAAACAACTCTATAAATCACAATGAAAGAAATAATGTGCCATACAATAAAACTAGGAAAGAAATAAACAAATAGCAACAACACTGTATTTCTCTACCTATTCCCTAATAATGTCTCCATTTAAAAAGTCTTGGTTTAAAGGGAAAATGCAAATTCTTCGTAAAGTTACACTGTGAAAAAACATGACAAGGCCAGGTGCAGTGGCTTACGCCTGTAATCTCAGCACTTTAGGAGGCTGAGGCAGGCAGATCACTTGAGATCAGGAGTTTGAGACCAGCCTGGCCAGCATGGTGAAACTCCATCTCTACTAAAAATACAAAAATTACGCAGTTGTGGTGGTGTGCCCCTGTAATCCCAGCTACTTGGGAGGCTGAAGCAGGACAGTCACTTGAACCTGGAGGCAAGATTGCACCACTGTACTCCAGCCTGGGTGACAGAGTGAGATTCTATCTCAAAAGCAAACAAAAACCCATCACATAGGAGAAACACAAAAATGTGATATAAAGTATATGCCTGACAAAAAAATAATGTTTAATTTGTTATTAAATTAATATTAAAAGTATTACTTAAATTAGGCATTAAAATAATTTAATATTATAATGCTTTACATATTAATAGTATATATTTAAAATATAAAATTATAAATTGATAATTAAGATTATTCATTATTAAATTTTAATTAATTTTGCATTAGCAAAAAATGATAATAAATGGATTAAACATCCAATTCCAAAGAGTCAGAGGTTGACCATTGTTTCCAAACCATGTGTGTAGGTGAAGCCAGCCTTGGGGATAGAAAAAAATAAAGGCCAACTCCCCTTATGATTTGGGGACATGAAGAAAGACCCTGCTATCTAAATATACTTCTTTCCCCTAACTTAGATATGACAAACACATTAAATTCTACCCTTAGAAAGTATTTCCTTTAGTTTTCCTTTCATATTGCAAAATACCAGGCATAATTAAAGCATATTAAAGTTCATTGGTTAAGAATGAACTGGATAAATATTCCCTTAGCAAGAATGACCTGGGTGAAAACGAACAGGGAGAAACATAATGGAAAATAATCAAAGCAGAAGGGTGAAAAGCCAAAATTGAAACCCAAAGTAATCAATAAATGCAAGCTACTGCTTAATAGTATTCACATCACACATTCCAGCTTTTCTACTGGGAAGTGCTGAATTCCATTGAAAAATAACCTATTCCAGCTCCCGGAAGTGCAGAACGTTGTCTGAGGTCAGTACAGATGTGCACATGAAATGTTGCATAGCACTGCAAGTCCCAATGTCCAACCCAAGACAATCACACACTCGCCCCCTGCAGAGCTCCATCCCTAGTGGGAATGAGTTTGCCGTCGCTTTTTGGGTGGGGTGGATTCACACCGAGCACATACAGAACTCAGCCCTCCCGCTTTCTAAGCACGAGAGCATGCTTTCAGATCAGTTACTTCTGAGCCTTAGTTTCCTTGTGCATCAAAAGGAATAATTAGGGAACCCCCCTCAGGAGGGGTTTGTGATGACTAATAATGAAAGTAGTAGGCCTGCTGCAGTGTCTCATGCCTGTAATCCTAGCACTTTGGGAGGCCGAGGCGGGCGGATAACCAGACACCAGGAGTTCAAGAGCAGCCTGGCCAACATGGTGAAACCCCGTTTCCACCAAAAATACAAAAATTAGTCTGGTGTGGTGGCACGTGCCTGTCATCCCAGCTACTCGGGAGGCTGAAGCAGGAAAATCGCCTGAACCCGGGAGGCAGAGGTTGCAGTGAGCCAAGATCGCGCCACTGCACTCCAGCGAAACTCTATCTCAAAAGACAAAACAAACAAAACAAAAACAACAAACCAACAAAACAATGGTTGTGCAGTGCTCCCAAGCAGCGGGTACTGGGACAAATGCTGTCAGTCTTTAGCTCGCAGACTCCCCACTACACCCTAAGCATCGGGAATTGGTGTTACCTCCAATGTAGAGAAAAGGGAAAGCTGAGACACCCGTTTGAAACGGGGAAGCTGAGGCACACAGTGGACACACCTGTCTGACTCCGAGGCCCGCACCTAACGGCCATGCTGGCCCAGGAGACAGTCAATACACGTTACTTCGGCTAATAGGATTATGATCACAGTCACTTGGCATTTCTGTTGGGTTTGCAGCAAAAAATAACCGAATATGGTCTGTGAAATGCTCTTTGAAAAAGGGATTTTGGTGCTGAGTTACTTCGGGAATCATTGCATTTTTCTCTCTTTTAGACGGTCATAAAACTGATTAGCATATGAAAAGCTCTGAGAAGCCTCAAAATCATGCATCTCTTTAAACCAGAATTTGATGAACTTAGTTGAACCAAAACCCCGCTGATTTTGCTTTTCATATAGTTGCTGCTGTCCTAAATATCCTAAATAATACTTTCACTCACATGTTGGGGGACAGCGTGGCACACTGACCTAATTGCGTTATAATAGCTCTCACTTGCATCGCATTTACAGATTTCCAAACAACTTGCTGTGCATTTCTTTCATCTCGCCAGAACAGATGTTTTCCTTATACTGGAAGAAGCTGAGGCAGAGAAAGCTTTGGAAACTTTGCAAGTTCACTCAGGTCCAGAACTCCTACAGGAACCCACTTCTTGTCACTTTCTGTTGAGTTCTTTAGCTCATCACAGACATGGGAGGACACTTGATGGGATGACGGGTGGGCTGAAGAAACATTTGAGTGCATCCACGTTAACTTTGTCTTGTATTCTGGAAATAAGGAATGGCCCTACAGCGAGGAGGAGCCACCTCTTCAAGGTCCAACAGAGATATACAAATGGCATAGTAAAGAAATGAAGAGAATCATAGTGATAATCCAGTTTAATGTGTTTTTTTTTAATATTTACATAAATGAGGAGACCGAGGCCCAGTGAACTTCAGTGATCTGTCAACTTTGAAGGAGCGCATAGGCTGGTCTGAGTCCAGGAGGCATCAGTGCGCCCAGCCACCTCTGCACCCTACCTGGCTTCTGCTCCTCCCCTGAGTTGGCTGATCACGGTAGTCTCCCTTGTGAATCTTCTTTTCCTCCTTTATTTTTTTTTTTAAATTGTTGGAAGGCCCATTGTTCAGCCACGGAACATCTCATTTCTTTCTATGCATGCTCCCTACGTGATTCACAGTGTCTGCTCTTCTCATTTTGCCTCTCGATACTCCCTGTCCACCCTTCACTGCCGTCTCTGTGTCTTGGATGTTCAATCTGTGGGCTATAACAGGTGGGCTTCCTTGCTGTCTCATTTGGCTCAGTCAATGGCAAGCATCAGCAGTTCATCAGTGAGCAGGTAGAGGGGGATGCTGGGAGTGCCCGTGCTTCAGCTCCTATACTGCCAGGACGTGGTCTGTCCATGGCATTGTCCTGTTACCGGTGACACAGCCCTTTCTGGTGGTCCTGCTCCCATGGCTACAGACCGCTCTCCCAGAGTCTACACCAGCTTCCTACCATTTTTATGCTCTGAGTTCTAATGGTGACCATTGTTGGTGCCCTTCATGAAACTTTTTTCAGTTGCCCCTTAGTCTATGCCATCTTTTTCTTAACAGCATTTCTATGTCTATAGACAAAATTGTTTGAGTAGAAGGACCCTATATGTGCATCTTCATCTCAGACATTTCCCAAGAACTCAAGATTCATGTTTAATAAGCATTTCAAACTTAAAATGCATAAGACTAAGGTGATATTTCTTTCTCCCTTTCAAATTTGATCTTCTCGCAGTCTTCCATGTTTTAAGTAACTGGCAATCTTTCCAGTTGTTCAGAACTTAATTTCTCTGTTTCCCATACAACCTCACGTCTGAATGGCAGCATAGTCTGTGGCTCTGTCTTCAACAGTCTCTTAACACCTCTGCTGCTACTACTTTGGCCAAAACTATCATCATCTCTTACCTCAATTATTGCAACTGGACTCCACCCTTCTGCCCTGGCTCCCAGGCATCTCCTTCTGTTAAATTAAATTAAATGTGGCCTGAAACTGCCTTCGTGTTTCAAGTTCCTGCATAGAGGACTGTAACCCACATTAGTATACAAAAAACAACTGCAACCTAACTTAAGGGTATTATTCTTGTAACAAATATCTTAGTGTCAGCCAGTCACAGCCACTGAGCTTCAGCCAATCACAGGCTGCCAACTCATCAGACCATGCCTGTATAAGGCAAATGCCTCATCACCACGCAATGCCCCAGTAAGGCAAATGCCCAGCCATGACTAATCAAGCTGTTTCTGTATGGCACTTCCCTTTTTAATGTATAAATACTGCCTGCCCATGTTGCTGGGTGGAGCTCTCTGAAACTCTGCCTGTTCAGGGTGCTGCCCAATTCATGACTCAAATCATTCTTTGCTCAATTAAATTCTGTTTAATTTAATTTGTCTAAAGTTTTTCTTTTAACACTTCCCAACACAGATCTTGCTAAAAGAACATCAGACCAAGTCATTGCTCTGCCCAAATCTTCTGGTGGTTTCACTTCTCAGAGTAAATAGCTAAAAGTCTTGCTGTTACCTATAGGGTCATATGGCTGGCCCTAAGACTTCTCTGCCCTGACTGCCTCAAGCTTCAGTCACCTAACCCTCCCACTACACTGGCCTCAGCTCCAAACTTTGAGTATACCTGGTGCCCTCCTGCTGACATCTCCTGAACTTCCAGTACTTTTCTCCTTGTTGTTCTTGTCCTGGATTTCTGAAGGACTCACTGCTTCACTTTCTTCAAGTCATATGTGATTTTTCTCTGGACACCATAGGTAAAATCTCAAACTGTTCCTCCTCCAACACTTCCTGTCTACTTTCATTTTATTTTTCTCCTTATCTTTTATCACTAGCTGACATACCATACCTGCCTTCTTTTGTGTTTGACATCTCTCCACTGGAACATAAGCTCCATAAAGTAAACATTGTTGTCCATTTTACAAAGAGCAAGGCTGGGACTCAGGGAGTTGAAATGACTTGAACAACAGGGCAGGGCTAGCAAGTGAATACACCTGGGTCCAAGTGATGATCTTTCTAGGATTTCCACTAATTGGAGATGCCTTAGAGATGTGATGAAGAACTGGATAAAACTTCTGTGGATGTGGACACATGGGACATGGGAGAATGTTTTAAGGGGACATTAAAAATGATACTTTATAACAATAATTCATACTTTTCGGGGAAGAAGAGTGTTGTTTGTTTTCATTTTATGCCCGAACTTTACCTTCTGTGTTAAAGTGTAGCCCCCTTACTTGGATGAACACGGAGTGTCAAGCGAGCAAAAGAGTGGTCTGAGAGCTGATAGTTACTGGGCACTTGGGCTAGGTGGGCACACCACCTTCACATACATTATCTCAATTTCTCCTCATCTCCCTCCTAGGAGGCAAAGGTCATCATCCTATTTAGAGATGGAAGACCAAAGGGCCCAAATCCCTTGCACGAAGGTCACCCAAATAGTAATTTGGGTCCAATGTCAGTACTTGGACCCAGATCCGTCGGACCCCAAAATCTGTATTCAGAACTGTTTCTCCTGACTGCCAATACTGTTTTTGGTAGAACAGAGTCCCAGGAATCTCAGTTTCCAGTCACTCAGCAGCAGCTTCATCTGTTGAGTGTGTATTGGAAGGCTTCTTTGCTTACGTTAGGAGAAATCATTATGTTTCTTTTAAAACTATGTGGCTCGTTGATGTTAATTTCTTCTAAGCACTTAAGAAGTATTTTAATTTATGCTGGCATTTGAATTAGTATGGCATTATTTCAAAAGATGACAGTAATTCAAAATTCTGAAGGCTGGAAAACATCCAATCAAAACAAAACCAAAAGCTAACAAAGCTAACAACATCATAGTAGGCAGCACCTTTCCTTGAGGAAGGCAAACTGTTCTGCAGGCATATGCCAATCTGGAGATGTCTCTGCTATTTTGTCAAAGTGGGGATTTTAACCACATTTAGCAAGTACTGCTATAGCCTGTGAATGTGAACGATTTAACTCAAATGGAAGTTTAGTGTGAGACTGCGTTTCCCGGGTGCTTGCCACCTCTTTTGTATCACATTCTCAATTCAGATCAGTGTACTGTGGTCTATTTTTACCTCTCCCAACTCAACATACTGTTGGTTCTGTACAAATATGTATTGGGTCTTCCATTGATCAGTAAAATAGTTTTATTGTTCTTAAAAATATATGACAAATTGGTCTTAGGTATCATTCAGCATCTTGTTTCAATGAAGAACTTCTGTATCTTATTCGTCAGCTTTCTTTCTCACAGAAATAGATACCATTCCAAATCTTCTGGTATTCTTTTTATTTTATTTTATTTTATTTTATTTGAGACAGAGTCTCACTCTGTTGCTCAGGCTGGAGTGCCGTGGTTCGGTCATGGCTCACTACAACCTCCACCTCCCAGGTTCAAACGATTCTCCTGCCTCAGCCTCCCAGGTAACTGGAATTACAGGTGCCTGCCAACATGCTCATCTAATTTTTAAATTTTTTTAATTTTTTTTTTTTTTTTTTTTTTTTTTTAGTTGAGACGAGGTTTCGCCATGTTGGCCAGGCTGGTCGTCTTGAACTCCTGACCTCAGGTGATCCACCCACCTTGGCCTCCCAAAGTGCTGAGATTACAGGCATGAGCCACCGCACCCAGCCTCTTCTTTTGATTTTTTTAACCTGTCATGGCTTGCTGAATCAATGCAGCTGAACTTGATACAAGTTCCATGCCATTTCACTTAGGAATTAACTTGTTTTCCTGGGCTTAAAATATCAAGCAACACCCGACCTCATCCAAACTCTGCAGATATATTTTTTATCCAAAAAGTTGTGAATGTCAGCAGGACACCTGGTCTCCTGAATGATAACTTTGTTGGGAAGGTGAATGCAGGCAACTTCATTTTGTAGTGGAGATCCTTGATCATGTTTGGTCAATGACAATATAGAGTGCAAAAATAGCTGATTTCTTTCTTTTTCCTACCATTCATCAACCCAGGGCTGCTTGTTTTTCTTTCCAAGGAAGCTGAGTTTCACATTGATGTGATTGAGGTTCCTCTGCAGGACTCTTCTGGGGTCCTTCATAAAATGTGGATGTCCCTTCTAAGTGATGTTGACATTTTATGAGAGGTCAACTGTCTGGTTGTTGAGAATGATGATCATTCTCACTATAGATGCTGCAAGAATGGACCACGTGCTGATATTCCCACACTCTCCTCTGTTACTTGTTCAGAGCCTTACCGATGGTGTGTGGTGAAGGTATGCTAAACTTTTACATTGGACCTGTTGTCTCTGCCTTTCCCAGCACTTTTACCCTCTTACCTATTTTATTTATCTACAATAAACTATTCCTAGTGTGTGTGTGTGTGTGTGTGTGTGTTTAAGCTACCAGACATGGATATTTCCCCTCCTTCTTGGCAAGTATGTGGTCAACTCTAGATGTATTTGAAGTCCTATTTTTAAATACAGGCTGAAATGGGTATCATAAGGTCCAACATTTGTGTCTAGGGGAAGCAAACAGGGTGTGAAACACTATATCCTGAAAGAAAATAATCTTCCAATTCCTTGTAGAGAAGCAAAACACATTTATATGCTGACTTGATGTGCAAGTTTCCAAGGCTTTCTGTACATGCACCCAAATTAGGCTATAAACACCTAAACCTTTAAAAATAGCTTCATAGTATAAGCATTGTTATGCAATTTGCTTTTTTTAAATTTAAGAATATGTGTATTGAAAACAAAATGAATTATTTATGGATAAAAAGATATGATATCTTAAGTTTGCTTAAAAGTAATTCTGAGGGTATGAGCGAGTGAGGGTAGAGATGTCACAGGACTGGCCGTGAGCTGATAGCAGTTGTGGCCGGGCCATGTGTGCAAGACAGCACGTGTTTGACCCTAGTACCAAATTACCATGGTTATCCTCATAGAAATAGCAGTAGGCATATGCATGATTATTTCTTTTTTTATTTTTGAAACTATTTGTATTGCAAAACAAAATCACATACAAAGTGCACACAACAAAATATTTAGGACAACAATTTATCATCAAGCGAACATCTGTTGAGAAATGGCACTTTGTGCTCTTGCTCTCCTGCTTCTCTATGAGCTTAGTGATTTACATTAATCTTTTCTTCAGAAAGAACTTTTGGCTTAATTTTTCTGTTTTTTCTTCCATTTCATGTATTTCCTGCCTTATATTTAGTATTGTCTTGTTACTTGTTTGGCAGATACTGCTCTTTTTTTAAAAAAAAATTATCTTCTTAAGGTTAAATCTTGGGCAACTGAATTTAGATTCTGTTTCTTATCTAATAGAACCATTTAAAGTTATAAGTTTTCCCCTATACACTGCTTTATCTTCACCGCATAAATTTTCATATATTGCATTTTCATTATTACATTTAAAATATTTTCTAATTTTTCTTGTTTTTTTATGATCTGTAGGTTATATAGAAATGTGTTATTAATTTCCAAATACTTAGGGGACATTTTCAGAAAGCTTTTAATTATTAATTTCTAACTTAATTACATGTGGTCAGAGAACATACTCCATATGATTCTTTAAAATTATTGAGACTTGCTTATTGCTGCAGCATATGCTCTATTTTGGTGAAGGTATCATGCATACTTGAAGAATACAAAAAAGAATATTCTGCAATTGCTGAGTGCGGCCTTATGTAATACCAGCCAAGGCCAGGAGGGCTGTTACTGTTCGTCACTTGCATGTTGCCAATATGTGTAAGTGAAAATTGGTTTTATACCTGAACCTTGTATTCAGCAATCAACTAAACACATGTATTAATATTAATAATTTATCTCTTGATGGTTGGTTTTTCTGTGGACATAACAATATAATCCAGTTATAATGAAAGTTTTATTTCTCATTTTCTTTTCTTTTCTTTTACTTTTTTTTTTTTTTTTTTGAGATGGAGTCTCTGTTGCCCAGGCTGGAGTGCAGTAGTGAGATCTTGGCTCACTGCAACCTCTGCCTCCTGGGCTGAAGTGATTCTCATGTCTCTGCCTCCCGGGTAGCTCGGATTACAGGTGCCCGCCACCATGCCCGGCTAATATTTTTAGTAGAGATGGGGTTTCACCATGTTGGCCAGGCTGGTCTTGAACTCCTGATCTCAGGTTATCTGCCCATCTCGGCCTCCCAAAGTGCTGGGATTACTGGTGTGAGCCATTGCGCCCAGCCTTCTGATGCTCTTTCTTAAGTTTCTGTTTATTTTAACTGATGTGTTGATAATAGATCTTTCATCAGATTAAATATATTCCTTTAGATACTTCATGTTGTTTTTAATTATGAAAGATAATTTAATTTTTTCTATATTTACTAAATGGGAATAAAGTTTTTTGGTTGTTGTTACTTGTGAGCTGTAAGAATTGTGCAAATGTTAAACTAACTTCAGATTCCAGAAATGAGTCCAAGTTGGTCATGATATTTAGCATTCTTATAAATTGCTGGATATTATCTGATATATATTTATTTATACCTCTTTTTATCAAAGAGATTGTCCAGAACATTTTCTTTTTTGCAATTTCCATTTAGATTTTGGTATTGCAGTTTGGCTTTAGAAAAATGTTGGAAAATATTTCTTTATTCTTTGAAGAATATGTAAAGTATTTGTTTTATGTCTTTCTAAAATGTTTTATGGAATCCAGGCCTAGAGTTTTCTCCATTAATTTTAATTATGGATCCAATTTTGTTAGTAGTAATGGTATTCATATTTGTATTTTTAATGCATCAGTTGTGAGAAGTGTGTTTTTCTAGGAACTTCTTCATTTCACCCAAACTGTCAAATTTTGGCATTAATTTTTTATAATTTTTAAAAGTATATTTTAATATTTATAGGATCTGTAGTGATTACCCTTTTAAAATTCATAATAGCAATTATGTATACCTTCCCTACCTTCCCTCCTTTGTTCCTGATCAATCTGGTCAGGAGTGAATCATTTTTATTTATCTTTTCATACCAACTTTTGGCCTTTTCTATTGGATGTTGCTATAATTTGAATATTTGACCTTCCAAACCTCTGTTGAAATCTGATCCCCAGTTTTCAAGGTGGAGCCTAAAGGGCAGTGTTTGGGTTATGGGGGCATATTTCTCGTGAAAAGATTAATGCCCACCCTAGGAGGGAGGGAGAGAGGCAGTTCTCCCTCTGTTTGTTCCCAGGAAAGCTTTTTAAAAAGAGCCTGGCGCCTCCCTCTCTTCTCTCTTGCTTTCTTTCTCACCATGTGATCTCATCACACACGGGCTCCCCCTCCCCTCCCACCTTGAGTGGAAGCAGCCTGAACCCTCCCCAAATGCAGATGCTGGCACTCTGCTTCTTGTACAGCCTCCAGAACCGTGAGCCAAATAAACCTCTTCTCTTTATAAATTATCCAACTTCAAGTATTCCTTTATAGCAACACGAATAGAGACAGCTGTTATTTTAAATTTATTTCTGCTCTTATTTTTATTTTTAAGAGCCAAGTTCTCACTCTTGTCTCCTAGGCTGGAGTGCAGTAGTATGATCATAGCTCAGTACAACCTTGAGCTCCTGGGCTCAAGAAATCCTCCTGCCTCAGTCTCCTGAGTAGCAAGGACTACAGGTGCATAATACTGTGCCCAGACAATTTTTCTATTTTTTTTACTGACAGGGTCTCACTATGTTGTCCATGCTCGTCTTGAACTCCTGGCCTCAAGTGATCCTCCCACCTCAGCCTCCCAAAGTGCTGGGATTACAGCTGTGAGCCACTGTGCCTGGCCTCTTAGTTTTGTATGTATTTCTTTTTACTTTCTTTGTATTTAATATGTTTTCCTTTTTGTAAATTTTTTTATAATTAGGCTTTTTCCGTGTGTATGTAATTTTCAGTTCCCATCAGATCATAACTTTGGCTGTCTCCTGAAGTATTGATGTGGCATATTTTTTATCATTCAGTTTAAAATATTTTAAAATTTCTTTTGTGCATTCTTCTTTGACTCAAGAGTTATTTAGAAGTATGCTTTCTAACTTTCAAATATTTTGAGATTTTACAGGTTTCTTTTTTCTTATTCTGTGAGGTTTTTGCTTGTATGTTTTTTGTTTTTGATTTTCAGCTTAATTCACTATACTCTGAGATCATACTCTTTATTTCTTTGTTACCCAATCGACATATATTCTGCCTTGTAGGGGACAGTGTTTTCAGTGTGTGGCCGTGTAACTTTAAACAGTGTTAAAAACAGGGGATTCTTTAAGTCTTCTGTATATGTACCCGTTCTTTTCAGTTGCTTTTTAAAAATCACTGCTGAGAGAAGTGAGTAAAGCCCTTCCATGATGATTGGAGATTTTTCTGTTTCTCTCTTAAGTTCTGATAATTCTGACAATTTTTATACACTTGAGTCTAATTATTTAAAAGATACTACAACTTTGGAATTATTCAGAAATTTGGAATTATTAATTATTTGAAATATGAAATTACTATATCTTCTTAGTAAATTATGAGATACATCTCTTTATCTCTAGCAAACCTTTTTGCTTTAAAGTCTGGTTTATCTGATATTAATATGACTATATTGGCTTTATTTTGGTTAGTGGCCAAATGGTCTATCTTTTCTCATCCTCTACTTTCAAACTTTCTAAATCCTTGCTTTTAATGTGTATTTCCTTCAACAGCACATATGGAAGTCATCTTTAGCACCTTTGCATGGTTACTTTAGAATTTCATGTATCCTGACATATCAAAGTCTAAGATAAATAATTACTTTTACAAATTTCCAGACAAATGTTGATAAACTTGTGACTTCAGTCTCACATGAGTCTCACTTTTCCCAAAACAATTAGTTGTGATCTGAGCGGTAACTCTAGTCCACAATTCTTATGATTTGTAGGAATTACCTGCTTGATGTAATGGGCCGTAAGACTTGCTTTTGGAGGGTGATCATGACCCTGCTTCTACTGAGCTTTCTATGGAGCTGGGTAAGCTCCCCATTGTGTTTTTTCATAGCTAAAACATAAATGCTCACCAGCTTTACACAGAATTGGCCAGCTGGAGCTCATAAAACACAGAGGATGTGGTGCACACTCCTCATTTATTATCAGAATATGGATGCATCTATTAAAGGTCAATTCATTTTCTTTCTTGATCTCACAATCACATAAAGAAAAAATTAAAACATTTCTAAATGTAACCTGCATTAGAATAGGTATAAAACTAGAATAGAAACTTCTATTTCTGGAAATATAATGGGATTCTCTAAATGGCTACCTACACAATGAAAGTAAATCAAGGATAAATTATGACAGACCTATACCATGTAGTGATGTGCTTCATAGAAAGTAAGTGAAATTCCCAAGGGTGAATGTTGAAGGAAACAACGAGCTGGATCTGCTGAGTAGTTACCTCGGAGACATGGAAGACTATGCATTGGACCCAAGGAAAGTGGGGGCCCAACTGGATATTTCTACATTCAATTAGGACACGTAAATTCTTACAATCGCAGTGAAGGGGAGGGCCAGCTAAAAAGCTGCTTTCCAGAAAAGAGAGTTTTTTAGGAAACTTGTTTCTGCTGTGGCTTCTGAAGAAAAGAAGAAAAAGGAAAGGAGAAGGAGGAGAAGAGGAACAGGAGGAGGAGGAGAGTCTATTATGAATATGTGAGGCTGTAGAACTGCCTTGGAGTTTGGAAATCAACTCTACACCAACCTCTTGGTCAGAGAAAAATCAAAAACGATGACAAAAAATTAGATTAAAGTAAATCCAGGTCGGTAAACCCAACACAAGCAGAAAAAATAGAAATCCTCATGGAAGAAAAGTATTCCCAATTGCAACTTGCAGAATTTACATACATAAGTACACAATTACCCAACACCAAGTAAACGAGGCATCATCACAGAGGCAGTCAATGGGAGAAACAAATTAGACCCACAAAAACTTCAGGTACCGGAATATTCAGACATCTAGATAAAATAGCCATGCTGACATTACTATGTATTTTAAATACAAAATTATATATATGATTTATGTCTATATGCACATAATTATTGTATTTAGAATATATATAAATGTTAGAGGCCAGTGTGGTGGCTCATGTCTGTAATCCCAGCACTTTGGGAGACTGGGTGGGCAGATCACTTAAGGTCAGGAGTTCGAGACCAGCCTGGGCAATATGGTGAAACCTTGTCTCTACTAAAAATATAAAAAATCCTATCAGGGTGAGGTGGTTCATGCCTATAATCCCAGCTACTCAGGAGGCTGAAGCATGAGAATCCCTTGAACCTGGGAGGCAGAGGTTGCAGTGAGCTGAGAGCATGCCACCGCACTCCAGCCTGGGTGACAGAGTGAGACACCATCTCTAAATAAATAAATAAATAAGAAAAGTCAGCAAGGAACAGGAAACTGTCAAAATGAGAAGGCACATCTGACAAACCAAATACAACTTTTGGAAAATAAATGTTGTTATTAAGACTAGATTCTTATCCATAGCTTAAATAAATGAGACAGCATGAAGGAAAATTCACAAACTGGCAAGTAAAAATAAATGTAGCAAGGAAAAGCAAGTTGGAAATATGTGAAATTAAGAAATGTGGATGACAGAGTGAGAAGTCCTAATGATAGCTCATTAATATGCTGGAATGAGAAAATAAGTAGAACAAGGGAGCAGTCCAGATTTTTAAAACTGTATTAGAAACCACAAAATCATAGAATAGAAAAGCATACAATACATTCCACATAGAAAAGCATCTAAAAATGTACACTGAGACACACTGAGTATACTCAAAAAACACTAAAAGAGAGACAAAGAAAGAGAGAAGGGGAGGGTCTTACCAAGATATTTTCAGATTGAAAAAAATCCCAAACACACACACACACACACACACACACACACACACACACACACAAGCATGTAATCCAGCAGACATATACTAAGGAAATCTAAACAATGAACTTCAGCAGAGAAGAGGAAGAAAAAAGACTCCAGGAAAAAGATTTTCGATAGTAAAAATAGTGAAAGAAAAGGTAAAACTTTAAAAAATACTGTGTAGAAATCACAGTAATAATAGTGTCTAATCCATGGTGTTATAAAAATGAGGGATTTAAAATAGTGACTGGAAATGACAGTGTGTCCAGTCAAGGATGATAGGTGCTCAGATTTTAAAAGCACTTAAGTTAATCAGACAGAGGGTGGACTCTTGATGAATTTTTGACTCTTAAAATTTATTTTTTTATTTTTATTTTTTGAAATGGAGCCTTGCTCTGTCACCCAGGCTGGAGCACAGTGGCATGATCTCGGCTCGGCTCACTGCAACCTCCGCCTCCTGGGTTCAAGGGATTCTTGTACCTCAGCCTCCAGAGTAGCTGGAACTACAGGCACCTGCCACCACACCCAGATATATATATATATTTGTATTTTTAGTAGAGAGGGGGTTTCATCTTGTTGGCCAGGCTGATCTCGAACTCCTGACCCCAGGTGATCCGCCTGCCTCAGCCTCCCAAAGTGCTGAGATTACAGGCGTGAGCCACCGCACCCAGCCAGACTCTGAAAATTTAAATGGAAAAACACTTAGTAGAGAAAAAATTCTTCAATTTGTTAGAGGAAAAATAAATGGAATCGGGAAAAAGATAAGAAGGGAAGAATAAAAACGACAGAGCAAATAAAAACATGAAATAAGATGGGAGAAAGTATAAAAATGAATGCAAATGTATACTTGATCATTATCACTGCAAATAGTGTAAACCAGGGGTCAGAATTTTTTTTTCTGTAAAGAACCAGGGAATAAGTATTTTGGGTTTTGCAGACCAGTTGATTTCTGTCACAATTATGCACCTTTGTCATTGCAGCAAGAAAGCATCCATGGACAATGTACAAATGAACAGCTGTCTTCCAATAAAACCTTGTTTATAAAACTAAGCAATGGCTGGATTTCACCAACGGGCCATGGTTTACTGACTCCTGTTCTTAACTTATTTTAAAAATGCGGAAGTTAAAATTGGGAACAAGGCAAGGATGTCCTCTTTTACCACTTCCATTTAATTTCCTACTGAAAGTCCTAGCAAGTGCAAAATGGCAAAACAGGGAAATAAAAGGTATGCAGATTGTGAAGAAGAAATAAAATAGTCTTTGTACATAGATTCCACATTGCAACTGATATTTGAGAAACTGCCGGTTTCTTAAATCTTAAATGTTTTAAACACACACACATGCACACACCCTGTAACTATGTGAGGTGATGGACAGGTTAGATTGATTGTGGTAATTATTTCACAATACATATTTATATCACATTGGGCTGGGGGCAGTGGCATGTTCCTGTAGTCCCAGCTACTCCAGAGACTGAGGTGGGAGGATCGCTGCAGACCAGGAGTTCAAGGTTGCAGTGAGCTATGATGGTGCCACTGCACTCCAGCCTGGGAGGCAGAATGAGGCTGTGTCTCTCAAAAAAAATAAAAAAAAAAAAATGAGGCTGAGGTGGGTGGATCACGAGGTCAGGTGTTCGAGACCATCCTGACCAATATGGTGAAACCCCGTCTCTACTAAAAATACAAAACTTAGACAGACATGGTGGCGCACGCCTGCAATCCCAGCTACTCAGGAAGCTCAGGCAGGAGAATCACTTGAACCCAGGAGGCAGAAGTTGCTGTGAGCAGAGATCATGCCACTGCACTCCAGCCTGGGTGACAGAGCGAGACTCCATCTCAAAAAAAAAAAAAAAAAAAAAAAAAAAGAGAGAGAGAGAGAATCAAGTGGAAGGTCCTTGTTGAATGCCTGGGACATTCAATGGAGTCACCACAGGAGACACATATTAGAGTGGGCTAAACTGGTTCTAGAATAAAGCTATTATAAACCTGCTGTAACAAAGCTTGAAAACAAGCTTCTAAAAGATCCACCTGAACTTCAAGTAATTTAAATTCCTGCCAGCATGAGGTACAACTTTCTTGAAAGGAAGACAACCAAACCTAGACACTCAACAACAGGATATGAACAATGTGTAACCTCCAATACGAAAAATTAGCAGAAGTGACAAGAAGCAGAAAAATGTGGTTCATAATCAGAAGAAAAATCAGTCAAGCAGTCAACATAAATAGAACCAAAAGATGACAAAGTTAGCAGGCAATGGCTTTAAAATAGCTGTGATAAATATGCTCTTAGATTTAAATATGAAAATAACAAGGAGAGACATGAAATATATTAAGGAAAAAAACAAAACTTCCACAGATGAAAAATGCAATGCCTGAAGTGAAAAGCACATTGAATAGGCTCAATAGCAGTCCAGACACTGCAAAAGAAAAGATCAATGAACTTGAAGAAAGAGAAATAAAAAGTATCTAAAGTGAAGTACAGAGGAAAAAAAAACTGACCAAACCTCAGTGACCTATGGGGACAATAGAAAGCAGAAATGGAAGAGGCAGAAAGAAAGATGTAAAAAAAAAAAAAAAGTATAAAAATTTTCCAAATTTGATGAAAACTATAGGCTAACATATCCAAGGCTCAAAGAATTCCAAAACAGAATAGAAAAAAGAAAGAATAAAGGAAAGAAAAATACACCAAGTCACAAATTCTAATTGAAATACTAAAAAAAAAAATGATGAACATCTTGAAATCAGACACAAGAAAAAGACATATTGCGTATAGAGAAATAAAGAGGAGAATGACAGCAGGCTTCATGTTAGAAAAAATGCAAGCCCGAAGACAGTGGAACAGGGCTTTAGCGTACAGTCATGGGTCACTTAATAATAGAAATACGTTCTGAGAAATATATCATTAGTTGATTGGTGTCATTGTGTGACTATCACAGAGTGTATTTACACAAACCTAGATAGTATAGCCTACTACACACCTGGGCTGTATGGCATAGCCTATTGGCATTAAAGATAAAAAATGAAACACCTGTTTAAGGCACTTGCCGTGAGTGGAGCTTGCAGGACTGGAAATTGCTCTGGGTGATTCAGTGAGTGAGTGGTGAGTGAATGTGAAGACCCAGGACATTACTGTAGACTTTTTAAACACTGACTATACACTTAGGCTACACTAAATTTAAAAAAAACTAAGTAGTTGTGCTATGACATTACAATGGCTATGATGTCACTAGCTAATAGGAATTTTTCAGCTCCATTATAATGTTATAGGATCACCATTGTATATTCATTCTATCGTTGACTGAAATGTCATTTTACATTGTATGACTGTATTTGTTTCTTGACCAATGGGCTCACATCCTGATAAATCCATTGCAAGCTGAAACTATCATAAGTCGAAAATGCATTTAATATACCTAACCTACGAAACATCATAGCTTAGCCTAGCCCACCATAAACGTGTTCAGAACATTTACGTTAGCTTATAATTGGGCAAAATAATCTAAAGCAACACCTATTTTATAATAAAGTGTTGAATATCTCATGCAATTTATTGACTACTTACTGAAAGTCAAAGACAGAATGGTTGATGGGTACTTAAGGTATAGTTTCTCCCGAAACATCACTTTTTGCTCCATCGTAAAGTAAAAAATCATAAGTTGAGCCATTGTAAGTTGGTGAACATCTGTACATATAAAAATATCTGTATATACAGATACATACAGATACATTCAAAAATTTTCAGAATTTTGGAATTCTATACTGAGAAAAAGTATCTTTAAAAAGTGAAAAATGAAAGAAAAACGTTTTCAGAGAAATAAGTTTGTAGAACTCATCATAGAACACCTGTGCTGCAGGAAGTAACGAAGGGTTTTCTATGAGCAGAATTAAAGTCATATCCAATAAAATTTTTTTCTCATTTGAAAACCTATTTTAAAAATAATTGATTGTTCTACAAGGAACTCAATCAAAACAGCAAGAAAAACAAATTATCCCATTCATATGAGGGCAAATGACATCAAGAGACATGTTTTAAAAGAAGATGTACAAATGGACAATGAACATATGAAAAAATGCTTGACATGATTAATCATCAAGGAAATGAAAATTAAAGGCGCAATAAGATACCACTTTACTCCTGCAGGAATAGCCCTTATTAAAAAGTCAGCAAACAACAGATGTTGGCAAGAATGTGATGAAAAGGGAGTCCTTATACACTGTTGGTAGGAATGTGAATTAGTACAAGCTCTACAGAAAACAGGACAAAGGTTTCTCCAAGAACTAAAAGTAGATCTACCATTCGATCCAGCAACTCCATACTGTGTATCTATCTAAAGGAAAAGAAGTCACTAAATCAAAAAGACCTGTATATATATGTTTATCACAGCACAATTCACAATTGCAAACATATGGAATCAACTTAAGTGCCCATCAACTGAGTGGATAAAGAAAATTTGGTGCATATATATACCATGGAATACTGCTTATCCATAAAAAAGGATAAAATAACATCACTTGCAGCAGCTTGGATGGAACTGGGGGGCCATTATCCTAAGTAAGTAACTCAGAAACAGATAACCAAATACTGCATGTTCTCACTGATAAGTGGGAGCGAAGCTGTGGGTATGCAGGGACATCCAGAGTAATGAATGCTGGAGACTTAGAAGGGAGAAGGATGGGAGGGAGGTGAAAGATTACCTACTGGATGAAAAGTTACCTACTGGGCACAATGTACACTATTTGGGTGATAGATGCACTAGAAGCCTCGACTTCACCACTGTCCAATTCATCTATGTAACCAAAAACAACTTGTGTCCTTAAATCTACTGAATGTTTTTTTAAAAAGAAAGGACATGTCAACAAGAGTTGGCACCTTCATATTCTACATTCACAAACTAAAAACCAAAAAAAAAAGAAATTGATTGTTAAAGTAAAATATAAGTCACTGAATGCAGAAGTCATATGTGTGATAACAGGAGTGAATAGGACAGGAAGAAAAAAAGAAGTATATTATTGTAAGTTGCATGCACTACACTGTACATGAAATGGTATTATGTTAATTAAAGTTAGACTGTAGGCCGGGCATGGTGGCTCGCGCCTGTAATCCCAACACTTTGGGAGGCCGAGGTGGGAGGATCCCTTGAACCCAGGAGTTCAAGACAAGCCTGGGCAACATAGTGAGACTTGGTCTCTACTAAAAATTCAAAAATTAGCTGGGTGTGATGGTGCATGCCCATAGTTCCAACTAGTTGAGAGGTTAAGATGGGAGGATCACTTGAGAACAGGAGTTCGAGGTTGCAGTGAGCTGAGATTTTACCACTACATTCCAATCTGGGCAAGAGAGCAAGACTCTGTCGCAAAAAAAAAAAAAAAAAAAAAGAAAAGAAAAGAGAAAAAAGATAGGTTATGATGAGTTAAAGATGCCTGCTGTAAACCCTAGAGCCATCACAAAATAAAATGAAATATGGCAAAATAGAGATATGATAAATAAAACACTAAAGAAGATAAAATAGATACAATGAAATTAGAAAAAAATTTAGTATCATTTTAAAAGCCCCATATGCCTCTATTTTCCTAGTTACATAAAGGAGGCAAAGTGTGAAAAAGAATAGACCATGTTCTTCTAAGGACCCATGTCAGGTGTCAGTAGAATGGAGGTGATGCAGGAGGGTGGGAACGGATGCCCCATGTTTTTAAAGCTGTGGGGTGTCTTCTCTTTTTATTTTTTTAAATCCAGAAATGTAGATCTGTTCATTCATCCATTCATTGATGTAAAATCTGGTTTCTGAGGTGTTCAGCTTGATGACTGATACATGTATACTTCACCACCACAATCACATGCACTCACATTTCCATCACCTCGCAGAGCTGCCCTCTTTTGTGTGTGTGATGAGAACCCATAAGATCTACCCTCTTAGCAAGTGTGAAGTATATATCGCAGTGTTGTTAGCTGTAGTCACAATGTTGTATAGTAGATCCCCAGAACTTATTCATCTTGCATAACTGAAATTTTGTACCCTTTGACCCACATCTCCCCGTCTCTCCTTCTCCCAGCCCGTGGCAACCACTATATACCCAGTAACCCCCTTTCTGGGGATATAGTCAAAGGAAATAAAATCAGTATCTGAAAGAGAGATCTGAACTGTCATGTTCATTTTGGCATTTTTTACAATAGCCAAATAATGGAACAACCTAAGCATCTGCCAATGGATAAATGAATAAAGAAACTGTGAGATACGTACACACACACACGCACACACACACACACACACACGTATATGTATAACATACATATACGACAGTATATTATTTAGCCCTAACAAAGAAGGAAATCCTGCCATTTTTGACCACATGGATGAACCTGGAGAACATGCTTGGTGAAATAAGCCAAGCACAGAAAGACAAATAGCACATGATCTCACTTATACCATGGCACTGTGTTCATGTCTCAGCCACATTTACCACACCCAACCACGCAAACACAGCCACTGTCTCAGTTCCTGCCCCTGACCGGGGTACAGGGTGGGTGCTCTGTGAACACGTGTTCTACTCATGGCCCAGCTTCCCCACCTTCAGCTATTTTAGGCTCTGACACTGGAAATGAAATTCTTATGAAGCCCGGGCCAAGGCTGAGGTTGTGTGGAACTAGGGTGCCCTCTACTGTCTTCCACAACGATCACGACATTGCTTAATTTCATTCAATGAAGAGAAAATGCTAATGAAACAAATGGGAATTCAACGGATAGCCTATTATTTCTCAGCACAAATACAGAATTCTATAGTAAAACAAAAATCATTGAAATGGTAGTAAGCACTCTTCTAGCAATGTGAGTTTCTGTAAGGTTCTGATGGGCCTTACGATTTCACTGTCCCCTCAGGGCAGTCCATCTAAAGTGAGGCTATGTTATGTTACATAAACACTAGGAGGAGAGAGAGTGGCATACCGTTTCATTACAGGGAAGAGAAAAGAATTTAAGCAACATGCTGAAATACAATGTTAAAGAATGACTCTAACTTAAAATGATTTTTATATATTCAATAATATGTGTTGTGTGGACATAAAGCTGATAGAAAGTGTACCAAAAAAAGTGGAAGTTTTAAACATAATCCATCAAAAGAACATATTTCCTTACAGCTGACATTTCTTTTATTATTAAGAATTAATGTCTATAACCCTCGCTAATACAAAAATCATCCCTTGTTTATATACATTTATTTTTGCAAACTCACACCGAATGACTTTGTGTGACAAGCTGTGAAGTTTAAAATTTACCAATTCTTCCAACTCTTTGATTTGCATTATGCTGTTTAATCCTGAGAGAAGAGCAGCTGTCGCTGGTATTAGGTGTTAGAATTCCAACACCTAATAGGTGAAAATTATATTAGGCTGATCATAAAACCATGTTGTTAACTTTTTAAAATTTAATGTCTCCCAAGGAATTTCACCCTAGTGGTACATCTTTTGGGAAATTAGAAAATGAAGAAATGCATACGTTCAGTGATCCATTTTAGAATTAGAAAATTCAAATTAGCATCTTATTTCATTCATATTTCCTGAAGAACCACTGGAAACAGTTATTTAATAGTGTGGCTAAATGTATATTCAGAGAAACACTTCCTGTATATTTGCACATTTATGTATATTTATGTCCTATTCCTGGAATAGATTTACAAGTTTTGTTTTTCAGAAAATTTCAGAATTTCTGGAATGTGCAGAAGTATTAACAGGTAACTTAGATTTGGAATACACTGTATTAGAGATAACTGGAAAAATGAGAGGCTTCCTACACTGGAAGGTCAAAGATCTTTCCTGGAGGGGAGTTAGGAATTTGCCTTTACTTACCATTATTCTGTTAAAAGAGATTATGAATAATGCAGTTTCACAAAAGGAATGGGACAATGGTGTAAGTAAACCTCCCCATCACGTTTTCAGTGGCTTTCCTTTGAGTCTTGAACGTTTTCCACTGGGTGTTATAGTCGAGAGTCCCCCACCTCCTGAGGAAGCAAGACCTGGCAAACCCAAGACGATGCGCTCTTACTTGTGTTGTTTGAAGGGGCCCTGCTGCCGCGCAGTTGTCATTAATGCCACCCTCACCTCCCAGGAACTGCACCACTAGGACGGACGACACACCGACGTAATGACCATAGTAAGACCCCATGTACGTGGCTAATGAGGCAGTGACCCGACGTGGCTCGGAAGCCCTGCTGGGGAGATCCCGCCCCGTCACCCCAGAGGCGCTCTCCGACCTGCAGCCCCCAGGGCTCCTGGCCCTTTCCCGTTTGCCACTGCGGCTTGTTGTCAAGAAATGGAACTTCAGAAAACCCCCAGATATACACTGCGTTAGGTAAGGATTTCATTCTAATCGAGTCCAATGTGACCCTGGCTTTCCCTCCCGTAGTTATGCATTCCTGTCTATGAGTGAGATGAAAAGAATGTCCACAGGCCAGCTTCTTTCAGAAGCGCCTAAGAGATGCGCATGTAAGGGGTGCCATGGAGCACCCGGGAAGGACCCAGGCCTGGGCAGGGAGGCGTTGGGGCCGGCTCTAGGGAGCAAAGCTGTCGGAGTCCAGGCCTCTATCACCCGACTGCTGACACTGCCCTCCCATCCCTGCTCTACAAGCGGGCGGTGGTGACTACACGAGGCGCCGAAGATGCTGTTGAGGGCCCTGGAGAAACTTCAGCAGAACAGGGCCTCTCCCCTTGCAGGCCGAGCCGGGGGCCCTGCGCCCTCCCCCTCCGCCCAGCTCGGCCAAGGGCGCATTTGCTGAGCGTCTGGCGGCCTCTACCGGAGCACCTCTGCAGAGGGCCGATCCTCCAGCCCAGAGACGACATGTGGCGCTCGGGCGAGGTGAGAGCGGGCGCGAGTGCGCCGGGGGCGCTGGGGGGCTCTGCGGCGGGCGGCGCGCGGCCCGGGGCGCGGCGCGGAGCGGAGCTGCAGGGCGGCGGCGGGAGCGCGGGGCGCAAGAGCCGCTCCGCCGGGAGTGCCGGGGAAGTTCGCGCTGGCAGCATGGGGCGGTGACGCCGCACCGGCCTTCCGCGCCTGCCAGCCGGGCGAGAGCAGGCGGAGGAGAAGGAGGATGCATCCTCACCGACGGCTCGCCTCCCGGGGCCGGCGCGCAGGGTGAGCCCTGGGCGCGCTGGGCCGGGGCAGTGGGGTAAGAGGACGCGAGCGGGGAAGAGGACCGGCCGCCCCGGCTCGGTCCGCACCCTTCTCCTCGGGGCGCCTGAGCGGCAGGCTGCGTGGCCGGGGAGGAGAGGTGCAGAGCAGGCGGGGCGCGCAGCCAGGCCAGAGCGCAAACTTTACCCTGGCGACTGCGGGGCTGAAGCCGGGCGCGGGAGAGAGCGGGGTCCGGGCGGCTCATCCCTGCCGGACGGGGCACCAGGGCGCGGTGACCGGTTGGGGGTGGGGGACACCCGTTGCCACCATCACGGGAGCCGGAGGGGTGAGATCGCCCACCTGGAAAGCCAGCGTCAGCCCCGGGGCTCTGAGGCGCGCGGCGTCCCGGCGCTGCTCGCGGGGTGGACTCGGACCCCGCGGGGGTGTCGCGCGCGTGTCGCGCGGGCTGCTCGAGGCCAGGGGACTTGGAGTCGCTGCTGCACCGCGCGCTCCCAGCCCAGGAGGAAGGCGCTGCCTGGCGGAGCGCTTGGCTCGTACCCGGGGCAGGAGCAGGGGAAGTCTGCGAAAGCCGGGAGCGAGCCGGGGAGGGCCGGGGAGCTGGAGACCCTCGGCGTGCCGCTGCGGACCGCGCGGGTGGCGACCGCGGGTGCCAGGGCGACCCAGGCTGCGGCTCCGCAGTGCAGCCCCCGCGCCCACCTGCCCTGGCGCGCCGGCCCTGGTGAGCCTCTGTGGGGGTCCGGAGGGTCGTGGGAGCGCAGCCTCTCCTGGGGGTCCCTGGCTCGGGGCTGAGGGGCGGCGGGAGGCGCCGCCCGGGTTTCCCGCATGCAGCGCCGCGTGCTCGCCGCCTGGCTCTGGCCCGGGCCCCGCGACGAGCCCCCCGGACGCGCCCAGGCGACCACCGCATGGCACCCTGCCCTTCTTGGCAGGAGTCGCAGAAGGCCTTCGCTTCCGAGGTGGAAGTACCTGTTGTGTCTCCCAATTCCGGAGTTTGCGGGGGATGGGGGTTGGGGGGGCTTCTTGGGAAAATGCTTCTTTTCGAAGCATACTGTTCGGATGCCTGTGAGCACCTATTTGCGTTATGCGCATACTGAGAAATGCGTGTTTTCAGGAAGGTTAGTCGTTGAGCCCAGGGACAATGTCTGCCTGGATCTCAAATACATTAATTAGGGTCCAGCATTGAGTGGAGAGACTTCCACAGATGCAGTGCTTAAGTTATGTAGTCACGGGGACCGAATGCCGGGAAAGTAGCCACACTCTTTTATAGGCAGTTGTCACAGTATTGTGATCCTGCAGAAAACCTGTTTCTTAAATGTGCTTTTCCCCACTTCTTTCCACGTACTTTCTCAGTGCCTTGCAGAGAGAGGAGTAGCTTGCTGGCTTTGAACGCGTGGCGTGGCAGATATTTCAGAAAGGTAAAATTACTACACTTGTGGATTTGACGGATACAAAATACAGTCGCTCAGATAACTACAGCGTTTATTTTAATAATTGGACTAATGGTTTATTTGATAACATGCTAAAAAACAAAACAGAGTATTTGAGTGGAAAACAACGAATTAGGGTGATTCTGCACCCTGAGTAGAAGTAAAAATAAGCCTCTTGTTACTTATTTTTATGCTCCAACTTACTGCCCAGTGAGGGTGATGGAAAATACCTGGTGTGCAGCTGTCCTGGGGAAGGACAGCGGGCTCCTTTCTTTGCAAATTGTTGTGATAGCAGTGTGATTTGATTCCAGGAACTGTGACACAACAGCATTGATGTTCACGTGCTTCCCCGCTTTGTGTGCTTTTCAGCTTCAAGAACAAGCTGGAGAAGGGAAGAGTTATTCCTCCATATTCACCTGCTTCAACTACTATTCTTATTGGGAATGGACAATGGAATGTTCTCTGGTTTTATCATGATCAAAAACCTCCTTCTCTTTTGTATTTCCATGAACTTATCCAGTCACTTTGGGTAAGTTACCATCTGTGCTTTTATTTTATGATGTTAGGGACACTGGTGCCTTTCAGACATGTTACGGGAGCAGCACATCCATTGAGCAAGTCCTCGCCTGCCACCATTGCAGTCCCAAGCCCTTCACTTGTTGTAAATAAATGAAGTCATTGCCCTGACCCACGCTTTCTTCCTGAGCAAGGCTGCTCCTCACGTGGGGTCTCTGAAGTGAGTCAGAGAAAAAAAGGCAGATTATGTTTTCAGAAATGGAAGCTGAAGATGATATCCGAGTCAGCTGTGATTCTTCCTACTCAGGTTAAAACAAGATTCAGGAGTTCACATGCATGAAGGACAGTCACTGCTTGTTAGACAAGGCAGTGCCAACATTTCAGTTGCCCTCCACGGTTCCATTATGCAATCAAAGTTGCCTTGAAAGCCAGGCCTATGCTACTTGGCATTGAAAAGGACTCACAATGGTCCTGGCCTGAGCCAAGGCCCTAGAACTGTGACCATCTGAATGCAGGTGCAGACACCATAAACCACAGGTGCCTGAAGATCTGAAAGACACCCCTGAGGTTCTGGCACTATCATTTCCAGTAACCCCTCTTTCATTTTAGCCTTTAGTATCCGCATACCAACTCTAACCTTTTTTTTCATGAAACTAGTGATAACCCACATCGTGGATGAATGTTCTTATGAGGCTGCTGTTCCTGTTCTGACCCGTGCCCTAGAATTGTTCTGGTTAATCAAAAGGATTGTAACTTGAAGTTGATGGCATATAATTAAGAAATTAAATGTCAGGACAAAAGTTGCCAAGCGTTAGTGCTGCAAAAATGGGGTCCAGAGGTTTCACAGCCTATCCACATTTATGTAAATAATCACAGGATGGGGAATATCCAGTGGCTTGGCAACAGCCTGTAGACAGCCTTCCCATCTGGGGGGAAAGAAGACATCCCCAGGGCCATGATGTTTTCTGTCTGTCCTCTGTACATTTTCTGCTCTTCTGACTCTTCTGTGCAGAGGAAGGGGTGGGTGTGGGGGCCTTGCTCAGGTGCAGTGGCTGGTAGAAGACAGCATTGGGACTTTAGTCCACATCCACCCCGGGGCAAGCCTGAGCCATCAGCTGAGACTTTGTCCAGCAGAGCTGAGCTAAGGAAGATGCCTGTCCCTCACCAACAGAAGCCAGGCAGTGTGTGCACTCTAACCACACTGACGGGAACAGGTGTGTGGCATGTCTCAGCCCTTTGAGCCATTCTAAGTATTCCCTTGGGAAAGAGCATTGGCCGTGGCTCTTGCCTTGCTTATCTTGAGTGGATGCCTCCCTTCCCATGCCTTCAGATTTTTTTTTATCTATTAAATGAATGTTTTCCTTTACAAGTTCTCTGCAGCTGCCAAAGCCTGTAAACTAGCATGTTCACAATGTTCTTCTGAATGAAATGTCTGTACATAAGTGAAATCGCACAGAATATTCAAATTTGTCATCTAATGCATTAGGTAGTTGGTTTGTTTGATATACCGCATATATTTGGTAGCATTTTGGTGGTGAAGAATATATCAGGATTGGAAACTTATATTTTCTTTAAAATATCTTGGCTAGGCCAGGCGTGATGGCTCATGCTTGTAATCCCAGCACTTTGGGAGGCCAAGCGGGGGGCGGATCGCCTGAGGTCAGGAGTTCGAGATCAGCCTGGCTGACATGGTGAAACCCCATCTCTATTAAAAATACAAAGATTAGCCAGGCCTGGTGGCACATGCCTGTAATCCCAGCCACTTGGGAGGCTGAGGCAGGAGAATCGCTTGAACCCGGGAGGTGGAGGTTGCTGTGAGCTGAGATCATGCCACTGCACTCCAGCTTGGGCGACAGAGCAAGACTTTGTCTCAAAAACAAAACAAAACAAAACAAAACAAACAAAGAAACAAAATCTTAGCCAAATGTATTATGAATTTGCATTGAATAAGCATGAAATGGTTTCACTCCCTGGTAGATGCAGGTCTGAAATAGGAAGTAATGTGTGTAAGTAGTTTAGCCCCAAGAAGCAGGTATGCTTTCTTATTTAGTTCTGTAGCTTGCTGAGGTCATCTTCAAAATAGAGGGGTATCTTAGTCTCTGAAAGCTAACACTGAGTAAGTGGTAAAATACCCCTCAAACTTTCCAGAAAATTAACTGTTGGAGCAGTTTTTAATCTTTTAGGTATATGGCCAGTAATCCATCATAAAACAGCACCGACTAATTGCAGCAAATATGTGCGATACAGAAGTCGATAATGAAAGGAATCTCTTTAATTCCACCACCCAGAGACAACCATGCTTCCCATTTGGTGCACTGACTTCCCCTTGCTTCTGTGCATGTTTTTTATACAGTTGGGATCAGGCTGTGCAGTTTGGTACTGTGCTTTTTTCCTACCCAATACATGATCACAATTTCTTTAAAATGTATTATTTTAAATGGCTGCATATTTGACAGGGCAAGAGCGCCTTGTGTTAGCTTCTTCCCTAATTGGGGATGTTTACGTAGTGAATGATTTTGCTGTTATAAATTTTCCTGTAGTGAACGTATTTGGCTTACAAGTTTTCTTAGGTATTTGAGATTATTTATATTAGAAGATATTTTTGTAAGAGGAATTTTACATCAGGTTCTTTGAGCACTTTTCACTCTTGACCCTGCGCGCCCAATTGCTTTTGAAGAAGTGGGGTTTCTAGCAAAGCGGGAAGCCAGGTTCACACATTCTGGCCAGCAGGGCATGTTTTTCAACAGCCACAAAAGACATCATAAAATACATCAAGCCCCTATTTATTTCCCTTCCTATAGGAGACTCCTCTCACTTGTATATTATCTAAATGGACTTAAGAATAATTGTGTCAAATCCCGATTGAAATTTCCTAATATTTAGTTAACTTTAAATCTTGAAAAAATAGCTACCACAACGTGGAGCACCTGTCTTTATGTTTCGTGTTTTGGTTTTGGATGAATCCTAGGAGCCACTGTATGAGCTGAGCACCGTTAGCCCATCTTCTAGCTGGGAAGGAGGGAGGATGAATGCCTAACCTCAGAAGTCAGGAGTCCTTACTCGGAGCTTCCTGTGTGACTCCGCCCCCTGTCACTTCTTGGGCTCCCTGACTTGAATGCACACATTTTGCAGGGTAGCCCTGGATCAAACCAGTCTAGACAAGAGGGAACGTAATTCTAAAAGGTAGTACCTGCTTCAGAGTGGAGAGAGTTTTCAGTACTTGGGGATTAGCGGGAAAAAAGAGTCTGGGTCAACTCAGTTTATTTTCCCTCCAAAGAAAGAGTTTATGTGATTGGGTTCAAAAGAAAGGGGAAAGGAGAAGCATCAAAGGGTTTAATTTGAACCTGATTCTAGGACAAGAGAAGTGCTGACTCCTGAGAGGCCAGAGAACTGGCAGTGGGTGAGGAGGACTATAGAGAATCAGGCAGGGAAGAAGAAGGAAAAAGAAAAAGAGCAGGGCTATGTGCGTGGACCAAGTCGAAATGCAGTGTTTGTGAAACGTGTGTGGCACTGGCAGTTGGAAAATTTATAGATGTGATAAGTGCAATGTACTTGGTGATTATATAGGATAACTGATATGAAATTGCTTTGAAAATACATGAGTGTTCTTCTCCTTCTCTTGATCATATTCTAAATTTGATTGGAGTCACCAGCAGCTCATTTGCAATAGTCTTCCTAATTCTTCTGTTAGTTTTAAATTATGGAACAGAGACCAAGTCAAGTATACAATACAATAAGGCCCTTTTTGGACACTCAGCCCCGTGCTAAGGTACGTTTGACGACCTGGGATTACTTGAAGTACTATATTTATTTTAGTAAGACCAGTAAACAAAAGTACATAGTATAGAAAAACCAGTACAGAAACAATATTGGCACCAATATAATGTCAAAATACATAATATTAGATTTAAACTGGAATTAATTTATCATCATTAAGAAAATCATACTTTATCAGACCTGATAGACCAGTGACAATTGTGAGATAAAATTGAGGATTATCAGCTTAATAATAAGGTAAAGGCTGAGTCCATTGATTTTATTGTCTTAAATATATTTTGGAGGTTTACTGATTGATAAAAAAATCTGTTGAACAATTTTAATATGTGGGAGCTGCAACTCAAATAGACTTTGGAAAATAAGATTTTATAAGCAGCAATTAAAAGTAGGTTATTGGAGAAGTGGCTTTTGAACATGAACAGACAGAGTCTTCTTTATCTGTCTACACAAGTGTGCCAGTGTGGACGTTTGTTTTTGTGAAGAGAACCATTCCATACCCTCACTCAAGGACAGTTCCCTTCTTTTAAATAGAGCAGAAAGTACATTCTCTGAATCACGCAGGTACTCATGATATCTTTTTAAATGGAAAGTTCTCCCTTGTGAATCCCCAGATGACAAATTCTTCCTGCACCATAGCTGCGGGTTCATGAGGCCCGGGACAGTTATGATAACAATTCTGAAAGCACTCAGAAAGCCCACTGAAGCAGGGAGCAGGAACACAAGTGGTGGTGCACCTAAAGGCTTCAGCGACCCTGGGAGAGCCAAAAGGCAGTTCTTGCACGTGGCAAAAAATGTAGGTGGTTAAAAGAGGACTATAGGGGAATGTCCAACATGTTTTTAAAGGTACCCAAAGTAAATAATTCTCAGTTATCTGCTTTATAAAGGAAACTTTCAGCATGTTCAGCAGGCACTGAGCAGGCAGGAGAGTCGGCCAGCGCAGCTCTCCGCCAAGACTGTCTGGCAGTCAGCTCGGGAGTGAGTCACCGACTCCCTTCAAGGGGAGAAGGAGCATGTGGGCTTTCGGGTTTTTACAAAGGTTCAAATTGCATAAGATGCTCATTTTAATTAATGAGAAATTTCAGAGGAAAGTACTAGAAGCAAAAATAAAAAGAAATCTCATCAGAGAAGTCTGCTGGTACTTCAGCATGTATATGAGTGTATCATATACACTCATTTATCAGCATGTATATGAGTGTATCCCCTTAATATTCACAATGCATTTTTTTTTTAAATGCACTGTTTAATTTACACAAAATTCTTGATTTGCAGGTGAAAAGAGCTCAGGTGTTAGAGCTTAGAGAAGTGTGTCCAAGTTTTACCATCTGAAAGTGATAAAAGCAAGGGATCCCTGAGAATGCAGGCTGGGCTAGCGTGCTCCACTGCAGGGCCTGCTCCAGAATGTCCTAATTTTTATTATAGTGCCCTGAAAAGGGAAGGAATGGGGGGAGGACTATATATGGGAAACCAAAGAATATCCTAATCTAGAACTCACATGTTACCACTATGAAAACATTGTCTACTGCAGCCCAAATAAACTCCAACACGGAATATAGATTGTGAACTGGAATACTGTGGAGAAAGATCATTTGCTAGTGAGAGTAAGACCTGCAGTGAAACAGGCTTCAGCAGTTCATTGAAAACTCTATTTTATTTGTATTTATTTAACAACTTATTTTAAAATAAAAAAAAGTCAACCTAAAAGTGAATGAAGCACAGAACCAGTTAATTTTTAGTTTTAACAAGAACAATTGGGCCATCACTGTACTGTCAGTTCGGTTCCTGTTTCAGGACCGCTGGTGAATATTTAGGATGGCATTAAGTGTCATTTTGACAGAGGGCAGTGTAGCTGCCCGGCTTCGATCTCTGTCCACATGCTCTCTGTGTGACGTCAGAAGAGTTACTTCACCTGCCTGCAACTCAGTTTCTAATCTCAATGTGGGATTAATCATGGGTCTCAATGTGGGATTAATCATGGGTCCAGGATCACAAGGCTGGTATGAAGGATCAATTGCCAACCTATGCCAAATGCTCAAGCAAGCCCAGGTCTGTGTCAGGGGAGGGTATGCTAAGTGCACCAAGCCATTCTGGGTTCTGTGTCCAGGAGACTCCTGGGGTTTACTGGACCCAGAGTGTGAGATGGTGCCTGGCCTCAGCCTGAGCACAGTAAGGTCATTGCCTTGCCCACATCTGCAATGTCTCCCTCGCAGGGGCATCCTGGGGGACATTGCCCTGCAGCTACACCAATGTGGACCATGCTCTCACCATGCACCAGGCACTGTTCCAGGTACTGAGATGCACAGAGCAGAGCAGGGGCAGAGTGGGGCTTGCCTCCCAGGAGGGTACACTCTGGTGTGCATGGAATAAGTGTCAGTAGGTTATGATGATTGCTATGAAGAGTAATTCAGAGTAAGAGACAGTGCGTGTGCTGGAAAGAGATGCTTGAGCAGAGATCTGAGGGAGGTGAGGATGTGAGCAAAGCTGTTGGCAGAGAAACCTGAACTGGCAGGAGGAATGGCGGGTGAATCCCAGGCTGTGTGGCAGGTGCATGCTTGATGTGTTAGGAACAGCGGAGGGGCAGGCGTGAGGAAGTGGGAGACGGGGAGGGAGCGTCGTCAGGGAGGAAGGGCTGGGGTTGGGATCACATTCCGAAAGTGCTATAGGCCATGCAGGGGAGTATCAGGAAGGACAGTTGACTTTTATCTGGAAGGGCAGAGAGGGCCACTGAGTGGTTTTGAGTAGGTTTGAAACATGATCCAATTTAGATGTGATAATGATGTGACTTAAACGTTGAAGCTCACTCTGGGTGCAGAGTGAAAGAATAGAATGGAATCTGGAGTGAGGTGAGAGGGGGTTAACCCGAGATGCAGTGGGGACAGTGAAGAGGTGATTGCAGTGGCCCAGGGGAGTGGCTGTTTTGGCCAGCAGCATTAGCTGATAGGTTATTGTGGGCATGAAGGAAAGAGAGAAGTCAGGGATGACCCCTAGGTATTTTGCTAGAGAACCCAACAGGTATTTTGCTCCATCACCTGCCTATGATCGAGCTGGAGAGGGCAGTAGGGAAGAGGTTTGGGTACAGAAGGTCACAGGTGCAGTGGTGGTGTGGGAAGCCCCTGGAGACACCACTAGGTCTCCCAGTGAATGTAGAGGTCTGGAGGACAGAGAGGGATTGGGCTGGAGGTGTGGACCTGAGGTGTTTCCATACTTTGGGAGGCATTTAAGCCACTGGTTTGGATGAGACAGTCGGAGGTTAAGTGCACACAAAAAGGAAAGGGTGTCTGGATCGTGCCCTGGGGCATGCTTGTGTTCTGAGGTCAGGAAGGTAAGAGAGGCAGCAGGACTGAGGGGAAGAGGCAAGTAAAGGGAAAGACAGACAGAGCCGTGCCCTGAGGCCCAGTGGAAAGGATTGTAGGAATGTTGCCCACAGGTCAACTAAGCTGAGGACCAAGACTTGATCTTCAGATTTGGCCATGTGGAGTTCATTACTGGCCTCCAGAAGAGAAGCTTCCTTGGGATGCAGGTAGTGAAGGCCTGGCAGAGTGGTTACAAGAGAAGGGAGGGGAGGCAGCGGGGGTTGCTCATATGGACAAATCTCCCAGTGAGTTTTCATGGAAGACGGGCAAAGAATGGAGCAGTGACTGGAAGGGAATATGGGGTGAATGAAAGGCTCTTTTAAAGAGCGGTGGTATTAGAGCGGATGTGCTTGCTGATGGGCATGGCAAGAGAATGGGGAGAATGTGTGTAAGGACTGGGATGGAACATCACTGTGTCATCACCTATGCAGGACCCCCAGTGTGGCTGGGAGGAGGAACAGGGCTGAGTCTAGGAAGGAGGGCAGGGTGGGAGAGGTGGCTCTGGCCTGTGGGGCCATAGGGCTTGGGTTTTACCTTGTGGGCAGCAGGATTCTGAGTTGGGCAGCAGTGCCAAGGGCAAGAATGGAGAACCTCCATGAAGATTGAGGAATACACTTCAGTAGGATTTCAGGAGCTGCAGGGAGAACTGGGGGATTTTAGGATTTGGCAGGAATATCGGAGAGTTCTAGCATGATGTTCCATGGCACAGACTCAGAGCCTCATAAAACAATGTGGTGCCTGTCCATGTTTTCCACCTTAAGAGGGGAAAGCTGTTATTTGGAACCCTGGGATTGACCCTCACTGTCCAGCCAGTGTCCATCTTGGTTTTGTTTTTCTGTTACATTGTTGTTGTTTTTCTAATATGGTGCTTAAGTGATCGGTAATGGGCATTTGAGGAAAACATCACACAATGGTGCCATTTAGAGGTACTCATTTAATGACCTGAAAGTAACAGACAAATAAACAGAAGAGACATTTTTCAGAAGTCATTAAATACTGGGGAAGAACAAAGTTTAAGAAGACAGATAAGCTGCAGCTTAAAACAAGCCCAGTTCAAGGTCCAAAGTAATTTCCAGTCAAAATACGTCTGCAGTTGCCATTATCGAACTCACTGTATGTAAGTCAGAAGTGGTCATCCATATAAGAGAAGCACGTCACACACTGCCTTCACTAGCACCCGTGGTGGAATGACAATACCGAAAAGATTTTTTCTTCTCCAGAAATGACGCCACAACTTGTACTCTTTCAAGTACCAAATAAGGAAAATGTTGGAACTGAGAATATGGCATAAGTGGGACATGTTTTGTAGAGAATATGCATTCAATATAAGGAAATAATTCCTATTTTAAGAGAACCTAGTGAATTAACCCAGACTAAAATTGAAGGGTAAGTCACCAAATTTTCAAATATTTCTGTTATGTCTAAGACTGTTGTTAGTAATAGGGATATAATCTCAGCTCACAAAAATTTACTTCCCCAAAGAATGGAGCCTTTATTTGTCCTTGAAGCACTCGTGGACTCTGGTCGACCTCAGGATGAGCAGAGCTCCTGGGCTGTACTCAGTGCAGTTGAGAAAAGCAGAAGTGGCGCGTCGGCGAGTGTAGGCTGCCTGCTGACCCTAAACGGAGTGAGCGCTTTATGGGCTGAGGACATCTTGGTTTCCACCTGTAGGACTCATCCGTCACACGCTGCACATTAGTGCTCACCAAAGGCATAGCCCTGGATTTCTGTGTTATTTTGTTTTTCAAGTGCTTTCAATGAGCCAAAATGGAACAAAGCAAGCTGAAGTTCCTCCTTAGCTTAGCAGCAGTTCTTAAAGATCATACAGCTTGATAGAGGCGCTAGCCAGTTCCCCAGGCATGTGTGAAGGTCTCCTGTATGAAGGCACTTACACACCAGGGGCTGAGAAAACACAGCATTTGCCTTCTATGATACAGCACGAGCCTTTCTCTCCATGGCTGTGAAAGCGGTGTATTTCATAACCACGCACTGCAGATGAAGCATTTTTGAGGATGGCCTATGGACAGAGGAGGGCCTCCAGCTCATGAAAAAACAAAACAAACAAACAAAAAAAAACCCCTCTGCTCCTACCCCGATAGGCATCATCAGAGCTTTTTAAGAATCTGTTTCTTCCCTCCTAGAGGCTATCTTCAGTTAATACAGCAAGGACAACACTGCAAATCCCCAGCCATGGCCCCATCGTACAAAGAAAGGTCTACAGATAAAGGCAAAAGGCAGTATGGCAGGAAAGGGCAGACACTGACATTCCTCCAAGAAAAGTGTAATTATGTGCAAATGTGTGTAGATATACTGAAACTAATGAAAATAATTTTGATCAAGAAGTAGAATCCGAGCTTTGAAATTCTTAAGCATAGCATTCTATTCCGTCACTGTGGGAAATGATTAGGGTATTTGTGAGTGGGATTCAGAGCCCAGTGGGATGGTGTTTCCCTAAAACTGGCAGAGCAGGAGTGTCTTTATCTCCGCTTCTGGAGAGAGCCACGGAAAACAACGCTCACAGAGACATCACTGTGGCTGCACAGCCTCCAAATGGTCAATCATGAAGTCAAGCCCTTGTCTCTGGACAGCCAGGGCTGTTACCATCTAACACAATTTAGGAACATTTTCACAACAGAGAATGGAGTAGCTTAGAAAACTTTAATTTCACCATTAAGATCTGCTTTTTCTACTAGTACCTCAATTGGTAAGATAAAGAGACAGCAAAGACCTTCCAAAAACTGAGCACCTGGACGTGGTCTAAAATTGAGTTGCAAACTCGGTGACAATTATGAAGTCCATGAGAAGTGCATCATGAAGCCAGATCTGGTTTGACCAATAGTTACACAACTGGGCAGGTACAAAATATAACCTTCTTTTTTCCCCCTGCAAAACTCTGAAGAAGAAGGCTGTTCACTGGGAGGAGCTATGCTAGGCTTAGTGCTATGTCTTTCCGAAGTGTGCAACTACCATGGATGTTGGAGAAAGGGGAATTTAATGTTTTTAAATATGAAATCACAGAGTTAAAAAAGTATACATCTGTGGGCTCCGTACTAACAGGAGTGAATTTTAGCTTGTTAGAGCTTCAAGTATATGCATTTTTATGGTGATGTGAAACTTAGATCAAAAGAGCATTATTCCTTTATTCTTTATTCTCTCATTCTATTCAAAAGGGAATAGCTTTAGGGCCAGCAAAGAATTGATCTGTTAGATGCAATCAATAAAAATGACTGACTTTTAAGAACAGGGTGGAGCAGGCCTGCATCGATTCTGACCTCAGCATCTCTCCATGGCTGGTGGCTCTCAGCTCTGATTTCAGCCTTTTCATGGGAGAGAAAGCACTTTAAGCACAGCTAGGGCCCCACAGCTGGGCACTTCAGGGAAGTACCAGGAATCACATGTTCTTCTCCCAAGTGCCCAGGGCACTCGCTTCTTGGGAACCACAGCTGGCTTTCAGTTTGGTAAGTCCCCTTGAAGCCAAATTTGCAGTCAAGTGCTCAGTAATTCAAAACCAGTTGCTATTTGCACATCTGAAAGCAGCTGTAGAAACCTGAGGTGGGATCCATGCTCTTCAGCTGTGGGGCTGTCTTCTGGGCTTGTGGTCTCTCTGTCCCCCCAGATACCATCCTCAGTTTGTCTAGATCTGCTAGGGCAGTTTCTAGTTTTGTTCTGCTCATATTACATAAGCTTTTGGAATCTGGATAACTTGATTGAACAAACAAAAAATGTTCTTGTGTCTTCCCTGAGGGTCAGCCCACTTTTCTTGAGGGCTTATTGTGTGACGCTGGGTCCCACAGAATGTGTTGTGAGCTGGCACACTGAAGGGGCAGGACCCCAGAGATGACACAGACTCCATCATGTCTGTCACTCACTCTCCAATCCTGGCATATTATTCACAGCACAAATGCTCCCAGACCAACTAAGGATGCAGTGAGGTTTGGGAACAACAACCTCGGAAAGTTTCTCAGCGTCCCCTCCATGCCCCAGCGCCCAGTGCAGGTGACTCTAGCAATATGAGAACTCGGTTTTTGTGTGTTTAAACCAAACTTCTGAAATCCCCTGTGAGTGGATTAGGCTCTGCCAGTCCATGCGCAATGGCTAATTGGTTGTTAAAAATGGCTAAAATATTGACATAAACCAATTCCTTAGAATCACAGAATGATAGACTTTGAGCCTCAGGTTAGGTGGTTGGATAACTAGCCCCAAGCAGAGTATCCTTGGATGTTGGAGAACTGAGGTGTATCAAGGCCAAACAATCCCCTAGGCACTATGGGAGCTGTGTTCTCAGATCCTCGTCTCAGGAGACAAGCCTCCACGTGACTCCCTGGTTTCTGTATCTTGAGAAGAATTTGTAAGAAATAATATGTTTTAACGCTTCCTCTTGTTTCTCTTTTTAAAAGCTTTTCACAGATGCCAACCAGTTCAGTGAAAGATGAGACCAATGACAACATCACGATATTTACCAGGATCTTGGATGGGCTCTTGGATGGCTACGACAACAGACTTCGGCCCGGGCTGGGAGGTGAGTGTGCTCTCCTCAGCTGAGCCCAGCAAGGATCCAGGAAGGGCTTAAGTCTCGTCTCAAGCTTGTGTTTGCGCTGATTCAAACAATTCCTAAAAGAGCTTCCCTGCCAGGATTTTGGTATGATGGCTGTTCCACTCTTGCCAAGAATCATGCACCCTTTGTTATTGTCTAGACGCAAGATCCTTTGTTATTTTCTAGACGCAAGATCCTTTGTTATTTCTAGGTGGAAGAAGCTGGGGGAAGTGGTCTTCCCAAACATCTTTGCAAAATCCCCTCTTCCCAGATAATCTTAATGTCTAGTCTGGTTAACTTAAGGAGGAACCAGCTTTTAGGCGTTACTAAAGCTGAGATTACCCTATGTTAAGAAATAATATAAAATCAACCTCATAGTCTTGTATCTATGCGAGTCCTTTTCAGAAATCCACTGTGGAATGCAGTCATCCTTTATATCTTTATGGGTTATGCATTTAGTGCTTCACTATGGCCATAGTCCTAGTATTTACTTTGACTTTGTGGAATTCAATAAAAATGAACTGATGTAGATTGTTCTTGTAGGGCACACCTGGCACAGCTTCATTGTTGTGCTAAGAATTGTGTGCAGTTTCCAGGC
This sequence comes from Homo sapiens, assembly GCF_000001405.40. Taxonomy (NCBI): domain Eukaryota; kingdom Metazoa; phylum Chordata; class Mammalia; order Primates; family Hominidae; genus Homo; species Homo sapiens. Next base: position 26,881,581 of record NC_000015.10, read on the forward strand.
ATGTGCAATCCCCTTGGCTCTACAGTTTAGATGTGGAGTCTGAACTTGTTGGGTTAGGTGAGGTAGACACTTTCCAGTGAATACATTCTTGGAGGAAAAAATTTAGTTGTCTAGTGTTTGCATTTTTTTTTTATTTGAGATGGAGTTTCGCTCCTGTTGCCCAGGCAGGAGTGCAATGGCATGATCTCGGCTCACTGCAACCTCTGCCTCCCAGGTTTAAGTGATTCTCCTGCCTCAGCCTCCGGAGTAGCTGGGATTACAGGTGCACACCACCATGCCCAGCTAATTTTTGTGTTTTTAGTAGAGATGGGGTTTCACCATGTTGGCCAGGCTGGTCTTAAACTCCAGACCGCAGGCGATCCACCCACCTCGGCCTCCCAAAGTGCTGGGATTACAGGTGTGAGCCACAGTGCCCCGCCTAGTATTTGCATTTTTAACAGGGAGATCCACTTAAAGCATGAGTTGCCACTCTCTGCCTTTTGGGCACAGGCTCCTTAACAGTCTCTTACTCTGCCCTCTGAATTATGTTCCTAGGCCTGTGTGCCCAGCAGTCCAGTCCCTTGAACACACTCAGAAGGGTCAGAGCATCTAGAGGAGCCCTAAGCTGCTGTCAGTGCTTGTGGTATTCTCTCATCCTCTCTGCCTTCCAGTCCTACAGAGTAGGAGGATACCATGGAAAGCCTCCCGGGCCACCCTGCTGGGGCTGGCATCTCAGTGAGGAGACAGGCACACTGCATCATACAACACACAGCATCACACAGACACCTGCCCACGCACAGATGCACGCCATGCAGACGATCATCACACCGCGAGCTGCTGGAGAGGCAGGCCCACAGTGCGGCTGGAAGTTACCCGGTGTGGGCTGCAGTGCACTTTGAATTGCTTCCTACTCATGACCACGGGGACTTACAGGGCTGTGGTAGTGCCCAGGGAAGTACACAGGTTTTCCCCCAAATATTATTAGCCACTTTTATCACTTTACCTATTTCCAATAATTTTGTTTGAAATCACAGTCTCCCATGATAGGGCTTTCTATAATAACAGTTCGAAACGCTACATAAAGAGAAGTGGGTCTTCCTGTCTCAGGGCGCACTGGGCACATTCTCAACATCGTTTCCCGGAGACCACCCAGGACCTCCTGCTTTGATTGGAAAGTCAGCTCCCCTCATCCTGAATTGTCTGATGCTTTTTAAAGCCCCTCTCTGTGGCGACGGCGTGGCCCTGAGCTGCCAGGCTGGCATCATTGCTCCAGGTTTACAGAGGAGGAAATGGAAGCTCGGGTGTTTGCAAAACCCCAAGGCCCCACGGCGAGGCCTCAGCCCAGGTCTTTCCAGGACTGCTCCCCAGGGAGCAGAAGGAGGAGGAGAGCCAAGCTGTGTTCTGTATGATGGGAATTTCATTTCATGGTATAGCGGGGAGCAGCTCGATTTCATCTGGTAATTGTCAAGTCCTCCAAATTTACCAAACGCACTGCAAAAGCCCCCGGTTGCAGAGGGTGACCCTGGTTACTGGACTGAGAGCACGAGAGTGTGCCAGACGCGCAGGGTGGGTCGGTGCAGCCCAGGGACCTGTGTCTGTCTTTCAGAGCGCATCACTCAGGTGAGGACCGACATCTACGTCACCAGCTTCGGCCCGGTGTCCGACACGGAAATGGTAGGTCCCGGGGCATGGCTGGGCAGACAATTCTTACTCCGCGCCGCAGGCCCCCGCCCAGGCCCCGTGCCCTCTGACTGCCTCGTGCCTTCCTTTCCACTAGGAGTACACCATAGACGTGTTTTTCCGACAAAGCTGGAAAGATGAAAGGCTTCGGTTTAAGGGGCCCATGCAGCGCCTCCCTCTCAACAACCTCCTTGCCAGCAAGATCTGGACCCCAGACACGTTCTTCCACAACGGGAAGAAGTCCATCGCTCACAACATGACCACGCCCAACAAGCTGCTGCGGCTGGAGGACGACGGCACCCTGCTCTACACCATGCGGTGAGCGCCGGGCGGGGGCGGGCGGGGCCGGGGGACGGTGCGGGGCAGGCGCGGCTGCCCATCCTGCCGCAAGAGCTGCGCCGCGGAGCTGTTCTGACCATAGGTCTGAGACTGCGGCGCGTGTGTGCTGGGGGTTCCCCGTTGCCATCTGCCCACACCAGCGCTCTTGGACGTTCTTTCCCAGGGCTGCCATAGGTCCGTGGCCGTTTGTCATTTGGACTCGTTTATTCGGTTCAAGCTCAAGAGCATCTTTGGAACCATGGCCCATATAATGTCGGATAGGGAAAAATTATTATATTAAACTTAAACATCTAAGGAGGACCGGGCGTGGTGGCTCATGCCTGTACACCTTTAATCCCAACACTCTGGGAGGCTGAGGTGGGAGGATTGCTTGAGGCCAGAAGTTCGAGATTAGCCTGGACAACATAGCGAGACCTTGTTTCTACCAAAAAAAAAGAAACAAAAAAAAACAAAAAAGAAATTCACCCAGGCGAGGAGGCATGCACCTGTGGTCCTAACTACTTGGCAGGCTGAGGTGGTAGGATCCCTTGAGACCAAGAGTTTGAGGTTGCACTAAGCCATGATTGTACCACTGCGCTCCAGCCTGGGTGACAGAGTGAGATTCTGTCTCGAAAAAAGAAAAAAAAAAGAAGGGAATTTTTTATTTTCTTTTGTTGCAATTGTGTAGCCTTTGGAAGTTTTAAAAGCCTATTTCTCACATGCTTGGATAACATTCCAATGTTGAGGTTAAGTTTTAGTATTTATAATTTAAATGGACTGTTAGTCATTTTTAAAATTTTGAATTATTCATTGCCTTGGATAAATCAACAAATTGGTCAATGAGAAAGGCTCCTTTAGAGTTTTTCAAAGTTTCCAAAGTGGGTCTATGGAAGTAGGCTTCAGAAAATATTTTTTAAATTGAAAAAAACAGCATTAAAGTCAAGTTAAAAAAAAGGAAGCACATTCCTTTTGCATAGGTACTGGAATTTCTCTATCTTGCTACAATTTTTCACGGTAAACTTTATGTTTAAAAAGAGTAATCATAGTGGAAAGTAATATTGATGCTCTCATCTTTGGAGGATCTGTGTTTCCTAGCATATGTTCTGGTGAATACTGTAACACACTGTGTCCTGTTGATTAAAGGGGAAAAAAAAATCAAGCTTTTAAAGAACTAAATTTTGTTCAGAGGTCTTACAAGGGACTGCAGACTGAGGCCTGTAGCCTGGGAGCCGCCTTTTGGAGGGGGTTTACCAACGGCGCGGTGCAGTCTTTCATCCTGCTGCTGTGCACTTGTGGTGGATAATCAGCCTGTGCAACATCTCATTGCAGCTTGGGTGCAAGAGCACATTTGGTTATGGTTTGCGGAGGCATAATCACTAACCCCCTCAGACCCTACCTTCTGTGTAGGAAAACGCAAGGACTGGTGCTCTTATCTTGTAAAGAATGTAGTGACTCAGGGCCAGGCACGGTGGCTCACGCCTGTAATCCCAGCACTTTGGGAGGCCGAGGCGGGAGGATCACGAGATCAGGAGATCGAGACCATCCTGGCTAACTTGGTGAAACCCCGTCTCTACTAAAAAAAATACAAAAAATTAGCCGGGCGTGGTGGCGGATGCCTGCAGTCCCAGCTACTTGGGAGGCTGAGGCAGGAAAATGGCGTGAACCTGGGAGGCGGAGCTTGCAGTGAGCCCAGATCGCACCACTGCACTCCAGCCTGGGCAACAGAGCAAGACTCCGTTTCAAAAAAAAAAAAAAAAAGAATGTGGTGACTCAGGCAAGAGATGTGGGGGGCGTGAGCTCTATCCTGTTTGAGCTTCAAAGCATCTTTCTGGAGACACAATCAGGGACTTTGTGAAATGATGCTGGCAGGTGGAAATGAGCAAAGGTGGCTTCTCTCACATTTGTTACCTTGTCTCACAGTTCCAAATCTATTTGACAGCAGGACTGTCCTGGTAACAGCCCAATAAGGAGCTGTGATGAGTGAGCCTAGAGCACACAACTTGGCATTTTGTCTTTCCTCGCATTGATCTTGAACGTGTTTGCCCATAGATGGAGATGTGAGTTTTGAGCATCAGTGTCCTTGGACATTACCTTGTTGATTTAGAGAGGTTGTTGAAAACCTGAGAAATATTTCAAGGGTTGAGAATAAGTCCTTAGCCATCAGTCCATGGAAAAAGGAAGGGTTTGGAGAGAAGCGAGTGCAGTCTCAGCCCTGTGTGTAGACAGCAGGTGTGGAGACAGAGGCCGAGGTGTTGGAGGATGTCTAGGGGTTCACGTAGGGCTGGGAGGAATGCTGGATGTGGTTACTGTGGGGATGCCTGTGTTCTGCTCATGGAATGAGAATACACTCCTGGTCCTCGTCGGACTAGTGTTCTTGATTCTCATCCTAATTAAATCTAATCTTACTTTAATCTTTGGGTCCAAAGCCTGAAAGGTGTACCATATATATGCAGTTTGCTGTTGTTGTTGTTGTTGTTGTTGAGATGGAGTCTCACTCTGTCACCCAGGCTGGAGTACAATGGCACGATCTCGGTTCACTGCAACCTCCACCTCCCGGGTTCGAGCGATTCTCTTGCCTCAGCCTCCCAAGTAGCTGGGATTACAGGCGTGTGCCACCACACCCGGCTGATTTTTGTATTTTTAGTAGGGAGGGGGTTTCACTACATTGGCCAGGCTGGTATTGAACTCCTGACCTCAGGTGATCCACTGGCCTCGGCCTCCCAAAGTGCTGGGATTACAGGCGTGAGCCACTGTGCCCAGCCAAGGTAAGCAGTTTTAATTCTAGAAGACAATGGGACACACTCTATTCTCTGAAGCATTGTTGTCTGAATGGGATGGAGAGTTAGTGTCATTCCTTACAAGGGGAAGAGGCAGGAATGGGGCCGCCTACTGAGTCTGTATAGCAGGCAACTTCACAGACACAGCGTCCTTCAGCCCTCAGACAGCCCTGCCAACCAGGTGACACTGTGACCATAATGGACAGAGAGAGTAAGGCTTAGGGGTGTTTGGTAACCAGCCCAGGATCACACAGCTAGTGAGGAGGTCACAGGAATTTGAGCTCATTTCTGAGCAATGTTCTTGTTTAATCCACCACATTTGAAAATTCGAGGGACACAACATCATTAGATTGAGAGTGGCTTTTTGGGAGTGTCATGCCCAGAAGGGAGCCAAGGAGAGGTGAGAACCAGAGCGACTTGCCAGTGGTAATTAGTGGCTGTTTGTGCGGAGGAAGAGTCTGCTAATGAGCTGCAAGGTTGATAATGAGTTTTCTTTTTCAGTCATATACAACATTTGGAAAGTGGAAATAGTTCCACTTCCAAGTGTTATGAATTTTAATGCGATAGAGCTATAGCTAGAATGCTACAGCAGTTTTACCTATTGATTTAGCAAAGCTGGTGAAATGGCTATGCAAACTACTGGTGAAATAGGAATCACCAAAGCACGAATCACCCTGTGGTTGAGCACTTCAGTGCCAGGGTCCTTCTGGTTGGGAAGACGCCACACTGTCAAGTCATGGAAAGCCAATGGTATACTTTGATCCAGTCATTCCCACATAGTATCCATCTCAAGGAAATAATTAGGACTATGGAATAAGCTTTATGCACAAAGGTGTCTATTATATTACTTATGATACCAAACACTGGAATAAATATTAAAATTTGGTAAATTTTTCAAATGAAAATGTATCTTTAATTTTTTTTCAGATGTTGGACCTAAGTAAAACGACAAAATATGAAAGTGTAGAACAAACTAGGTTTCCATGATGCCTTTTATTTATTTATTTATTTTTGAGAAAGAGTTTTGCTCTGTCATCCAGACTGGAGGGCAGTGGCGTGATCTCGGCTCATTGCAACCTCTGCCTCCCGGATTCAAGTGATTCTCCTGCCTCAGCCTCCCAAGTAGCTGGGATTACAGGTGCTTGCCACCATGCCCAGCTAATTTTTGTGTTTTTAAAGTAGAGACGGGGTTTCAGCATATTGGCCAGGCTGATCTTGAACTCCTAACCTCAGCCTCGGCCTCCACCCACCTCGGCCTCCACCCACATCGGCCTCCCAAAGTGCTGGGATTACAGGTGTGAGCCACTGCACCCAGCCCCCATGATGCCCTTTTAACCTGAGACAAACATCTAGAAATGTTTGCAGGAGTTCACTTACCATTTTCTTAAAAGTGACTCCATATAGGTTATTGTACTTAAATATATATATTTTTAAATTCCCTTTTATTTTTAATCGACCCATAATAATTGCACATCTAGATGAAATACAGACTGATACGTGTATTCAGTGTATAATGATCAAATCAGGGTGATCAGCATATCCGTCACCTCAAACATGTACCATTTCTTTGTGTTGTAAACATTCAAAACCCTCTCTTCTACCTTTTTGAAAATACACAATAAATTACAGTTAACTGTATTGAATAAGATTTTTTAATGGGAAATCCCTGCCATGTTTCTGAATTCCTTTAAATTAGTATTCAGAGTTACACACAATTGAGTGAGCTGGCATTCTTTACATAAGAGATTCAAAAAAAGCTGAGGGAATGTATGCTGTTTGCTCCCCAAATGTCTGGCAGTGAGCCCGAGGCATTTTTCTGGAACTTATCCATGATGTTGGCTCTGAAGAACTTCCTACCACGAGTGGGTCATGCATTCACTGAATTTTACAAGTGAAATTCAGTAGCTTCTCAGAATCAGCCCAAAGAGAGCAGCAAACATCTCCTGTTGCGTCCTCAAGAGGCTGCCTATAAAGTACTGAACAATTTCTTTGAGGACCATTTTTCAGCAAATGGAGTGAGCCAGTTTACAGAACCATGCCCAGAATTAGGCTTCCAGCACTAGGCAGGGCAGTCAGGTCACTCCAAGGAAGCTCAGAGCAGTTCCTCCCTGCCACGCCTTCCTTTGCAGGGCTGGAGAGGTTAGGGGAGCTGAACCCAGGGACTGGCCCGAGGTCATCTAGGGTCCAGATGGATGACCGTCCCTTAATTGTTTTCTCGGGTGAGGGGAGATAGAGCCTTTGGTTGTCATTACATAGCAGCAGGTCCATAGTCCCCTCCAGATAAGTGCCTGAAGTACAGGGTGGCCACCTGTTTCAGAGACCCCACCAGATCTGACATACATACACCATTACGTAAGTTATAAAGAGCATATAGAGATAATAACCAAGTGAATTGGGAGGCAATGGCTCCCTTTCATCTGCCATCTTCCCACACCTTCTAAAAGTGCCAACTTATGTGAGAACACACAGTGAGGGTCACCTTAGGGAATGTCCCCCTGGTCTTTGGGCCCCTGGCAGGAGAGCAAGTCCCCCCGGTAGGCTCTTGTGTGACTGCAACAGGCAAGGAGGGAGTCCCTAGAAGGCTGGCTCTGCCTGCACCACGTGGTTCTGCCTGGCTCAGAGAACCCGGCCGCTGCTCCACCCAAGGTCACTTGCCCGTGCCTGTTTAATAGAAAGATCTGGGCAAACATTGTAGAATGTTGACATTTTTACATTGTAGTAGATACGCTGCACCAAGTAAAATACCACTAGACAGTCGTGCACTGAATACCGCTCTGCATCATCTCTTTTGCACACTATGTATTCCTCTGTGCTGTTTTTACTTTAAGGAAGACATATTTTGATGATTGCTTACACTCCACTCCATTTGGATTTTCCCCATGAGTGGAAACCCCTGCTTAATTCATGAATTGGGGAAATACGATGTAGTGAAAAGATCGTGGACTTCGGAGTTAGGCTGACTTAAATTCAGGTCCTGACTGTCATTTAGTAGTCATGAGTCCTTGGAAATTATATTTTAATCTCCTAGAGCCACTGTCTTTTTTTTTTTTCTGGTTGGTTGGTTTTGGTTTTTCTCTTTTCTAATGCAGTATAGCTAGCTGCAGTCTGTTTCGTTCTTATTTGAAAACGGCTAGTAAATACACATATTCCTTAAACGGCCACTTGAGGGCAGCATTGTCACATTTTTGCTTCATGATTGGTAGTCAATATCAAATAGCATTAATAGGTAACTTGGATACATACATATCTGGAAGTTTTGAACTAGACACTGAGATGTGTTTGTATATATGTACAAGCATGCATAGCTATACATTGTCAAGTTCAAAGTGTCAAGTTCAAAGCTTCTTTCATGAAACCAGATGTATTGGCTGACTTGCAATTTTTAAGGTAACACATTTTATATTGGCAAGAATCAAAATATGATTTAAAAATTTATAAAACATAGAAAATTACAAAGTGCGGAATATGGTTATGATAACACCAAGACCAAAGAGAATCAATGTTAATATTTTAGTGTGTATCATGTTTATGTGTCCCTGCGTGTAGACATTCATGAATACATATGTGTATGTCTGTGTGTATGCACACATAGTCTCCTATAGTTTTTGAGTGGCCTCATTCACTGAAAACTTTTGTGAATAGCTTTACAATTTTAAAATATACAGCATTGAAAACATTTCCCATGTCATTAAACATTGTTTTGAAACTTTGTGATATAGCACATCCCATCATGTGGTTATCCTGTGTTTATATGATTTCTGTAAAAAAATTCACGATACATCTATTTTTTTTCTCTGTGATAACATTCTGGTCCAAGCACCTACGTATATCCTTTGAACAAATCCCAGGAATTGGACAAAACATAAATTTTTGATATTAATACAGATTTTCAAACTGTTCTCTAGAAAAATAGTACCAGTTTCACTTCCATCAACAGTGAGAGTAGAGACCACCTATTACTTCCTCTCTGGCACCTTATATACAAAAATGAACATGAAATTTCTGCCCATTTTGCTACATGAGATCCAATTAGCCAGTCCATTGAAAACCATGCATAACAGTTACTCATCTCAAGATTTGTAGTCACTTCAATTTTTTTTTTTTTTTTTTGCTTTGGGACGTGCCTCACAGAGCTCCCTTGTCCTGATTTAACTTGAATTGAGCCTTGTTCCCAAGGTTGGAGACATGGAGCCTGCCTGGGACACCACTGCCCTTTCCTCTGTCTGGTCCCGCCGATCTCCCTGTAGGCACGCAGCCACACCATCCTTCATGTCCTCAGTCACTGAAGACAGAGACTTTGCACCAGCCTGCTGTGGCCCCACTGCCTTTGACTTCCCAGCTGAAGTTCTGTGTTCCCCACAGAGCGTCTTTTGGACATATATGTCTCAATCATGTATAACACATGCATGATACACGTGTCCTGTGTAATTCCATATACTCCCTGTCATCCCGGCACTGGGCACTCAGGAGGAACTTATGTGTGTGCTTGTGAATGAATGAACCATAATGGAATGTATGAGATCTCCTTTTCCTAAATGAGGCCATCTCACCACCCAGACCCTAGTATGAGGGACTTGGAAAGAGATCCAGAGAATGTCTGGTTCACAGACATGTTCTGTGCTTAGGTTTCTGCCAATTTAATAAAGAGTCAGATTTAGTTTTGCTAAAATTGTACTTGCAGCATACAAATAAGGACATTTCAACACACATTTCTTGCATATTTGGTTTGAAAACGTGACCAGACATATTCTGGGCCTGTTGAGAAGGCCATCAGTCTGCAGCCACTGCAGGCAGTTCCGTCTGGCCAGGCCATGCTTTGGACTCTCGGGCACACATCTCACACAGGACCACATCACCCTTTGCAAATGGACCATCTCCAGCACATGTTTGCTTTCTTAGGTCCTGACCCCACAAAGGCTGCAGACATCCTCGTCCTAGTGAAACAGAAACCAGAGCTTCAGAAATATAAACGCATTTAAACTACATAACATACATTTGGTAGTATCTTTATCGTCCTTCACAACAGATGTGATAAATGAAACAGGTAAAAATGATCACATGGCAATTAGCCCATCGATAATGTCCAAGTGCCAAACCTCCTGGCCTCTCCCTATTTGCATAGATAGAATATATAGCAAGCATGCAACAGGAAGCTAGCTATGCGCGCTATTCAGCCATGGGGACTGAAAATAATGTCCACGAGGTGGCGCCGTGGCCTCGTGCATCGAGGGGAAGACTGACAGGAGGGCATTCTAGAGCTTGGTTAAAGCCCCGGATTCACCGAAGCACGTTTAGGGAAGACAAAGTGCTTCATGTCTGCAGAGTGTTCCTGAGCCTCTTGGCAGGTCTGCGCGGCCTTGAGGTTGCTCAGAGCCAGGGAGGCTGCGCTCAGCCTCAGGTCCTCCCTAGTGCGCAGCCAGCCTGCACCCACCACCGCGCTTCCGGACACCAGAGTCCCGAGTCAGGGCCACAGTGCTGCTGCAGGCATCCCTCCCCTCCCGGCCAGCGGGGAAAAGTGAGCCAAGTGACCCGCTCTGCTCATTTCAGCTCGGACGGTGGTCCCTTAAGCAGGCCGAAACTGATGGTCTCATCTCCTGCACGCTCTCTGGCCTTGAGCGCAAATGCCCCAGAAACGTTGGCCAAGCGCACCGGGTGGTGGAAAATTCGGAGCAGCCACCGCCTGGCAGGAGTGAGGCAGATGCGATTAGGATTTCCATGTTTACCCTGAGAATAGTTAGGCGTATGCCCCATGCTGCTGGAGAAGGAAGACTTGGCAGAGGCCTCCGTGCCCAAAGTGTTTCCCGGTTGGCCCGGAATCCGGAGTTTTTGTGGTCTTCACTCCTATGATTTGCACTGTCTGAAACGGTGACTAGACATTTATCACACTTTAAAATTAAGGTCGAAAAACATTAATAATCCAGGTCCCCCGTGTGCCAGCCACATTCCCAGCAGTGGGTAGCCGGCTGTGAACGGTGGCTTCCGCGCTGGCGGGCAGTGTGGACGGCGGCGTCACCCAGCCCCGGGGAAATGCAGCCCCGTGGCAGCCCCAGGCTCCCTTCTCCGGGCCCTACCCAGCCCGCGCCCCGGGGGCCCAGCAGTGGGGGGGCTGCCTTCCCCGGCCGCGCGCACATGACCTGCGAGTCCGCGGACACAGGGAAGCTTTAAAATATTTCAAGGCAAGTTAGAGTATTTATGCTACAATCTTTTAACGGAGGCGATTTTTCTAGAGCATTTTAGAAGTTTGAATGATCAAATAAACTATGACATCTAGCAGGAAACTAATACCCATTGCTAATCTAAAGTTTTATTATTGAAATTAGCTTTCTTCTCAGTAGGATCTCAAGTTTTTTGCATTGCTTCAAGCAATATTAATAAGGTCCGAGCAGAGGGGCTGTTACTTTCCGTTAGCATTCACATGGAGAAGAAGAGGATCGTGGGATGGAATCAGCTGAAGGGCCCCTTGGGGCAGGAGAGGTCTGGGCGGCTTCCGGAGGCTTCTCTGAGCAAGTTGTGCGGGGAGGATGGAGCAGTGTGTGGGTGTGTATGGGTATGTGTGGTGTGTGTGTGTATGAGGTTGTGTGTGCGTGATGTGTGTATGGATGCGTGTGTGTAGTGTGTGTATGGTGTGTGGTGCGCGTGGGGGGTGTATAGAGTGTGGCGTGTGTGTGTAGTGTGTTGTGTTTATGGTGCGTTTGTATGTATGGAGTGTGGTGTGTCTGTTGTGTGTGTACGCTGTGTGGCGTGTTTGGGGGTGTATGGTGTGTGGCATGTGTGTGTCTAGTGCGTGTGTATGGCGTGTTTCTAAGTGTATGGTGTGTGGCGTGTGTGGGGTGTGTATGTGGTGTGTGGTGTGTGTGTGTATAGTGTGTTGGGTGTGTATGGTGTGAGCGTATGGTGTGTGGCGTGAGTGTATATGGTGTGTTGTGTGTGTATGGTGTGTGTGTATGGCATATGGCGTGTGTGTATATGGTGTGTTGTGTGTATATGGCGTGTTGTGTGTCTATGGAGTGTCGTGTGTGTGTATGGTGTGTAGCGTGTGGCGGGACTATATGGAGTATGTGTATGGTGTGTTGTGTGTGTTGTGTGTGTATGGTGTGTGGCGTGTGTGTGACTGCCCCTACTCAGGTCCCTATGTGAAGTTATGAGCAGGGCACGGCCTGGGCCTGGACCTCCCTCCTGCGTGTGGATCTGATGGGAGCAGCGGTGGGGAGGACTGCAGCTGGTCGGGCTGCCTAGGGCTCCCCTTCCTCTGCCTCGTGTCCTTCCCGCTCGCCCATCCCTTCGACCACTCACAGTTTCACTAAGCCCTGTCTGCGGAGCCCAGGGCCTGCTCACCCTGGAGTGGCGCAGGGGAAACAGGAGGATCTGGGGGCACAGGAGTGGGCGAGGGGCTGAGTCTGGGGGTGAGGGGAGCAGGGCCCGGCGACCAGGCGGTGGGCACGGAGTCTGGGGTGAGCTCGAGCTGCGAAGGTGGAGAGGCTGGGCCAGGGGACCCGCGTGGGCAGCAGCATGGACCGGGGCGTCAGAGTGCAAGATGTGAGACCTATGTGCGCGCGGGGCGGCGGCAGCCGGTCAAGGGGCAGCAGGAAATCAGACCTCAAAGGTGGCCGGGGACAGATTCCAAGGACCCTTGCTTGAAGGCTGGTCACTGTTTCCTTTGGGCCTCCAGGAGTGTTAGGTCGAGGACTGGAGAGGGGAGGCAGTTCTCTCCGCGCGCCCCCTGTGCTCCCCAGACGCCCTTTGCACTGAAAGCCAAGGGCCGGAGGCTGGAGCGCAGCGGCCCGGGCAGAAGCCCTGCCCAGACGGCGCCGGACCTGGGCCCGGACTCTGCGAGCAGCCCAGCCCTCACTTGGACAAAGGTGGAAACGGAAGCCTTCTGGGAGGGATGCGTATTCCCGCGAATCCACTACACTTCTCTCGGGATGCTTTTCCTTCTTCAGGCCAGGCTAGCAACGCAAACCTCGACTCCAGAGAGGCCGGTGTGCGTCCAGGGGCCACCCCTTCACAGGCCGCGCCTGCACCCAGCGTCTGTTCTCACTGCCGGCCTCGCGGGCAGCCAGTGGGTCCCCGGGTGAGATGGTGCGGGCAGCGCTCCCGGAACGATCCCGGGCCCCTCCTTCCCCCCGGGCTCTTGCCTGCGCCTCTTCCACACAATTTGCGATTTCCGTGGCGTCAGATGGCTGTTCTTTGTCACCTGCTTGTAAGAGCTGGTCCCATGATGTCAAGCCTCTTCTCCTGGTCAAATCCAGTTTCCCCTCAGTTTCCTTCATCGGAATTCCTTGGCCTTCGTCATTCTTGGCTGCATGAACCTTTGATTTCCTGTACTCTCTGGTCCTGGCTCTAGGAATGATGTTATATGTAGCGCCTGGCGGTGTGCTGTGCGCTCACCGGAGGAGGTGTCCCTATTTTGCAGGTGATGGAACTCAGTTCTGGGACCTTTCTGAAGTCCCGCGGATCCATAGGCACAGTCCGGCCGCAGAATATCTGGTTCCTCCAATGTTTTTGTCTTCCAGTCTCCGTCTTGAGTATCTTTTCTGTAAATTCATTTGTTTCCGTGGGTCCGACTTCTGTCTATTTTATTTTCTGACATGGTTTAAAACACACCCAAGCCCTGATTTCATTCTCGGTGGCTCCTTGGGCGCCCCCTCTTAGGCATCCTGCTGGGGTCTGAAACTGAGCCCAGAGCTCTTCTCAAACAGGAGCTGCTGCCTGGTTCTCTGCTAACCAGCTGGTTTTATGTATGGATGGCTCCTTTTCGTTCTTTCTCTACCCGGGGGCACAAGCCCTTCGTTTTTAGCCCCTGGCTACTGCTGCAGGTCGCCCACCACGTCCTGACCCCACCTGCCGCCCCCTTCACCCTTCAGTCCCCCCACCTCATAGATGGCTGCCACTGCCACAGCTGGTTCCTTGTTACCAGATTCTCTCTCCTATTAATATTATTCCTTCTGAATATGGATGCCAGGACCAAGGTAAAAGACCACCCGGACTTACCATGTTAAGGATTTGTAGCTTGTGGACTAACTTGCGCATTCGTAATTCCACTTCTGTGCCTGTGCAGGCTCTGCCACTATTCTGCTTGGGGTGCAATCCGAACTCCGTCACTAACAGTGTGACTTGGGAGAAGTTATCCAACTGCTTCATGCCTTATGGAATAGAAATAGTACCTGTCTTCTAGTCTTGTTGAAAATATAAATGAGGCTGGGCGCGGTGGTTCACGCCTGTAATCCCAGCACTTTGGGTGGCCGAAGCTGGCGGATCACGAGGTCAGGAGATCGACACCATCCTGGCTAACAGGGTGAAACCCCGTCTCTACTAAAAATACAAAAAAAGTAGCCGGGCATGGTGGCACTCGCCTGTAATCCCAGCTACTCGGGAGGCGGAGGCAGGAGAATCGCTTGAACCCGGGAGGCGGAGGTTGCAGAGAGCCAAGATGGCGCCACCGCACACTCCAGCCTGGGCGACAGAGCAAGACTCCGTCAAAAAAAAAAAAAAAAGAAGAAGAAGAAGAAGAAAAAGAAAATATAAGTGAAAAGAGTTTTTTTCACAGCACCCAGCCCAGAGATACTCATTTAGCTCCTGTTGGCCATGCTGGGTACAGAGTCTCCCCGAGAGCTGGACCAGCCTCCCCCTGCCTCCATGCACAGTGGTCCGGATCCCCTTCCACCCTTCCCTGCACCCTGTGGTCGCACATTCTTCCTCCGGGTTATCAGTGCCCATTGCTCCCACCCTTCAGTCATTCCCTTGCTGGGCAACCGCTGACCGCTCCTTTGCCCGACATCATACAGAGTCTTCGATGATTTGGAATGTATTTTCTTCCTTTTTAAGGGCTCTGAAGTGTCTTTGTGTAAGTGTGTTCCTGTTGTCTCCAAAGAAACAAACATTTATCGGTGTCTCTGCAAAGTAGCCAAAAAAAGCTTTACAAAAGAGGTGTATGAAATAGCACATAATTTCTCTCAGAAATTCAAATGTTTTAACCCTGCTTTAAAATCTCCCTGACCAACAATCATGATTCAACTAATTTGAGTAGATTTCCTCATGGTCTGTGTCAGTCTCTCTCCCATCATTTGTCAGGCCAGAAACCCAGTGGGTTTCAATTAATTAAAGGAAAATTAATTGGATATTACTATGGGCTGAATTCTGTTGCTTCCAAATTTGTTTTTATTTTTCTAGGGGAAGAACAAATAATGTTTACTAGAAATAAACAGTCACAAGACTTTCTCCATCTTTTAATTTAACCAGGTCCATGTGTTAAGCAATTACTACTTTGTAATAATTTATTATTTCAATTTATAGTACCCCAAAATAGGAGTTGGTAGGTTTATTTTTACAATGAGAAGTGCTAGTGTGATTATACACACTGGCCTAAAGATGTTGAGGGAGTATATGAAGGAAAAAAGAAATTGCGTAGTGATGAGTGTGAATTAAACATCAGAAGGACGCTAATTTACCACCTGGTTAACCCAGTCATCACCAAGTTGGCCCAAGGTGATTGAGCAAGTATCTATATCACTGCTCCATTTCCTCGGGTGATTTATTTTTCTATATCTTTTCAAAAAGTTTTATTATGTGAATTTAAGCAGTGTAAATTAATATGTAGAGAAAAAAATCTCTACATCTTACAGATGTAGAGAAAAAAATCTCTACATCTTAGAGATGTAGAGAAAAAAATCTCTACATCTTAGAGATGTAGAGATGTAGATTTTTACATCTCTAGATGTAAACACATTTACAACACATTTATGACAGCACCTATGGAAAGAGAGGTCCCTTCACTGCCATTATAGAGAATACATGAGCGTGAATTTTAACCAGCCAAAGCAGCTATGTGACATGCCTATGTTGCTTCCAAATTCTTAAGTCCTAACCTCTCAGTTGTCAGAATGCGACTGCATTTGGCGAAGGGGTTCTAAAGAAGTAATTAAATGAATTTGAGGTCATTAGGAAGGGCCCTCATCCAATATAACTGGATCCTTATACAATGAGGAGAAGATTAGAACACGGGCACCCACAGAAGGAAGACCATGCGAGGACACAGGGAGAGGACAGCCATCTGCAAGCCAAGCACAGAGGCCTCAGAAAGAACCATCCCTGCCAACACCTTGATCTCAGACTTCTACCTCCAGAACTGTGGGAAAATACATGTCTGTAGTTTAAGCCACCCAGCCCGTGGTACTTTGTAATGGCAGCCCCAGCAGACTACTACAGAAGCTCCAGTGCTGTGCAAATGAAGAGCCCTGACTCGGCAGATACGCTGCATCAACTTCACACTCAAGGTGTCAATCCATTTCTTTACAAACTCAACAGGAGTACAAGTTGCCCCTTGATAACACTTAAAGTTTCAGGATTCAAATGTCTTTTAATCATAGAGAGGGTGGAACAAGATGCCTCTCGTTACTTTCCCTGTTACATGTCAATTCCTCCATCACAAGTCTCTGATTCTTTGCTGCACTAACTTAAAAGAAGTAGACCAGTCAACATCACATGTCGAACATCCCCTGTGTCTCGGGGATGCAACTGACCCACGGAGGGGCTTTTTAGTGCCCATTTTATCACATTGTTTTCTAAAAAATAATGCACCTCTTCCAAGTTCATGACACTTGGGGACTGGTAACTCAGAGCTCAATAATTTAAACGACAGCAAGAACAACCTGCAACATTTCCTCATTCACAGAAACTCCAGATATTCCCAGAATATTTGCCTGGCCACTTAGGGGTAATGATAGACTGACATAAAATGAGTTGCCGTGGTAGAAAATAGAGCATTTTGAAACGTGCACTGGAAAGAAGAGATTTAGGGTTGGATCACTTTCTTAGAAATTGAGAAGAATGCTACTGATTGGCAGATAGGTGGAAAATTGCTGTCAAGTTTCCAAGTATGGAAAAACAAATCCTCTGTTCAGTGAGTCAAGGCCCATGGGAAACGTAAACCAAATATTTGCATAGTGGAGGATGCTGTACAGCTGTGCTGGTGAGGCTACCTCAGGTGGGCTTCTGAGTGTCACTTTATACATCAAATTTCTATCCACTCACCCACACGCTTCAACAAGCACCCTTTCTCTCCACTCCCCAGAGAGGGGATGTGGTGCCATCATTTGAAAGAGTCTGCGTTGTTAAAACAAAGTGCTTAAATGGCATTATAAATATTAGCTCAAAGTATTCATTGGTTATCAGAGGCATTCAGAATTGTGGAAGAGGAGATCCAGCGATTGAAAGCAGCAACATCTGTAGGATGGAAGACTGGCACCTGTAGGCAGGGACCCTGTGGGCCTTCACATCCCCAGTCAGCATTCCCTCTGACCTGCCTGTAAGCCCAACAAGCTATGGGCTTTCTTATCTCCATTTCATTTACCCAATCTTTATTTCCTTTTTTCAGTTATCTTTGGGCTTAGCGTGCTCTTTTTTTTTTTTTTCTAATGTGTAAAGTTCCTTAATGTGTAAAGTTCAGTTATCAGTTGAAATCGTTTTTCGTTTTTAATGTGGGCATTCAGAGCTATAAATTTGACTCCAGGCACTGCTTTTGCTAGTCCCATAAGTATTGATAACTTGGGTTTTTGTTGTCATTTATCTCAATATTTTTTTCTTTTTTTAGGGACAGGGTGCCATCATAGCTCAGTGTAGCCTGAACTCCTGGGCTCAAGTGATCCTCCCACCTCAGCCTTCCAAGTAGTTAGGCACATGACACCATGCCCAGCTAATTTCTTTTATTTTTATAGAGACAGGGTCTTGCTATATTGCCCAGGCAGGTTAGGAACTGCTGGTTTCAAGCAATTCTCCTGCCTTGGCTTCTTAAAGTGCTGGGATTACAGGTGTGAGCCACCATTCCTGGCCTCAAAATTTTTAAAATTTCTCTTATGATGTACTCTTTGACCCATTTGTTATTTAGAAATGTGTTTAATTTCCACATATTTGTGAAAGTTTCAATTTTCCTTCTGTTACTGATTTCTAGTTTCATTACATTTGGTCAGAAGAGATACTTTGTATGATTTTACATTTTTAAAGTATGAGATTTGTTTTGTAGTTGAACAGATTGTCTATCCTGGGCATGCTCCCTGTGCGCTTGAGAAGAATGTGTATTCTGCTTTTGTTGGATAGAGTGTTCTATATATGCCTGTTAAGTCCATTTGCTTTATAGTATAGTCAAAGTCTTGTCAATGTTCTCTCTAGATACTCTACTCATTATTGAAAATGGGATATTCAGGTTTCCAACTGATATTGCAGAATAGTGTATTTTTCTCTGAGGTTTGTTAGTTTGGTCTGATATATTTTTGAGTTTCCATTTTGAGTTTCATATAGGTTTATAATTTCTATACATTTTGATGAACAGAGCCACTTATTATCATGTAATATCTTTGTCTCTTGCAACAAATTTTGTCTTAAAGTTCTCTTTGGTTTTGATGTCAATGGAATGCCTTTTTCATCCTTTCACTTTTGACTTTTTTATGGTTTTGGAACTAAAATGAGTCCTCGTACATGATAAAGAATTATTTTATATATCTATATCGATTCTGCCAATACCTGCCTTTTAATTGAAGTATTTAGTCCATTTACATTTAATATAATTGCTGAAAGGAAGGACTTTCTACCTTTTTTCTATTTGCTTTCTATATTGCTTATTCATTTCTTGTTCTACAGTTCTTTCATTTCTTCTTTTGTGTTTAATTGATGTTTTTTAGCGTACCACTTTAATTTTCATGTAATTTCTTTTACTGTATATTTTTAAATTATTCTATTAGTGGTTACCCTGCGGAATAAAATTAACATCTAAATTTATAACAATCTGGTTTGGGTTAAAACCAACTTAGTTTCAGTCATATATAAAAAACTTTGCTCCAGTAGCTCTGTCCTCCCATTGTTATTGTCATAAATTGTATCTTTACACATAGTTTGTGTAACATAGATTTGTAAATATTTATTAACATAGATTTACAATTATTATTTTATGCATTATTTTATGCATTATTAAATAATTATACAATTTTTTTGTATTTAAAGTCATATGGGATAAAAAATGGGTTACAAATCAAAAATATCATCATACTGATTTTATATTTACCTACATCATTACTGTTACTGCTGTTCTTGATATGGTTTTGAGTTATCCTCTTGTGTCCTTTTATCTCTGCCTAAAGGATTCCTTTGGCATTTATTATATGGCAAGTCTTATAGCAACGAACTCCCTCAGTTTTTAAAGAATGTATTTTTTAAAAGAATTTCATTTTTGGAGCAGTTTTAGGTTTACAGACAAATTAAGAGTATGGTACAGAAATTTTCCATAAACCCCTGTCCCTATACATGCATAGCTTCCCTCCTTACACATCCCCAACCAGAGTGGCACATATGTTACAACTGATGAACCTAAATTGACACATCATTATTACCCAAAGTCCATACTTTACATTAGGGTTCACTCTTGGTGGCGTACATTCTGTGTGTTCAGACAAAATTATAATGACATGTACTCACCATTACGATATCACAGGAGTATTTTTGTTGCTCTAAAAATCCTCTGTGCTCTGCTTAATTTTATCCCTCTCTCCCCTGAACCCCTGACAACTACTGACCTTTTTACTTCTTTTATAGTTTTGCCTTTTCCCAGAATGTCAAATAGTTAGAATCATACCGTGTGTCATATTTTCAAACTGGCTCACTTCACTTAGTAAAATGCATTTGAGTTTCCTTGGCACAACACTGCATTATCTGCATACACTATAGTTTATCCATTCATCTATGGAAGGACATCTTGATTGCTTCCGAGTTTTGGTAGTTATGAATAAGGCTGGTATAAACATTCTTGTGAAGGCTTTTGTGTAGGCATAAGTTTTCCATTTCTTTGGGTAAATACAAAGAGCACAATTGCTGATACAGTAAGGGTTTGTTTAGTTTTCTAAGAAGTTGCCAAGCTGCCTTCCAAAGTAGCTGAACCAATTTGCATTCACGTCAGCAGTTAATGAGCAAGTTTCTCTTGCTCCACATCCTCTCCAGTGTTTACTGTTGGCAGTGTTCTGGATTTCGGCCATTTTAGGAGATGTGTAGTGATATCTCAATGTTGCTTTAATTTGTGTTTTTCTGATGACATATGTCGTGGAGCATCTTTTCATATGCTTATTTATCATCTGTATGTCTTTTTTAGTAAGATGTTTGTTAAGGTCTTTTATCATTTTTTAATTGGGTTGTTTTCTTATGACTGAGTTTTATGAGTTCTTTGAATATTTTGGATAACAGCCCTTTGTCATATATGCCTTCTGCAAATATTTTCTCCTACTGTGTGACTTGTCTTTTCATTCTTTTCACAGTGTCTTTCACAGAACAGAAATGTTTAATTTTAATGAAATTTGGCTTATGAATTCTTACTTTCACAGACTGTGCTTTTGGTATCTCATCTAAAAAGTCATCACCAAACCCAAAGTCATTTAGATTTTCTCTTATGTTATAGGAGTTTTATAGTTTTGCATTTACCATTTAGATCTGTGATCCATTTTGAGTTAATTCTTGTGAAGGGTATAAGGTTAGTGTCTAGATTCATCTTTATACATGTGCATGCCCATTTGGTCCAGCACTTGTTGAAAAGACTGTCTCGTCTTCAGTCTGTGGTCTTTTGCTCCTTTGTCAAATATCAGTTGGCTGTATTTTTGGGTGGCTATTTCTGGACTGTGTTCTCTTCTATTTATCTAGTTGTCTATTCTTTCACCAATTCTACACTGTCTTGATTACTATAGCTTTATAAGTCTTGAATTGGGTGGTGTATGTCCTCTGACTTTGTTCTTTTCCCTCGATATCATTATGGCTACTCTGGGTCTTTTGCCTCTTCATATCAATATTAGAATCAGTTTGTTAATATCCACAAAACAACGTGCTTGAATTTTGATTGGCATTGCATAGCA
The DNA here is from genome assembly GCF_000001405.40 of Homo sapiens. Taxonomy (NCBI): domain Eukaryota; kingdom Metazoa; phylum Chordata; class Mammalia; order Primates; family Hominidae; genus Homo; species Homo sapiens. The sequence goes on from NC_000015.10 coordinate 26,902,216, forward strand.
TCTGTAGATTGAGTTGAGAGGAACTGAAATCTTGACAATATTGAGTATTCCTATGAATGAACATGGAATTTATCTCCATTTTGTTCTTTAATTTATTTTATTAGAGTTTTCTTGTTTTTCCCCTAAATATTATATACTAATTTTGTTAGATTTATACCTAAAGATTTCACTTTGGGGTGCTAATGTAACTTGTATTGTGTCTTTAAAATTTCATTTGTTCATTGCTGATATATAATAAAATAATTGACTTACATACATTGACCTTGTATCAGCAAGCTTACTCTATTCATGTATTAGTTCCAGGACTTTTCTGTTGTTGATTCTTTCAGATTTTATACATAGACGAGCATGCTCAAGCTCAATTGTGCTCAAGCGCAATTTTGTTTCTTTTTTTCTTTAATCTATATAAATTTTACTTCCTTTACTTGTCTTATTACATTAGCTAGAACTTTCAGTATAATGTGGAAAGGGTAGTGAGAGTAGACATCCTTGCCTTGTTCCTGATCTTAGTGACAAAGCTTTTAATTTCTCACTATTAAGTATGATGTTAGCTGTAGGTTTATGGTAGATTTTTAAAAAATCAAGTTGAGGAAGTTCCCCCATATTCCCAATTTACTGAAAGTTTTTATCATAAACAGGTATTAGATTTTGTTAAATGCTTTTTCTGCATCTATTAATATGAACATGTGATTTTTCTTGTTTAGCCTGTTGATGTAATGGATTACATTAATTGATTTTTGTTTTTTAAAAACTTTCATATTAGGTTCAGGGGTACATGTGCAGATTTGTTATATAGATAAACTGTGTCACAGTGGTTTGTTTATAGATTATTTTGTCACCCTGGTATTAAGCCTAGTAGCCAATAGTTATTTTTCCTGATCCTCTCCCTCATCCCACCCTCCACCCTCAAGAAGGCTCCAGTGTTTGCTGTTCCCCTCATTGCATCCATGTGTTCTCATCATTTAGCTCCCACTTATAAGTGAGAACATGTGGTATTTGGCTTTCTGTTGCTGTGTCAGTTTGCTAAGGATAATGACCTCCAGCTCCATCCATGTCCCCACAAAGGACATGATCTTCTTTTTTATGGCTGCATAGTATTCCATGGTGTATATGTACCACATTTTCTTCATTGATTCTAACTTTGATGGGCATTTAGGTTGGTTCTTTGTCTTTGTATTGTGAATTGTGCTATAATGAATGTAAGTGTGCATGTCTCTTTATCATAGACTGGTTTACATTCCTCTGAGTATATACTCAGTAACAGAATTGCTGGGTCAATGATATTTCTGCCTCTAGGTCTTTGAGGAGTTGCCCCACTGCTTTCCACAATGGTTGAACTAATTTACACTCCAGCCAACAGTGTATAAGCATTCCCCTTTCTCCACAACCTCACCAGCATCTGTTATTTTTTGACCTTTTAGTAATAGCCATTTGACTGGTGTGAGATGATGTCTCATTGTGGTTTTGATTTGCATTTCTCTAATGATCAGTGATATTTAGCTTTTTTTTCATATACTCATTGGCTGCATGTATGTCTTCTTTTGAAAAGTGTCTGTTCACATGCTTTGCTCGCTTTTTAACAGGATGTTTTGTTTTTTTTTCTTGTAAGTTTGTTTAAGTTCCTTATAGATTCTGGATATTAGACTTTTGTCAGATGCATATTAGACTTTTGCAGATATTTTCTCTCATTCTATAGGTTGTCTGCCTACTCTGTTGATAGTTCCCTTTGCTGTGCAGAAGCTCTTTAGTTTAATTAGATCCCATTTGTTCATTTTTGCTTTTTGTTGCAGTTGCTTTTGCTATCTTCATCATGAAATCATTGCCCATTCCTATGACTAGAATGGTATTGCCTAGGTTGTCTTGTAGGGTTTTTATAGTTTTGGGTTTTACTTTTAAGTATTTAATCCATCTTTAATATACTTTTAAGTATATGGTGTAAAAAAGGGGTACAGTTTCAATCTTCTGCATATAGCTAATCAGTTATCCCAGCACCATTTATAGGGAGTCCTTTTCCCATTGCTTATTTTTGTCAGTTGTATTGAAAATCAGATGGTTGTAGGTGTGTGGCCTTATTTCTGGGGTCTCTGTACTGTTCCACTGATCTATGCAGCTATTTTTGTACCAGTACCATGCTGTTTTGGTTACTGTACATCTGTAGTATAGTTTGAAGTTGGGTAGAATGATGTCTCCTGCTTTGTTCTTTTTGCTTAGGGTCGCCTTGGCTATTCAGGCTCTTTTTTGATTCCATATGAATTTTAAAAATAGTTTTTCTACTGTTGTGAAGAATGTCATTGGTAGGTTGATAGGATACAGCATTGAATCTGTAAATTGCTTTCAGCAGTATGGCCATTTTAGTGATATCAATTCTTCCTATCCATGAGCATGGAATGTTTTTCCATTTGTTTGTATTGTCTCTGATTTCTTTCAGCAGTGTTGTATAGTTCTCATTGTAGAGCTCTTTCACCTCCTGGGTGAGCTGTATTCCTAGGTATTTCATTCTTTTTGTGGTAATCATGAATGGGATTACATTCCTGATTTGGCTCTTGGCTTGGCTGTTCCTGATGTATAGGAATGCTACTGATTTTTTATATTGATTTTGTATCCTGAAACTTTGTTATTTATCAGCTGAAGGTGCTTTTGGGCTGAGACTATGGGGTTTTCTAGATGTAGGATCATGTCATCTGCAAACAGGGATAGTTTGACTTCCTTGCTTCCTATTAGGATGTCCTTTATTTCTTTATCTTGCCTGATTGCTCTAGCCAGGACTTCCAGTACTATATCGAATAGGAGTGGTGAGAGAGGGCATTTTTGTCTTGTGCCAGTTTTCAAGGAGAATTCTTCGAGCTTTTGCCCATTCAGAATGATGTTGACTGTGGATTTGTCATAGATGGCTCTTATTATTTTAAGGTATGTTCCTTCAGTACATAGTTTGTTGAGAGTTTTAACATGAAGGGTACATTAATTGATTTTGGAATGCTCCCTCAGTGGCTGTTTATCTGGAATATCATAATTTCTTCTTCATTTTGAAGGATCATTTTGTTGGAAATAGAATTCTTGGTTGACAAGTTTTTTTTTTCTTTCAGCACATTTAGTATTTCCTCCCACCACCTCTGGGCTTCCATGGTTTCTGATAGAAATCACCTGTTTATGTTACTTAGGATCCCTTGTGCATAAGTTTCTTCTCTCTTGCTTCTCTAAAGATTCTCTCTTCATCTTTGACTTTTGAAAGTCTGATTATAATGCAGCTCAGTCTGGATCTCTTAAATTTATACTACTGGAAGTTTATTGAGTTTCTTTTCCTTCATAAAATTTGGGACATTTTCAGCCATAATTTTTTTCAAATATTCTTTCTGTCCCTTTCTTCTTTTTCTCTTGTTCTGGGATTCCCATTATGTATCATTTGATACTGTTGATGGTGTCTTGTTAGTCTGTTAGACTCTGTTCATTTTTCTTCATTTTTTTTCTTTCTGCTCCTCAGAATGGATGATTTCATTTGACTTATCTTCAAATTTGCTGAATCTTAATCTTTCTTCTACCTGAACAATCTGCTGTTGAAACCCTCTAGTGAATTCTTTACTTCAGTTGTTGTTTTTTTTCACCTCCAGAATTTTTTTGGTTCTTTTTATAACTTCTTTTTATTTATATTCTCTATTTGTTGAGACATTGTTCTCCAGGTTTCCTTTATTTTCTTATTTCTTTTAGATCTTTGATATTTAAGACAGTTGATTTAACATGTTTTCTAGTAAGTCTAATGTCTGTGTGTCCTCAGAGACAGTTTTCATTCATTTATTTTTCCCTTTGAACAGGCCATTGTTTCTTTGATGTATTTTATTTTTTTCTTGAAAATAGGATATTTTGATTATTATAATGTGGTGACCCTGGATGTTATATTCTCCCATGTCCATAGTGGTTTTTGTTTGTTTGTTTATGCCTGTTGTGATTATTGTTGTTTGCTTGTTTGGTGAGTTTTTGAGCTAATATTGTGAAATCTGTATTGTTTGTTCTACAGGGCCACTCTTTCCTTAGTTCATTGGTCAACTAATGATTTGACAGAGATATTTTTAATGCCTGAAACCAAAATTTAAAAACCAAAACAATAAAAGCCTCTCTCAGTCTTTGCAGATAGGGTCTGTGTGCATGTTAAAACACTCTTTCAGTGCCTAGCCAGATAGTTTACAACATTGCTATAACTTTGCTTTCTTCTTGTGTGGAGTTTGAAGGTCAGCCAGACATGAAAACTTTGGGTCTTTTTAGGTATTTTTTTAGTATGTGTCCAGCCCTGGGCATGCACGTGACCTCTTAGATTTCCTGGTATAAGTGGGAGCTTTACAGCCCTTGTTCATTATGTATACCTTTCCTCAGCCTCTTCTTTCCTAGCTTTATGATGAAATAAATGCTTTAATTTCTTAACGTTAAACTTTGAATTTTATTGTGAGAAAGAACCTTTTTTGTGGATTTGTGCTGTTTCTCTTTTGTAGTATTTTAAAAAAATCATTCAGGCTTATGTGTATTTTCCTACATTTGATCTGTTAAAAAGATTTATTATGGAGTGTGTAGACGCACATAACAAATTAAACAAAAATAATTCCATTTCACGTCAATTATTACAATGTCCTCCTGAGAAACATGAGCATTAGAAAAAAGCAACAGCTATGTTAATCAAAATAGATCAATATACTTTATATCTCTTTTGGATAAGAAATATACTAACATCTCAAAATTATCAAACTTACGATGGTTTTCCCAACATAAATAGGAATTGCTGACATCTTCTTTTCAGTGGCCAAAGAGGAATGAGGATCCTAATAGTGCAAAGCACAGTGAGAAGTTTTAGCCCAGTATAATTCTGATGGTTGGTCTCATGTACCTCCTTACTACATTCAGGGATACAAAAGAAATCCATTAGCCTTAAAATAATTCATGAAATCTGTAATTCAAACTCAAAGTAAGCCGTATAATTTGGATCTATTTTTAAAAAGGAGACACTTTGTTATCTCAATAGCAGATATTTTAAAGCAAGGAACTCTACAGTAATATAAACCAAAGCGTGGATCATTTTAGTGTATTCTTATTTGAAAGACTTTAAAATTTCAGTAATACCCTAAGTTGACTTTTACAAGCTTGCTCTTCACTGAGTTTAAATTCTATTATGTATAAAATAGGTCAATGTACACTTTATTCTTCTAGCTTTCTGCTGCCTACTCCCCATTCCTGCCCCGCAGCAGGACTTGATGTCTCATCTATTTCTTATGACAGGCAAAATCTTGCTTTGGATTTGACGGGGTCAGACTTAGTGCTAAGGTAAAGATCCTTAGGAGGTTGGCAAACCAGGACAATCACAATGGCCAGGCACTGAAAGAAACTAGGTCTGCAGTTCTTGTCTGGATCAAACACAACTGCAGTGGATCTACAACCATCACAGAATGGGACCAGTACACACGTCACAGTCAGAAAAAAAGGCGAGGGAATTGCTGAACCTGGCAGTGGCCTTTGGGTTCCGACAAACTCTGATCCTGACTTACCAACGTTTCTGTTCCAAAAGTTCAGTTTTCATATAGTTGACTGAGCTTCAGAATACATTTTTCCTTGAAATATTATTGTAAGCTGAAGTTAGGTTCCTAGAAAATCAAGCAGTGCCTAACTACAGGTATACAAATAACACACATGGTACATCGTGATACTGACTGCATATAATAAAACAAATACATCCGTGCATTCTTTTCTTTAGTAAACAAATTTGGAGTTATTTTTATGAGCACAGTAGTACAGGGGAGAAAAGTCTAGCCAGGCAGGATTTGGGCATCAGGCAGGGCTCATGGGAAAGTTTCTGAAGGAGAAACAGGCTACCTGTATTGCTAGCATCAGTAACTTATTAAATATATATGTATGTATGTATTTATACACTTGTATGCATGCATATGTATTTCAGTTCTTTTTAATTGAATATTTGGATCAGTATATCTTCATTTGCTAATCTTGATTTGAGTCAGTTCTAGGGAAACAGGCCTGTAATCCTTACAGCTGGGTTTCCTTTCCAAGACGCCCCACTCATAGCACAAACTATGCTCCGTGTGCATGATGTGAATCTCCTCTTCCATCCTTGCTAAGGATGTGACTCAGGTGTAGAGTGAAAATTCACCAGCAGCATCCCTACTGGTGTGCTGAATAAGCCCTGCACAGACTTGCAGCTATGAGTACACCAGAGGCACCAGAGTCAGGCTGCAGCCCAATAGAAGAATATTGCCTGCCGTCATGCCAGCTGCAGAATGCCAAACGCTGTGTCTCCAAACCCTGCAGGCTTTCCGATGGGGCACAACTCTGGTGCATAGAAAGTTTTCTAAGTTAAGCATTGGTGTGTTTTTTACAAGGCCTCTCAGGACTAGACAAAGATCATGATGAAATTAAGCCTTGTTTCTTTTCTGTAGCATCAATCTTTAGATACTGTGTTGATACTGAATTTCAAGGGTCCCTAAATAAATTCCTGTATTGCCTGAGAGTCACGGGTAGCATCTTCACAGGGAGGTCATGTTTCCAATAATTCCAGCTGAGGCACAGCATGCTGTTCAATAACTGACCCAGCTAGGATGCCTCACATGAGATGTCTATTTCATTATCAAAGTCTGAATTTTCACTGCAGTGAACATGATGTGAGCTACTTACAAATTGGCTAATATTACTAAATTTATTTGTCACCTTTGTGAAAATGATTTCAAAATATGCATGGGGCTGCTCTTTGGCACAATAACTGCTGGTCATTAGACTTGTATGAGCTTCCTGTTGCTGCTTAACAAATTACTACATAGTTAGTGACTTTTCAACACAAATTTATTCTCTCACATCACTGGAGACCAGAAGTCTGGAATGGGTCTTGTGTGTCTGAAATGCAGCTGTGGGCAGGATGGCCTCTCTTCTGGCTTCTCTAGGGGACAATCTGTGTCCTTGCCTCTCCCAGCCTCTGGAGGGGCCAGATTCCTTGGTTCATGGTCCTGCGTCACTCTTGCTTCCACTTCCGCCATCAGATTTCCTGCTCTGATTCTGACACTCCCATTTTCCTCTTCTACGTGGCCTCGTGATGACATTTGTCCCACCCAGATAACCCAGGAAAACCTCCCATCTCTAAAGCTTTAAATTCACCACATCTGAAAAGTCCTTTTTGCTATAAGGGAAACATATTGACAGGTAGGAAGAGTTGGGACATGGACATCTTTGGAGACCACCATTTTGTCATAGCATCAATAGGAAATACAAATTTTGGCTTAAAACACAACAAAGTTATTGTCTTGTAATTCCAAAAGGGTCCCAGGAGGCTACAGTCAAGCTGTTGGCAGGATTGCATTTCTTTTGGACGCTCTAGGGGAGAGGCTGTTTCTTGCCTCTTCCGGTTTCTAGAGGACACTTGTATTCTTAGACTCTTGGCCACTTTGCACCGACCTCTGCTTCCTCATCACATGTTTTTCTCTGAATCTGACACTCTTGTCTCCCTCTTAGAAGGACCTTTGTGATTGTATTGGGCTCACATGGAGAATCCAGGATTATCTCTCCATCCCAAGATCCTTAAATGAATCACATCTGCAAAGCCCTTTTGCTGAGTGAGGTAGCATACTCACAGGTTTGGGGTTTTGTGCATTGGCACATGGACATATTTGCAGTGCTGTTATTTTGCCTGCCACTGTCACACCTACTGCATTGATGCAGGATTTCCACAAGAATAAGGAAGGCTTCGATTTGAAGAAGATTTTAGTAGAATTTTGGAGACTTTCTTTAATCACCTCATTGTCATTGAACTGGTAATAGCCAAAGCCTTTTTACCCTTTTTATACTTATCAATTATTTATTTCAGAGAATGAAATAAATGTTTTTTTTTCTTTTTTTTGACACAAGAAGACTGGACCAGATTGGTTAGGCAGTTTTACAAAGGTCACACAATTAGTTAATAGCAAAGCTACTCTAGAATTTGGCCATTTTACCCATCATAAAGCACTCTTCACCCATCAGCTGCTCCTGACCAAGCAGAGAGCTCTTTCTTGAGTTTAGGACCCTAAGCCCTCAATTACGATGACATAAATCCAAATTGAAGCAATTATCTTAAATTATAAAAATGCCCGACCGGGTGTGGTGGCTCACACCTGTAATCCCAGCACTTTGGGAGGCCGAGGCAGGTGGATCACAAGGTCAGGAGTTTGAGACCAGCCTAGTCAACATGGTGAAAGCCTGTCTCTACTAAAAATACAAAAATTAGGTGGGCGTGATTGCGGACACCTGTAATCCCAGCTACTCTGGAGGCTGGGGCAGGAAAAGAGCTTGAACCTGGGAGGTGGAGGTTGCAGTGAGCCAAGATCATGCCACTGCACTCCAGCCTGGGTGACAGAACGAGACTCCATCAAAAAAAAAAAAAAAATCCCATTTCCTTATCCTAAAATCAAGATGTTCTTCAAAAATGGGACATTATGCTTCAGTAAGTGAATGCTTGAATGTCTTAACAGAAATTGGAAGTAAAACAGAAATTGGACCTTTGTAAAAATACTGGATTCCTGGGTCTTCCAGTAATTCAGTGAAGTCTTTCCACAGTCAAGTTTCTTAACCTTTTGGGCTTGATTTTCTTTATCGAAAAAGTGAGGGTTTCAAGCAGGTGACCTAGCTGTCTCTCTTGCGCTATGACAGTCACCCACTCCACAGAGGCCTTGATCTCAGCTCTGTGTGGAGGCGGCTGGTTCCACATCAAAGCATTCCACATTTCAAGAGCCCCATGAATAGAAGGCTTTCTTTCACTGAGAGATACTTTTTGAGTATTATAAAAGCATAGGCCATTTTTGAAATGTTTAGAGGGATCGAAAATTTAAATTTATTTCCTGACTGAGGCTGAAACAGTTCTTATTGAGAGATTTATCTGAATAATACATTCATGTGTTAGAGGAGAGACACTATCATAGATGAAGTATACTTTCCTGAGGTTTAGAATTCTAAGGGGCTCTATAAAATTGGGAGAAGTCACAAGGCTCTAATAATAGCATTTATTGAGATGGTAATTGTAGAAAAACTGTCTTTTTTACATTTTTACTGGAGTTATTTTTTCTTTAAAAGTGCCTTTTTTTAGATCCAGCTAAATGCTGTCCACCTGTGTTTGTGTACCCTCCCTGCCCCCACCCTTGCTGCATGCACACACACACACACACACACACACAAACACACACACTCCTGCAATATGCTAAAAGCCAGCTCCTTGGTATGCATTCCTTGTCAGAATGCCATCTTTCAACATTGTCAGTGCAGTAATTTTCGGAAGGTGGGCAGTTCTCAGGGCCAAACAGCTAGAATGAAGCCCACCATGGCAGAAGGAGCGGCTCTGGTCCCTTTTATAAACACACGGTATTGGCCAGGAGAGGAGGAGGAATGAACCAGGAGCTGGCAGAGTGCCTCACGGGGCCTTTGGGATGAGGTTTCCCTGGGGTCTGCTCTGAGAGTAGGTGCATGCAACAGAAACGTCACGTCTGGTGCCTGCAATGGCCTGGTGGATTGGAGCTGGATGCCAGCACAGAGCAATGGGTTGGGGGTAACTCGGACTCTCCAAGTTGTCAGGAATTCAGCCCGTAGACTGACTTCTAGGCTGCTTCCAGACCCAGTGGGAAACTGAGTGCCTGCCGGGGTCTGGCAGACATGGCAGTGTCTGGAGAGAAGACAACCATCTCCATATCCACCCTGACGATGGCATAGACTGTGTGGGGTTATAGTGTTGTTAGCATCTTTGTCAGAAGACTCAAAGAGTAAAGCCAGGGCTGCTGGTTGAGGTCTTCAGTAGCACAGCTGGGCTAAGACAGTCAGGTCACTTGAAACGCCCTCCCCTCCACCCCACCTCAGACTGCTCCCGTGTGAGCCCCGCGTGTTCCTGTTACAGCCAAGGCCACAGGCGATCGCAAAGCATGCCTCTCCTGATCAGAAGTGTTCTCTAAACTCCCACAGTGCTGTTTCCTCGTGTGCTCATCTTCACATTTATTGCTATGGATCTAATCTTACAGCTTTGTATATACTTCCTATTTCCTGACTAAAGTCTTCCTTCTTAAGGAAATTCTAGATATTTTCAGATCATTGTGATTTTGTCCTCAAGAACACATCTGACCCGTTGAGATTCTCTGTTCCAGTACTGCATCACTTGACAAATTTGCTAACAACCATATAAAGTAACCTGTTTTCCTTTGTGTTGGCTGAATGCCATCCTTATAGGTGACTTTTTAAAAAGTTCTAATTTTCCTAATTCCAATAAGTTTTTTCTTTATTTACCTTACCAATTTCATAGTCTCTAATAACAGCCCTTTTTCATAATTTATGATTGAAGAGGTCAATTGCAGGTTATTTATCAGGTAAAATAATATAAAAGTCCAGCAACAGCTAATTGATAATTACACATACAGACAGAAACACACACGTACACATGGATGCTAGAATCAAATATTTAACCTTTCAATGTCATGATTATATAAAGATTTTGGTGATGGGGGAAGTACTTCTGTTCTAGTGTTAGGTATAAACAAGACTGACTTTTATATACCAAGAATGAAAAGAAAATATATGTACATGTAGAAAAACTCAGGGCTAAATGAAGGTGAAATCATAAGTGAAGTGGTCGATGTTTATAATTATCTTCTTATTCTGTGAATATGTGTGGAAAATCATTTAAAAATTCCTCTCCCAGCCAGATGCAGTGGCTCACGCCTGTAATCCCAGCACCTTGGGAAGTCGAGGCTGGCAGATCACCTGAGGTCGGGAGTTTGAGACCAGCCTGGCCAACATGGTGAAACCATGATTTCTACTAAAAATACAGAAATTAGCCAGGTGTGGTGTCAGGCGTCTATAATCCCAGCTACTCAGGAGGCTGAGGCAGGAGAATTGCTTGAACCCGGGAGTGGAGATTGTGGTGTGGCAAGATTGCGCCACTGCACTCCAGCCTGGGCAACAGAGCAAGACTCTGTCTCAAAAAAAAAAAAAAAAAAATCCTCTCCTTGCCTGAATGTGAGACTTTTGTGTTGT